>NC_000011.10:106869394-107172424 GCF_000001405.40 Homo sapiens | reverse complement strand
GGATAAAGAACAGCATGACAGAAGGTAGTTGTCATGTGGTAAAGAATGGAAAGAATTTCAATACGTAAGGGCGCAACTAAATTATCTATAGGAAGCAAAATTGGCTCTCTAGAAAATTTACCATGGAGATGAAGAAAAACATTCAAAAGTTTCAGAGACTTAAAGAGAAAAAGAATGTAAAGAAAAAGCAAGAAAGCAAAACAATAGCAAGTATTGAGAAATGGAGAGCCAACCTATGAATTTTTAGTGTTCCTAAATAAGATCAAAATTTTGTGTCTATAAAAATTCCCCTGATATATATATAATTCTTATTATATATATAAAATGCTCTTGATATGTATATTCTATATCTATTTTACTGTATTTTAATGCTTCTGATATATACCAGAATATATATGTATATATTTTAATATGTTCTGCTATATCTGATGATATATATCAGATATAGCAGGACATATTAATATATTCTTAAAAAGCATAACTACAGAAGTAAGCAATATATTCTGATATATACTTATATATGTTTTATATATATCAGAATATATTTTACTGGCTATTGATGCTTCTGACATATTTATATTCTGATATATATCAGAAGCATTAATATTCAGTAAAATAGATATAAAGTTTCTGGCTAAGTCTATAAATTATTAATATAAAGGGTCACTGTATTCTAGGTGATATTAATGGTAATACATCTGTAGGCATCATGGAAGACATTTTAAACTTCAAGGATAATAAAAATTCATGAGCAACAAGGTAGAAAGTAAGATGTAGTTTTTGTTCAAATGGATGCCAAGTGGGTTGACTTCACACTATTAAAATATGAATGCCAATAAAAAATGAGACAACATGAACAGAAAATACCCAGTGGAGCTACCATTCATGTTAAGATATTAAGGCAACAGCTAGATTTTTTTTAAAAATGCAAAGCTTTAGAATATGTCTGTTATTTAAACGGTATGAAAAAAATAATTACTCAAAGGCATTCTTTAGTGAATTGAGAGATTAATAATTCAAAACCGTATTATTTTAAAGAATAGATAAGCCATTGGGTGAATTTTGAAGCAGTATAAATATAGAGCTTAGAATAAAAAATACTTTAGTGTAACAAAGCAAAATACAAATGTTAAAAAATTGTTAAAAAGCATAATTATAGAAATAAGCAATATTATAATACTAGTCTGGATTTTGAACAATTGATTACAGGCACTTTTGGTTCCAGTCACAATGGAGTGCTAGTATTGGATTTAATCTCCTGTAATAAACAACTATAAACTGGAAAATACACATGAAACAAGAGTTTCAGGCATTGCACGGTGCATGGAGTTGCAATCTTTGAGTGAAGCATACAAGGTAAGATCTACATTCACTCAAGTTTGCTATTATGGGCATTTCCTAGAGTTTAATGGTGATATGCCATTCAGGCAGAGAATCTTAGCCTCTCTGGGCAGAGGAATTAGAGATGGGAGTTTGTGGTTGCTAAAACAGCAGCTGAATTGAAAGACACAGTACCAGAGAAAAACAGCTGCAAAGAACATTCAGAAATTTGTGTAGGGGTTCCTCTTAGGTTCTTGACCAAATCCTAAATCGTGCATAGGCAGGATAAGACTGCTGAACAAGGCCTATAGGGCTAGCAGAGAATTGCTGTTGGGGTAGAAGAGAGATTGCATAATGCTAAGGAGGTATTGGAGCTAGAGTAGGGAGATCTTAGTGTACATCCTGATCAAATTTAAGACCTCAGGGAAATAGTTTTCAGAGTAGGTGCCACATCCTAGGAATAATGGCTGTTAACAAACATGGAGGTCCTTAGGTATTTAGGACTACCTTCAAAACTAAACCAAATCCTCAAAAAACCTAAAATCAGATACCTATAGGATCAAAGTGATTCACCGTAATTTATTGTCTGTTAGACAAAATATAGCCCTTATTGAAGGAAGATGAAATAATCCAGAATCTACATAGTATTCTATCTACAATGTTAATAATATAATAAAAAATTACTAGATACGTAAAGAAGGAGACTGTGGCACATAACCAAGACAAAAATCAGTCAGTAGAAGAAGGCCCAGAGATGCTGAAGTGTAGAAATTTGTAAAGACTTTAAATTACCATTATAAAAATATTATTTATATAAAACAATTTAGAGAAAAAATATACGGTCAAACAGATGTGGTGTTTTAGCAGAGAAACACAAAGTATAAAAAGACTTAAATGGAAATTTTAGAACTAAAAATTATATCTAGAATAAAAAATTAATTGGATGGATTTATAAGCATATTGAATAGAGCACAGAAAGGACTAGTAACCTTAAAGAAAGGGAAACATAAATTATTCAAACTGAAGCAAATAGATAAAAGATAATTTAAAAATTAAAATGAATGAGCATAAAAAACCCCAGCATCTGTCACAACATTAAGTGGTTTAATATATGTTTATTTGGAAGCCCATGAAGAAAGAAGAGACAGAATACGGTAGAAGAAATTGATACAAATTTCCTAAAATTGATGAACAACATCAAATTCAAAATGTTCTTTTTGCTCAGCAAAAAGAGCAAAGCAGGAGGTATCATGCTACGCAACTTGAAACTGTACTACAAGGCTATAGTAACAAACAGCATAGTACTAGCACAATACCAGACATGTAGACCAATGGAACAGAATAGAAATCCCAGAAATAAGACCACATACCTACAACCATCTGATCTTTGGCAAAGCTGATAAAAACAAGTGATGGGAAAAGGACTTCCTGTTTAGTAAATGGTGCTGGGAGAACTGGCTAGCCATATGCAGAAGATTAAAACTGGATACCCTTCCTTATACCATATTCAAAAATCAACTCAAGATGGATTAAAGACTTAAATGTAAAATCCGAAACCATAAAAACCCTAGACGACAACCTAGGCAATACCATCTGGACATAAGAAATGGCAAAGATTTCACAATGAAGATGCCAAAAGCAATTGCAACAAAAGCATAAACTGACAAATGGGATCTAACTAAGTTTAAGAGCTTCTGCACAGCAAACGAAATTATCAACAGAGTGAACAAACATCTTACAGAATGGGAGAAAATATCTGCAAACTGTGCATCTGACAAAGGTCGAATATCCAGCATCTATAAGGAACCTAAACTATAAGAAAAAAACAAACCCCATTAAAAAGTGGGCAAAGGACATGAGCAGACAATTTTCAAAAGTAGACATACATGTGACCAACAGCATATGAAAAAAGTTCAACATCACCGATCATTAGACAAATGCCAATCAGAACTGCAGTGAGATACTATCTAACACCAGTCAGAATGACTATTATTAAAAAGTCAAAAAACATGCTGGAGAGGTTGTGGAGAAAAGGGAATGCTTATACACTGTTGGTGGGATTGTAAATTAGTTAAACCACTGTGGAAGACAGTATAGTGATTCCTCAAAGAGCTAAAAACAAAACTATCATTTGACCCAGCAATCCCATTACTGGGTATGTACCCAGAGGAATAGAAATTGTTTTATCATAAAGACTCATACATGCACATGTTCATTGCAGCCATTCACAATAGCAAGGACATGGAACCAACCTAAATGTTCGTCAATGGACATATATACCATAGAATGCTATGCGGCCATAAAAATGAATGAGATCATGACCTTTTGGAACATGGATGGAGCTGGAGACCATTATCTTTAGCAAACTAACACTGGAACAGAAAACCGAATACTGCATGTTCTCACTTATAAGTGGGAGCTAAATGATGAGAGCACATGGACACATAGAGCGGACCAACAGACACTGGAGCTCCCCCAGAGGGAGGAGAGTGGGAGAAGGAAGAGGAACAGAAAAAATAACTATTGCTACTAGGCTTAGTACCTGGGTGATGAAATAATCTGTACATCAAATGCCCATGACATGAGTTTACCTGAATAACAAACCTGCACGTGCACCCCTGAACCTAAACTAAAGTTTAAAAAAAGCTCAACTTGGCACAGTGGTTCATTCCTCTAATCCCAGCACTTCGGGAGGCTGAGGTAAGCAGATCACTTGAGCTTAGGAGTTCAAGACAAGCCTGGGCAATATTGTGAGACTCCAGCTCTAGAAAAAATACACACACACACAAATAGCCAGGTGTGGTGGTGCATGCCTGTAGTCACAGATACCCAGGAGACTGAGGTGGGATGATCACCTGAAACTGGGAGACTGAGGCTGCAGTGAGCCATGATCATGCTACTGCACTGCAGCCTGGGTGATGGAGTGAGATCCTGTCTCAAAAACAAACAAAAATCGTTAAAAAAGTATCCTTTAAGCAGGATAAATACAAAGGCTGCACTCATTACTTTATAGGTTAGCTGCTGAAAAATAAAAATATAAAAAATTATAATACCAGCCAGAGAAAGAGGACAAAATTTTTAAATAATAAGGTGACTTCTCATTGAAAACAAAAAGAAGCTAGAGTAATAGAATGCGATCTTTAAAATCTTGAGGAAAAAAAGCTGTCACTTGAAATTCTACATCCAGTAAAAATGTTCTTTAAAAATGAAGATGAAGTAAAAGAATTTTAAGATAAAGAAAAACCAGGACAATTTGTTGCTATTAGAAGCATACTGCAAGAAATAGTAGTAGGAAGTTCTTCAGGCTGAAGACAAATAATACAAGATGAAAGCATGGCTCTTCAGAAAGGAAAGCAGAGCATGGATAAATATGTGCATTAAAAAGTTCATTAAAATATCCTTAAATTGTTCAAAGTAGAAATAATGAAAAATGTGTAATAAGATTTATACAGATTTTAGAGTTAAAATATATGACAAAAGTGACACAAAGGGCAAAGAAAGTTAAAAGGAATTTACTGATATAGGTTCTTACATTATATGCTATGTTGAATAACATTAATTAAATGTAAACTATGATTGCAAAGGGTTAATAATTCATATTATGATCTCTAGCACAACCATGAAAGACAATACAAATAAATATAGCTAAAAGACCAATAAAAAGTGAAAACAGAAGACCAAAAGAAATCAATTTACCTTTCCACAGAAGTAACTACATTAATTGTAAATGGACCAACTTTCTAGTTAAAAGGCGGATATTGTCAGATTGTATAGTTAAAAGACCCAACTATATGCTGTTTACAACAGATAGCACCTTAAATAAAAGAACAGCATTGAGCTGAACATGAATAAACAGAAAAATGTATATCATACAAATACTACCTTTAAGAAAAATAATGAAGCTACACTAATGTCAGACAAAAAGATTTTGAGACAAAAAGTACTATCAGATATCAGAAAAATTCTCTATAACAAGGTTCCCCAATCCTTAGCCATGAACTAGTAGGACCAGACCACGGCCTGTTAGGAACCAGGCCGCTTAGCAGGAGGTGAACAGTGAGCAAGCAAGCATTAGAGCCTTATCTGCACCTCCTGTCAGATCAGCAGCAGTATTGGATTCTCACAGTAGTGTGAACCCTATTGTAAACTGTGTATGCGAGGGATCTAGGTTATGCACTCCTCATGAGAATCTAATGCTTGATTCATCTCGAGACTGCACCTGACCACATCTGTGGAAAAAGTGTCTTCCATGAAACCAGTCCCAGGTGCAAAATACATTGGGAACCACTGCTCTATAATGTAAGGTATTAAATTTCATCTAAGAGATATATTAATAACAATCCCAAATATATGATTTTCAAAAATATAGCTTCAAAATATGTAAAGAGAAAAATGACAAATATATAAAAGAGAAATAGGCAAATATATAAAAATAGTTGAAGATTTAAAAACTTTTCTGTTAGTAATTATTTGAATAAGCAGAGTAAAATTTAAAGAACATAGATTTTAATACTATGACTCTTTATGATCTAATTGGCAATTATAAAACACTATATACCCAATAATGACATATTACACATTTTTTCCAGTGCACATGGAATAGTAACCAAATTACAGCCTGTATTCTGGGCCATATGAATCTTTTTTTTTTTTTTTTTGAGTTGGAGTCTCACTCTGTCACTCTCACTCAGGCGGGAGTGCAGTGGCATGATCTTGGCTCACCGCAACCTCTGCCTCCCAGGTTCAAGTGATTCTCCTGCCTCAGCCTCCCGAGTAGCTGGGATTATAGGCGTGCACCACCACACCTGGCTAATTTTTGTATTTTTAGTAGAGACAGGGTTTCATCATGTTGGCCAGGTTGATCTTGAACTCCTGACCTCAGGAGATCCACCCACCTTGGCCTCCCAAATTGCTGGGATTACAGGTGTGAGCCACCATGCCCAGCCATAAATATTAATAAATGTCAAAATATGGAAGTCATAGTGAGTATATTCATTGACAACAATGGAACTCTCCAAAAATCAGTATTTTCAAAGTTAAGTAAGTAGTCTCTAAATATTTAGAAATCCAACAACATAAATCTAACTAACTCACGGAAATTAGAAAATATTTTGCCTAAACAATGTGAGTGCAACATTTCTAAATTTATGAGATGTAGCTAAATCACTACTTAGAGGGAAATTCATAGCTTTAAATGCACATATTAAAAACGAAAATGAGGATTACAGTTGATGATGTAAGCTTTCACTTAAGAAGACAGAAAAAAATAGAAAATTAGATGCAAAGAAAGGAAAGCAAAACAAGAGCAGAAAGCAAATAATAGAGAAAATTGACAAAGCTCAAAATGTTTTCTTTAAAAAGATTTATAAAACTGAAAGAGAAAGAGAGAAAATACAAATCAGTATTGAAAACAGAAATATCATTACAGGTTTGACAGGCATTGTAAGTATAAAAGTGAAATACCATGAACAACTTTTAAGCCAATAAATTTAGCACCTTAGAAAATGGGCACATTCCTTACAATATAATTTTTTCAAAACTAGACACAATAACAAATATAAAATCTGAACACTTACAGATCTGTTAAATAAATTGAACTTTTAATTAAAAACCATCTCTAATCTCATATTACTTTACTGGTGAATATTATAAAACATTTAAAAAGATATACTGATTTTGCACAAAATCTTTTAGTGAAAAGACAGTGAATGAATGCATCCCAAATCATTTTATGAGACCAACACTGTATTGCTTTAATATCCTCAAGACACCAAATTTCAGACCAGTATCCTTATGAGTACAGATGCAAAAACCCTTACAATACATACATACGCATATTTATATTTATACATATAATACATTGTGATCAAATATGACCAAATGTACTTTATGTCAGGAATGTAAGATTGGTTTAATATTTGAAAGTCAGTGGAGTTTACCAAGTTAACAGAATAAAAGAGAAAAACCCCATTATCTCAAATAGGTGCAGAACAAGCAGTTGAAAAAATTCTACACCAACTAAAGATAAAAATTCTCAGCAAACTAAGAATAGATGGAAATTTCCTCAGTTTTATAAAGGGTATCTGTTAAAAACCTACAGCTAACATCACACTTAATGTGAACTATTAAACGTCTTTCCCTTTAGGACTGGGAACTAGGCAATTACATCCACTCTTTCTGTTTTTGTTTAACGTTGTACTGAACTCTTAACCAGTGCAAAAAAGCAAGACAAATAAATTAGGGGAATACAGTTTGGAAAGGAAAAAATAAAGTTATATTTCCTCACATATTTTATGATTATATACATACAGAATTGAAAAGGGAATCTACAAATAAACTATTTGTACTAATAAGTGAGTTTAGTAAGGTCTCAGGATATAATGTCATTATATGTGTATAAATACAGATGCTATATATAAGCATATATATCCCAAACAGTTGGATTTACAAATTAGAACAAGTGAACCTTGAGCCCTATATCACCGTATACAAAATTAATTGGAGAATGCATCGTAGATCTCCAAGTGAAAGTTAAAACTATAAATCTTCTAGACAAAAATAATAGTCAAAGCTTTCTTAGACAAAACATGAAACCACTAAATATAAAAGAACAAAGTGATAAATTTGACCTCATAAAAATGGAAAACTTCTACTTACAAAAGTCGTCATCAAAAAAGTGAAAGCAAGCCAGGAATTGGAAATAATATTCACCATATAGATGCTTCTCAACTTATGATGGGGTTATGTCCTGATAAACCCAGTGCAAGTAGAAAATATCATTAAGTCAAAAATGCATTTAATATCCCAATACTCATCATAAATTTAAAAAAAAGTCAAACCATTGTAGGTCAAGGACCACTTGCAGTTTAATCTTGCATACGATAAAGAACTATTACTAATTGATATTTTAATGATAACCTAATACAAAATTATCTGAAGGTTTAAATAGGCATTTAATAAAAGATATCTAACTAAGCAATATTCATGTTAAAAGGTACTCAATGTCCTTATCACCAGGAGAATGAAAATTAAAACTACAATGAGATACTATTACATACACACACCTGAATGGCTACAGTCAAAAATATGGATAATACGGAGTGTTCATAAAGATGTGAACCAATTGTAACTCTTGTACAATACATACATTTAGGATTTATGTATTTTACTCTATGTAAACTTAAAGCTGTCAGCATTAAAGAACGTGATCATAAAAACAGGAATAATAAGAGTAAGATAAACAGTGAAAGTAAAATATATGCTAAAATCCTTGCCACACACTGGGGAGTAAGTAAAAAGTAATTACTTTCTTTATGTTTTTAATTAGAATAATAAAATATTTCTGTATCAATTAACAAGAGAAAGAGGCAATGCACAAACATTCAAAATTAGAACTAGCACAAAATTAGAAATATAAGTAAATATCATTAATAGGGGAAATTTTAAAAATAAAAAAAGACTATCTTGCATCAATTTATATAAATACAATGAAAAAGGAGAAATAGCTAATTTTCTAAAAATACACAGCTTAACAAAATTGATCCTATTAGAGACAGAGAGTGATATAGGAAAGGACTTGGAGTTCAACCTGAATAGGATCTCACTCGATAAACGTGGTATAATTTTGAGCAACAATAAGAATAATAACTGCAATAGATTGAAACACATCAAATATGTTTAAGTCCAATAATTTGTACTGATACTAAAATTAAAAAACAAAATTTATTAAGATTTTAGAAGATGCTAAGAAATCAACTCTTTATTTTGAAAACGGATAAATGAAGGGAAAGATAAGACATGACTTTCCTGTATACACTGTACTATAAGATAACCAAGTGGTTGACATAAGGAAGGCATTCCAACTAGGTAAAAAATGATGATAGAATGAGAATATTACCATTTTGTAACCCCTCTGTGTCCTGATGTTTTTCTTGATACTCAGGGGAAAATTTCCTCCTCCCCGTCTCCCAGGGGTCTGATCTCTTCTATTTGTGAAGAACTGGTGAGCTGGTGAACATGTTAGTCACTTTACATCACAGAGGCTTCTCCCATGGCCCAAACATTGGCAGCAGGAGTCATGTGTCCAGATACTCCCAGGCACTGTTGTTTAGAATAAGATAGATCAAACATCTGATCCAAGATGGTACAATAATATTCTTTTTGCTGGGGATTAGGACACAGATTTTCTGGTTAGTGTCCAACAAATACTTGAACTGGAAGGTCAAATGGCTCCCATTAAGACTAATGTAAACACCAGAAGGTTGGTGTATACATTTTTAAATAGATTTTATTTTTTAAATTGTGAACATGTTGTGTCACTCCACTTAAGTATTTAGTTTCTAATTTATTAATATTTTAATTGGCAAATCAAAATTGCATACGTTTATGGGGTACAAATTATGGGGTATGTGATATTTTGATGTATGTAAACAATGTGGAATGATTTAATCTAGCTAATTAACATATCTATAATCTAACTTATTTTTATGGCAATATATTTGAAATTTATCATTAGTTATTTGAAATATACAGTACTATTGACTGTTGCCACCCTGCTGTTAGATAGATCTCAAAAGGTATTCTTCTATTTGAAACTTTGTACCCTTTGACCATTACCCTTACCCCTACTGCCAGCATTTCCTAGCCATAATTCTACTCTCTGGTTCTATGAGTTCGACTTTTTTAGATTCCACATATAAGTGAGATTATGCAGTATGTCTTTTTTGCCTGGCTCATTTCACTTAGCATAGTGTCCTTCAGATTCATCTGTGTTTTTACAAATGACAGATTTTTTTTTTAGGCTGAATAGTATTCCATTATGTATATATCCCACATTTTCTTCATCCATTCATCCGTTGATGGGCACAGGTTGATTTCATGTCTTGGCTATTGTGAATAATGCTACATTAAACAGAGGAGTGCATATATCTCTTGACATATTGATTTCAATTCCTTTGGCTCTATATTCAGTAGTGGGATTGCTGGATCATATGATAGTTCTACTTTTAGTTTTTTGAGGAACCTTCATGCCATTTTCCATAATGGATGTACTAATTTGCATTTCCACCAACAATGTACAAGAGTTATTTTTTCTCCACACCCTTGCCAACATATGTGATCTTTTTGATAAAAGCTATTTTGATAGCTGGAAGTTGATATCTAATTGTGATTTTAATTTACATTTCAGTAATGATTAGTGATGTTGGGCATTTCTTTGTGTACCTGTTCATTTGTATGCCTTTTGAGACCTGTCTGTTCAGGTTGTTTGCTTATTTTTTAATTGGGTTATTTGTTCTCCTGCTATTGAGTTGTTTGTGTTACTCAAAAATTTTGGATATTAACCTCTTATCAGATGTACGGTTTGCAAACATTTTCTTCCATTCTGTAGATTGTCTTTTCACTCTGTTGATAGTTTCTTTTGCTATGCAAAAACTTTATAGTTTGGTTTAATACAATTTGTTTTAGTTTTGTTGCCTATGTTTTCTGGGTTGTGTCTGAAAAATCACTGTCCAGACAAATGTGAAGATTTTCCACCATGTTTTCCTGTAGTAGTTTTGCTATTTCAGGTCTTAGATTTAAGTCTTTAACCCATTTTGAGTAAATTTTTTGTACATGGTGTAAGACAGGGATCAAATTTTATTCTTCTGCATGTAAGTAATCAGTTTTTCCAATCTCATTTATTAAACACTGTCCTTGTCCCATTATGTGCTTTTGGTACCTTTCTCAAAAATCAATTGACCATAAATGTGTGGATTTATTTCTGGTCTTTCTATCCTTTCAATTGATATATGTGTATGTTTTGGTGTCAGTATTGTGCTATTTTGATTACAACATTTTAGCATATATTTTGAAATCATGCAGTGTAATGCCTTCAGCTTTGTTCTTTTTTGCTCAAGATTGTTTTGAGTCTTTGCCATTTCATATCAGTTTAAGGACTTTTTTTTCTCTATTTCTGTGAAAAATGACATTGTAATTTTGATAGGAACTGCCCTGAATCTGTAGATTGCTTTGGGTAGTATGAACATGTTAACAATATTAATTCTTTCAGTCAGTGGACATAGGATATCTTTCCATTTATTTGTGTGTGTTTTTTTCAACTTATTACATTAGTATTTTATAGTTTTCACTCTACAGTTCTTTCAATTCCTTGGTTAAATTTACACCTAAATATTTTTTGTTGTTTTTGATGCTATTGTAAATGGGATTGTTTTCTTGATTTCCTTTTCAGATAGTTTGTTATTAGTATATAGAAAGTACTGATTTTCATATGTTGATTTTATATCCTGCAACTTTACTGAATTTATCAGTTCTCACAGTTTCTTGGTGGGGTCTTTAGGATTTTCTATATATAAGGCCATGTTATCAGTAAATAGAGAGAATTTCATTTCTTTCTTTCCTATTATGATGACTTTATTTTTTGCTTAATTGTTCTTAATAGTACTATATATTTATTTATTGCTTAATTGCTCTATGTATTTCTTGCTTAATAGCTCTTTCATCACTGTGTTGAAAAGAAGTGAGCATCGCTGTTTTGTTCCTTATCAAAACAGGGACAAAATGGAAGTAGACGTTCATTCAATCTAGCCAGTTTCCAAAGGCAAGTGTATAGCTTCAACTTTTGAGGCATCTGGTATAATTGAGTTAAAAGACAATGTCATCTCTTGCTCTGAGCCTCTTTCAAGGTGTAAATGTAATATTGGATGTCCTTCAATTCATAACCCAGTTACTCATTTCTTTACCCTCAGCTACTATTCCTCCTTTTCTTCATTAATACCAAACTTTTTTTTCTAATCTTTTGAAGAGACATTAGTATAGGCCACTATGCTGGTCTACATTGTAGGCAGCAATACCAATCTAGTAAGTACCTCTCTCTCAGTCGACTCCCATTTAGAAAGAGTAAGGTTATGAGGTGCAGAACTCATGGTTTATTTTTTACTTCCAGACAATATAGCTGCATTCACTGTTAACCCCAATTTTTCCAGGTGGGCTGGGGGCTCAACTCACCCTCATCAGGCCCTTAGGAATTCTGACATAAGGTTTAAAAATACAGTTACAGTTTCTTGGTTAGGAATCATCCCAGTTTCTAACTCTTGTAGTTGCAGCCCTGGTCCTAGGACCTCTGCGTTAGGTAGGGGAGAAAAATCAAATTGAGACAATATGGGGAAGAAAGAAAAAAATTATAATCATTACAACAGCATATTACTCCCTTGGCAAGAATTGCATAGTCATGCCAGCATGCTTCCCCACCCCTTCTTCCCAGTTCCACCAGAAACAAAGGAAAATATAGTGGTGACACTTTTTTTTTAGCTCCACTTATGTTGAGTGTGAGCACACACTTGTAAAGGTGTGTAAGCCAACCCTTCATGCTTTTATCTTCCCGTGATTTAGTCAGTCAATGTTTTAATTGCAGATTCTATGTCTATCAAACTTACTCTGAGGAGGTTACCTCTACGACTATTGTTGAACATTATGGGATATACAGCATATTCCTTGGTCTGAAGAAATAATGGTTGGCCATCCAAATCCATTCAGTATCTTCTGTTCTTGTTTGTTTAAGTAGCAGGCTGAGCATTTTTACCTTCCATGGGGTAAGCAAAATCTAGCCTAGAATCAGTGTCTATTTCTGTCAAGACTTATATTTGTATTCCCTCAGGGTTATCAGCATCAGTCTCACTTGCCAGCTATGTTTGAGCCTTCCAACTAAGGAATCTGCCCCATAGCCATTGGCAATCTCTGTCTCTTTTGCTGGCAGATTGAACAGTTTTTATTGCCATTTTTTTTGGCATTATGCATCTGAGAGGGTGCAAAAGAACATGTCTAGACTTAGCCCCATCTCTGCACTGCTGCAATAGCCTCATGACCAGTCATCTCATGGACCCGGGTGGTCACCTCAAATGAACACACAGGAATATCTGCTTGTCAATTCAAATCACCTCCTGACCTGGGCATTGCTGGGCATTGAAATTTAGTGCACCTTTCAAATTTCCCTAAGACTTTGGCCCATATGAGCATTCCTTTTCCATTGTCTTTCTGACTGACCATTTTTCCAGACCATTGGCCACTGACCATGAGTTAGTAAAAACCCAAGCACAGGGGCTTTTAACACTGTTCAATTCTTCAATTGCTGCTGGAAAGACAGCATATAACTCAGCCCACCAAGCTGATTTGTTTTTACCTTCCCAGAGTAGCAACCATCTAAATAGCATGTCATCCATTCACCTGAAAATTGCCACCTGCAAACCCAAAAGCTCTTGAATAGTCAGTTGAGACTGTTTACAGGACACTATGGAATCCAGCAGCTCCTCACACATTTCCAGAGTCAATCCTGGGGGAAGAGAGGCTCCCTGCTTGTGAGTATTTCCTCTTTGCATTCCTCAGATAGCATGATCTTGTATAAGCCATTTCCATTTTATTATGGAACTCTTCTGGGCAGTAGCATCCCCATTTAGAGTGTTTCTGTGACATTATCCAATACATCATGGGTATTTCGGTTTCAAGATCATTTTATGTCCTTCAGTCATAAGGCTAGCTTCAATTAATATCCCATAGCAAGGTAGTAAATGCCCCTAAAGTGGAAATTCTCTTGTTCAGATTCCCAGTAGTAATTGCTGGGAGGTGTTCACAGTCTTTTGCCATAAGCAATAGTCTAGGCTTTACATAGGGCTATCACACCCAGGATTTGTTCCTACCATTACTTAAGCGTCTGTTCTACACTGTGTGGACTCAGGGAATCTTACTGGTTCCCTTTAGCATATCCAATTAGTATCATTTGAAGAGCAGATTTATATGCCTTTTGTTTTATAATACTAGGTGGAGGAAGTTTTCCCCAGCCAGACATAATATCCATTCCCATAAAGCATTTAGGTAAAGGAGACACGACTTCTTTAAACAAGGCCTGTTTAAATATTCCAACTTTCATAATCCTATCAACTTTTACATTGTTATGTTCTCTCAATCTAATTGTAGTTCCAACAAGGGCTTCACCAATGAATCTTGGAACCACAGTGCATGGGGCTCCCATATCAAGGATTCCCAGGAATTTTTCTTCACCACTTCCTGACCATTTCATTCACTTGCGTACATAAGGCTTTGGATCCCCACTAGGGGATTGAGCAAAGAGACCTTTGCCTATTTCTAAATCTTTATCTTGGTTAATCTGTCTGCTTATTGCCCCAGGCAATTACAGATTTCTGTTTGTAATCTTTGCTTTCTGATTTTTAAAATTTCCCCAAACTGGGGTACAGTGTCAGCTTAGATAGCAAACAGAGAGATAAGGTATCTAAAAGAAAATAATATTTATTTGGGAATAAGGGCATTGCAATAGGAATATATAAGTCATAGTAAACTATGTGCATATTCAGGGAGGTAAAGAAAGACAAGGTTTTTAAGGAAAAAATGAGGAGGGTTACACAATTGTTTTGAGATCATTACTCTTGGCTACAAGGATCAATAATAAGTGTGACACTAGTCCAAAGTTGAACAGGCAGTTGCTGGGCAGATGACCTTGCAGAAGTGTTTTTTGTGCAAGGTTGCAGTTTTTGCCTAGGCTTTTGTGATAGTTTTTGTTATCAGGCATTTGTTCATGAGAATTCTTCTCTTCATGACCTTCCCTGGTTCTATTTGTCAGGTTTTGCTGTTGTTTTTATTATTATTTTTTGCCTCTAGGCAAGCTTTATTCTTTGACTCCTTTATCCTGGAAGGGGACTGTTAGTTGCATCTCACCCAAATGGAATGCGATGGGAACTGGGGGTTTGAGTTGTTTGGAGAAAGAGCTGTTGTTTTTAGCAAGTGAATGTAGCTGGTGTGTGGTATCCATCAATCCTTGAGTGCTTGGCCATGCGGACTAACGAATGGTCAGAACAAACTCAGAGGTCCCCAGAGCTTTATAATACCAAGATTCAGAAGGTATAGTCAGTAAGGAAAAAGGCCATTTCCTTTAGGTATAGTAGACAGTGAAGTTTTTTTGTTTTGACTGGCTTTTAAAAAATTACCTAGGAAATGGAAAGCTTATGAACGTTCATAAGTGAATTGTTGAATTGCTACCCCAAGTGGTTTCTTTACCTAGTCACCACTTAACTGGAAATACTAGAATACACAGTTCAACCAGAATTCAACCAGGCAGATAACCTGCTTGTTGCTCAAGCAAATATCAGAGTTTTAAAAAACAAAATTAAGCAAAAAAGACCTTTCCCCAAATAGCATCATTACCACTTAGCTTTGTATGACCCATTCCTAAGAAGTGACTCCATTTCGATTCTGACAACTTTCACATTTCTCCATTTTAATCAAGATCTTTCTCTAAAAGCATCACTAATTAATCACCCTGTGGTTAGGTTTTGATTGTCCTTCAGTTCCAAGACGGCCCTATCTCAGTTTGTTTGTCTGATCCCATGTTGGAGAAAGTGAATGGTGACTACAAGTTAGTGTGAACAAAACTTTCAGCCACATTTCAGCAACAAGAGAGTTTAACCGGAATGGCTCTCAGGCTAAGTCCTCCTGGAGTCCATTATTAAGTTATTGATTTTGTCTGTTCTGTAGCTTTTTTTACTGTCATCTCAAAATGTTGGGCCAGCATTATTCTGTTAGGAGTTGTACTTCCACAAACATTTAACGAGTAATAAAGTTTAAAAAGGAAAAATACAAAATAAAATTTATAGCAATATGTAATACAATATGTATAGTGGTTTTGAACCATGGACCTAGGCTTAAAGGCAACCAATTGAATAAGTCACATTATCCTGGCAATTGAAAAAGATAGGCATTAAGAGAAGTAAGAGTCCTATTGCAGTATGAAGTCTTATTCTGATATCTTGGGAAAAGCTGTTTATAGCCTGAAAACATCAACTTCTTATCCTGGTTTGTAGTTTGAATGTCACTGGTTATGGCATCAGGCAGTTTGGTGAACTTTTTATGTGGCCCATAAATTAGGCATGAGACTTGTTCCTTAAAATTCATCTAGTTTTAGCTTACAAGGCCTTAAAGCATTTTTCGTGTTTCATAATTCTATGGAAGAAATTTGGATTAGAGAAATCTATATGAACTCAATATATAGTCTAGCCTATAGGTAGATAATGAGATCCAGAAAACAATGCACAGAGCTTCAATCTAATGACAGGTATATTATTGTCTTTTTATTAGAAACATCACTTTTTCTCTTACATTGGTCATATGGAAATCTCTGATTTAAAACCTCTTGTAGCTAGGAAGCCAAGCCAAGGCAGACTTTAGGTTTTACCTACAGTCTTAGGGTTCCTGGGCCTGCCAGAAAGTGATAATTTTGAGCTACTCACTGTAAGGATGGGAAGCATTGAAGTCAGGTAATATATGCATATTCTCAAATATGACATTTCAGTAAAAACATGAATAAAAGACATTGGTAATATAAGCAATGTTTCCAATTGTATTCTGCTATGAAAAGAGAGTAGATTTTCATTGGGCTTATGCAAATAACCCTTTTGCCATATGAATACTCACAAATAATTTACAAAATTTGGAGGACTCGAGTAGGAAGAACAAGCAAATGCTTTCATCTTTGTCCACAAAACTATATTTTACCAAGTTGCTGTAAACTATAGATAGCTTAAGAGAGAAGATTTCTCTAAATCTGGAAAACAAAATATTTAAGTAAAATAACCAATAGTGTTTTAAATAAAAGTCATAAAAACATTATCTTCAGTTATTTATTTATTTATTTAGAGACAGGGTCTTGCTTTGTTGCTCAGGCTCTATTGCAGTGGCACAATCACGGCTCACTGTAGCTGCAACCTCCTGGGCTCAAGCAGTCTTCCTGCCTCAGCCTCCCAAGTAGCTGGGAATACAGGTGTGCACCACCACACCTGGCTAATTTTTATACTTTTTGTAGAGACAGGGTTTTGTCACGTTGCCCAGATCTTGAACTCTTAGGCTCAAGCAGTCTACTCGCTTTGGCCTTCCAAAGTGCTGGGATTATGAGCATGAGCCACAGTGCCTGGCTTAACTTTAGTTATTTAATCTGATGTAATTAATTTTGTTCTGATTGGTCTTGATTAACAGTTTTATAACCTCATCAGTTTTTTTATTCAAGTTTTGAAAACATTTTATTTAATCCATTAATCTTAAAGTTATTAGAAACCTGTATTTAAGAGTGCGGGTTAGAGTTTTCCACAAATCTGAGTGCAAATGCTTTTAGAAAAGAATTTAAAAAATAATTTTGGATGACAAATATTTAGAATAGCCAAATTTAAATATAATGGAAGTTTATTATAATCAGTAGTTAACAAGGAGATCTAGTTACTTTTATGACATATAACATAATACTTAGAATTATGACTGATGACATATTAAATTTCTAAGAGTTTTATGCAATATTGGAATATTCATATAAATAACATACCACATGAATGTGACTGAAAGATCTGACATTACTTATCATTTGCCAATGTTTCCCATACAATTTACCAAATAAGCCTAATCATTTAATATCTCTACAAGATGAGAGACATATTCTTTCAAGCTCTCTGGGGGCTTCACTGGAAAATACCAAAGCTATTTCTAGGTCAAAAATACTTAATTTAGAATTTTGGTCCTGGAGAAGCCTGCCAAACATGCCAAAAAGTTTAAAACACTTGATCAAAATGGGATCACAGGTCACTGTGAAATAATTGTCATTCATTCAACCAGAGTGATGATCAAAATTCTTCAAAAGCAATACAGAAAGTTACACGGATTAAAAAAAAAAAAAACCCTTAACCCTTTTAAAGTCTAGCTTCCCTAAGTAATAATAAACCTAATAAAGACAACGTCAGAAATTATTTTGATAAAGTGTAATTTTTTTTTTAGGCCAGTGATGTGGTTAGGCTCTGTGTCCTCACCCAGATCTCTTCTTGAATTGTAAACCCCATAATCCACACGTGTTGAGGGCAGGGACCTGGTGGGAGGTAATTGGATCATGGAGTCGGTTTCCCCATGCTGTTCTCATGAGATCTGATGGTTTTATAAGTGCTTGACAGTTTCTCCTCCATGTGCATTTTCTGTCTCACCTGTTGCCATGTAAGACATGCCTCTTCCCCTTCCACCACGATTGTAAGTTTACTGAGGCCTTCCCAGCCATGTGGAACTGTGAGTTACTTAAACCTTTTTCCTTTATAAAGTACCCAGTCTCAGTTATTTCCTTACAGCAGTGTGAGAACGGACTAATACAGCCAGTTACCAAAAAGGTAAAACAAAAACCTCCTGCAATGTGATTGCTTCTTCTTATGAAAAGTCCATTTAGATAACCTGGAAGTTGAACCTGATGAAAGTGTTCTTGAATTTAATCAGACATAGGAAGAATGTGTGTCTGGTTATTACATGGAATAATTTGGATATATTAGGAAACACCAAGAGTGCAGAATCAAGTTATACTGGAGGAAAACATTGCTTTTTTAAAAAAAATGTCTTTAAGACAAACTTTTCAGCATTAGGTCATAACAGCAGAGTTTCAGGAGCTTTCAAAAAGTTGAAGGAGACACTTATCCCAGGTCATCTCAAGAAGATAAGGAACTGAAGACAATGATGCATGAATTACAAATTATGTGCTGCAAGATACAGCAAGAGTTGAACTTCTGAGGTATTAATCTGATTCATTTGATTATTGCCCCAGGCAATTTCAGATTTCTCTTTGAAATCTTTTTCTTCTGATTTTTAAAGTTTCCCCAAAAAAAGCTTGAAGAGGAAAACTCAACCTCAAGAAGTAAAATTACCATTCTAAATGAAAAAGACAGCATTTCTGACCTGAAACTAGGGGAATTAAGTGGATCTAAGGAAGCAATGTGACAGAAATAGAAACTACCTGCAGTTTAAAGTATGGCTTTTAAAGAACCAGGTTTTAGAATTAAAAATCAAAACCTGCAATTTTTACTACTGATAGATCAGTGCTTCAAAAACTTTCTACTGTAGGGGACCAAACAGGATTCTACCATAGGGGACCACATTTTTAATTTTGTATTAGTGTATTTTTAAAATCAAAGTTCATTGTTTAGAAAGACTTATAAATAATTCCCTTCTAATTATAGAAACTTGATCACACAAAAATTCCTCTCATAAATTCATCTTTCATGAACCTTACCGTGGCTTACTCAGACCATTTTGAGTGGTCTGAGTAGCTTTCTGCTTTGTCCTATACTTCCTCTTTCTTAAATAAGCAGTCATTTTCCTTTAGGAAAAAAATTATCACACAAGATTCTTTCTCATATAAAATTATTCTTTTTTCTTTGTGACCTTCCATACCATAAATACATCTTCATGCCTGTAGCTTTCTTCACGTCTCTCTCTCTCTCTCCTACTTACTAGCTCCTTTCTATCTTGTTTCTGTTTCCCATTTTTTTCTCAATAAAAACACATTTTATGCCTTTCTGGTAATTTTTTTTCATTAAAAAACACATCTTAATTTCCTGGCACACTTTATATACAGAACTATGTATTTTAATCAGAATTTTAACTGTTAGTAACCTTAATTTATAGCAAGTAATTTTGAATTATCTGTCACATATTAGCATTTTATAGAAAAGAACCATTTTATAATTTTTAGAAACATTTTTCCATAACATAATCTTCACACATATACTGAGACCCAAATATATTTAATCTCTCTATAAAATGTAAAAAGCCAAGAAAAAACATATTTATGTTCATCAATTTGTTTCCATATTGTATCTTATTTAAAAATGACCCAGACCTTTAATATCTATTATATAATTCAACATAATTTTGAGATTTCAAATTACATGAAAAGCCCATTTATAAACGTTTATTTCATTTAAATTTACGTAATTTATTTATTTTGAACAATTTACCTAGATTACTTATGAAAACTGAGATATTAGGCAAAGCTAGTCATCATTTCAAGTTATTTTCCTATTAACCATTTTTATAGCCTGTGAGTATAGGTGTTTCCTTAAGTAAGAAACTTAAAGCTACATATGTGGATATTTTGCTAATAACTCAGGAAATATAGCTGTTTTAATTAAACCAACAATATTACATTAGTCATACTTATTAAAGATTTGTACAAACAAAGATCATTCTGTTTTAGGCTGGGTTTATAGTTTTATAACCTTCGTGTCAAACCCAGATACCTTAAAACGTCTGTCAGGAACAAACATAAAACTATTTGACCAGTAAACAGGCAAAATGTATGCTAACAATTTTGAAGACATTGCTATTTTAATTTTACCAACAATTTTAAAACCAGCTTATTTATTAAAAATTTACTTAAGTCATGTGAACTAAAAGGCATTTGTGTTGGCACTCATGTACTTTATATGAGTGCTCATTTAAGCCAATCTGAATAGAATTCCTTAAGGGATTTCTGGCTGCCTATGCCAGATTTTAACATGTAGACACATCAAACAACCTAATATACAAATATTTGCATAAACACACCTAAATACATACACACAAACAGATTTTTTATGGCTTTCATTTTTGAATTTTGGTCAGGAGACAGTAAAACACAGACTCACCAGTTTATAAAAGACAGTTTGATCCAAATTATATTTTGATAAAATGGGACATGTTCACATGGCTAAACTTTATTTACCCTGATAGGTAATCTAATAAAGGCTGTGGACCAAAATTTTGGGTAAAGACGTTTTCACAGCAATTTTGTTTTAAAAGATGTTATTTTTTAGTTTCGAATGAGTTTAGGGTTAAATTTTCAATGTTTACATTTTAGCTATTTACTTTTCTTGTTACATGAGTAATCAACTTTTTCCTTGTCAATCTGTGCTACTGTTTGGTTTTGCCAAGTTTTTAATAATAAATAGAACCAGATTTGATAACAGAAATGCCTCTAGCAGTATGTGTGAATGCATTTGGAAAGAAATAATGGAGAAGAAGAGTTCTCTTGGAGGCAGCTGTCTTTCTTGACTTTTTATTCCCTAGTACTTTAGTCTGGCACATAATAGATACTTTAAAAAATGCCCCTGAGTAAATGAAACACAGTACATCCCCTGATGTCATTTTTACAGAATAGCACTAGAAATAGAGTTGCACCAACACCTATTCATTGCAGTTATTTGATATGTTCTGAATTAAGAAATGAGATCTACAAGGGTCTCTTTCACAACCCTCCCACCTGAGCAATAGCTCTTTTCTCTACAAATTCATAATTATTTTGGTTGTAAGGTGGTAGGAACACACAATTTTAGGCAAAAAGATGGATTTAGTCACTGCTATGGATTGAAGGTTTATGTCCCCCCAAAAATTCATATGTTGAAACCCTAAACCACAATGGTACTGTATTTGGTGATAGGGCCCTTAACTCCTTAATTAATGTGAAATATAGGGCTCTGTCCTATAGATTTAGTGTCTTTATAAGAAAAGGAAGAAAGAGCAGAGCGCTCTTTCTTTCTGTGTGTGCATGCACTAAGGAAATGCAATGTGAGGATGCAGCAAGAAGGTGGCAGTCTGCAAGTCAGGAAGAGAGCCCTTGCCAGAAAGCAAATTAGTTGGTACCTTAGTCTTGAATTTTCCAGCCTCCAGAACTGCGAAAAATAAATTTCTGTTGTTTAAGCTACCTAGCTGGTGGTATTTTGTTACAGCAGCTTGATAAGACTAATACAGTCACTCCTGTGAGAGGGAAAGATAATGTTACAACAAACAGGATTGAAAGAAGAGCTGTAGGAAATCTAGTCTCAGAGAAAGCCACCAAGACTTGCTCTCTCTTGTGTGTGTTTGTTTCTGCTTGACTTTATCCTATGGAAAGACTCTCTATGTGACAGAAAGCAAAAACCAACTACTCAGACTCAGATTTACATTCTCTCAATTTAGCAATCCCAACAGAAAGAAAGTTCTATTTTCCATGGTTGAAAAATCAGTCATAGAGAAGGACACTAGCACTATTTAGAGAACAGCCTTAACCCCTAACACAAATTTCTCTTGTTGAGGGGACAGTTATTATATACAAGGCCTGGGTCACATGCCCATTGTGTGGCTGTGGAGTAGAGAAGAGGCAGTTATAATTCCATCAAAACCATGCAGAATGGATTAGTGGGGGTTCCTTAAAGGAAAGGATGCTTTAATATATAAAGTACATGTGTCTACTCCCTATAGGCTGGGCCCACCAGTTCTGTGATTTGGGGAAATCTAAGCATCTTCAAACCATTGCACAGGGCTTTGGAACCAAGTCACATTTGGGTTAGTATACCTCTGATGTTGCTTCACATTTTCAACAAGTAGACTTTTTCTAGTCCCTGAGACCAACTTGTTGCTGAATACTTTGCTTCTGAATATGTGGAAACTGTTTTGTTCCCATTTTCATAGGGTCTGCCATCACTACATCTCCAGCGTTCCCAGTTCCTCTCAGCCTGAAACTGAGACTTGAATTTATTCCTATTACTTACTCAGGAATTAGAATTCTATGGTTAGATCTGCTCCTTTAGATCACTTTTCTGCCTTTTTGATTCCTGAATATTATTTGCCTCTGGATTTCATATTGCAATGCTATGCCCATCTATAGAAACCCCTTTCTCTCATGTTAGGCTTTGTGAGGTTGACTGATGTCCTAGACTAAGGCTGGCTGTTGTCCTGGACTAACACTTATTATTGATACTTCACCTTTCTGGAGGGGGACTTTCTAGAAATTTGCAGTGTAGTTGAGGTCCTCTTGATCCCCTTCCAGCTCATCTTCAGAAGATCTAATGACTCCAGGTTCCTCTTAGCACTTTTCTGTCTGATCTAGCCTTTATAACTAGACCTACAATGTAAATTAAAAATTCTAACTCATACATTTTACAGCCCATAAACCATGTCTCTTGATATTCACATTTTATGTCATTTTCTCCCATATTGCCTTTGGACTTTGATCAATGGGACATTAGCAAACATGACACAATAATAGGCTTTAAAAGCACTTGCACACTGGGGCATGTACTTATGGACTGCTCAATTTTGGATCCCTGAGTCACCAGATAAAGAGGTCTGGCCATTTTATTGGAGAGACCATATGGAGAGAGATGAAGAGATGCTAGAACAACTGGAACTGTGCCAGTGGTTCCAGCCATCCTAACTGTGGTGCTAGACATACGAAGGAAGTCATCTTGGTTGATCCAGCACCAATAGAAGAAAAGTCAGCCAAACCCCACTGGGACTGCAGAGTTGTGGAAAATAATGAACCATTATAGTTTTAAGCACTAAATCTGGTGATGAGTTGTTATACACAATACATAAATGAAACATTCTCTTTTTTTGCCAAATATGGAACTGCTAATCTTGTTTGTGCACTTTCCTGTACCTGTTCCAGAAGTCAGAATGAGTGCTCAATTATCGACAGATGCCTCTGCTCTATCTCTGATGCAATAAGAAGGTAGAATGTCAATGTGTTAAACTCACTCTGCAGTGGGACTGAGGATATCCAAGTCTATTTTCTTTCCAAAGGTGGTAATGTCTATCTATATGTGATTTCTCGTAAGCTGTGAGATGTTGGCTTTAAGAGCTTCAGTTCTCTCAGTTGGTGTTATGAGAATTTAATGTGATGATGCACATAAGACATCAGGCAGAGAATCTATTCATAGTGGCTATCATGCTTATCAATTTTACCTCTTTCTTTTCAGGTTTCTTAGGCTTCTGAATTTTCTATCTGGCCTCAGAAATACAGATAACTGACTAGAAAATTGCAAGTGTAATATCTAACTGACTGAAGATTTTAGCACTTTTGTCGTTAACTTTGAAAGCAGCAAATTTTTGAAAACGTTTGTCAAGAAACCTGAATATTACAAAGATGACACAATTTCATTGAAAGGCATTATATGTGGATAAATACAAGGAGATATTTGCCATATCAATGGGAAATAAGTCTTAATATTGTAAAGATGTAAATTCTCCCCAAATTGACCCACAGAGTACAATCCTATCAATATCATCTTCCTGTTTATAGCCTTTGTTACTTTCTTCTTTATGGTGCTCTTTTACACATTCTTCATTTTAACGCAATCACTTTTGTCCGTCTTTTTCTTATACTTAGTGGTTGTTTTGATCTTCTTCAATAGATCATATTAACTATAGCTTTATAGTTAATATCTAGGAGAACAAGTCTTCTCAACTTTTCTTGGGCCTTTGCTCTTTCATGCCAATTTTAAAGTCAGCTTGTCAGTTCCTCTAAAAACATGTTGAGGTTTTTATTGAAATTTTGTTACTTTGTAAATTAATTTGAATAGAATTGACATCTTCAGAATGTTGAGTTTTCCTACTCATTAACACAGTGTATATCTCACTTATTCAGCCTGATTTAATGTTTCAAAGAAAGTTTTAATGTTTTTGAGTGTTGAGTTTGTGGGTGTTCATTTTTTGGTTCCAGCTTCATAATTTAAATATATGCATCATATATCAAATATAACATAACCTTTAAAAAATGTGGGAATATGTCTTAAGTGAAATGCAGCCATTTAAAATGATGGATCATTTAGTGATATGGAAAGATCCATAGCACATTAATAAGTGAGAAAAACCTTTCCATAATAGCATGTTTTATGTAAATGCCATTTATATAAATATGTGTAAAATTATGAGTGTGAAATAAAGAGAGATATTTGGAAGGTTGTTGAAAATGCAGAGTCAGATACAAGATGCATTCCAGATGAAGAAACACTTCTGGAATGGTAGAATAAGGACCTTTGAAAATTCACTGCTCTAGAAAAGAAATAAGAACACTGGTAAAAATGATCAAACTCAAAATTTTCAGGACTCTGAAAATTTAAAATTGCAACATTCCAAGGAATATTTATTCAATAAAATCAACTGAATCATGTTAAAAATGGTAAACTTTGTGGTGTTTGAAGTTGCTGTAGTACCATCTCCTTTTTCCTAGATCTGCAGTAGATGTGAAAATCAACACCTTCACTATTATAGTAGCTATGATAACTGTAAATTAGCAGCTACTAGAGGAGGTGGAATGGGTTTACAACTCCTGAAAAGTCCCATTTTCAGAAATTTGACACTTTTTAACCTGTCTGGTAGCTTATTAAAAAAATCCTCTATTCCCAGGATTTGTCTTTATTTAACCTGGCTTAGAGCTTACTCTGTGTATTTGTCAAAAATAATTAGTGGCAATAGTATAACACTGCCCAAAGTTGCATTTCCAGTTGGGATTAGAAGAGGTAGACCACAAAATTTAAAAGGAAAGATTTTGGAATGAGATGTCCTCATTCATTGGGTTTTGAAAAGCTTCAACATATTCCTGGGAATCTAGGCATCCATGCACATGTGCTTTGATGTGTGCATACATAGGAAAGACCTGAAAAAGTTCCAAATATTCATCTTTGGCTGATCTTGAGTCTCTGTGCAATTGGGAAGTGAAGGCTAAGGAAGAGTTGTAAACTGCCTGCCAGAACATTGATGGCATACCCCAACACACACACAGCCTCTCAACAAAGAATAGGACACTTAATGGTTCAAGGCACTTAAGAAAATCTCTGCCCAATAATTAACTAATCACTAAGTTAATTAAGCAGATACTCCAATGGCCATGCACAAAAAGACAGTAGAGTACAGAATCATAGTCATGTGTTGCTTAACAACTTGATTTGTTCTAAGAAATGCATTGTCAGGAGATTTTGTCATTGTGCAAATATCATAGAGTATACTCACACAATTAGATGTTATAGCCTGCTATACACCCTGTTGCACCTCAGCTACCAAACTGTACAGCATATTACTATGCTGAATACTGTAGACAATTTTAATACAATGGTAAGTAATTGTGAATCTAAATATATCTAAACATAGAAAGCATACAGTAAAAATCTGATGGTATAACCTTCTGGAGATGCTGTTATGTATACTGTTCATTGTTGGCCAAAACATTGTTATGTGGAGCATGAATATAGTTCAAAAAAGTCACCAAACAAACAACAACAACAAGAAAACCTGGGGAGGGTGGATATTAGATTTCCAGAGATGCCACATTATAGTGTTTAAAATGTATAGTTTTTAATGAAAATTAAGAAATATGCAAAGAAAAAAGAAAGTGTGGTTCATATACAGGAAAAAGGCATTAATAGAAACTGTCCCTGAGAAAGCCAGACATTGGACTTACTACAAAGATTTTAAATCATCTATTTTAAATATACTCAAATAAACCATGCCTAAAAAACTATAGGAAAGTATGAGGACAATGTCTTGCCAAACAGAGAATATCGAGAGAGATAGAAATGATCAAAGGGAACCAAATAGAAATTCTAGATTTGAAAAGTGTAACTGAAAAGTAAAAATCACTAGAAGGGCTCAACATCAGATTTGAGCATCTCAAAGAAAGAATCCCATAAATTGAAGACAGATTGATAGAGATTATATAATGTGGGGAACAAAAAGAAAAAATAATAACAAAAAATGGGCAGAGCTTCAAAGAACTATGTGACATCATTGAGCATATCAACATACATAATGGAATCCCCCAGAAGGGAGAGAAGAAAAGGAGCAGAAGGAATACTTGAAGAAATAATGGCAAAAAATTTCCCAAATTTGATGAAAATCTTAATCTATGCATCTTAGAAATTCAACAAACACCAAGTAGGACAAAATCAAAGTGATCCATATCTACATACACATCATAGTCAAATTGTTGAAAAACAAAGAGAATCTTGAAAGCAGCAAGAGCAAAGTGACTTATCATGTAGAAAAGATTCTGAATAATAATAATAATAGCTTTTCTAATCAGAAGCCATGGACACAAGGAAGCAGCAAAATGATGTATTCAAAGTGCTGTAAGAAAACAACTGTCAGTCAAGATTGACAGCAAATCTGTGTTTTAAGTCTATGACCAGCAAAATTATGATTTAAAAATGAAGAAAAAAAACCTTTCCAGATAAATAAAATCTGAGAGAATTTGTTGCTAGCAGAAATACCACACAAGAAATACTAGAGAGAGTATGTCAGGCTGAAAAGAAAGGACAATAAATGAGAACATAAATCCACAAAAATTATAAACAGTACTGGTAAAGGTAACACAAAAACTTGTACACAAATTTTCATAGCTGCATTATTCATAATAATATAAAAGGAGAAACAAGCAAGTGATTAAACAAAATGTAGTATAGCCATACAACAGAATACTATGTAGCCATAAAAAGAGATGAAGTATTTATATATTCTACACATGAATGAAACTCGAAAGCATTATACTAAGTGAAATAAGTCACAAAAGGACACACACTGTATAATTCTATTTAAATGAAATGTTTGGGATATGCAAATCCTTAAAGACAGAAAGTAGATTAGTAATTGTCATGGACTGGAGAGAGGGGAGAACAGGGAGTGACTGCTAAGGGTGTGAGATTTCTTTGGTAGGTGATGAAAATTTTCTGAGTGTGGTGATGGTTGCACAATTCTGTGAATATACTACAAATCACTGAATTGTACACGTTAAAAAGTTGAATTTTAAGTTGTGCAAATTTTGTGTCCATAAAGCAGTTATTTTATAAAAGACACATTCTGAGCTCCTTTTCAGATCTGATACTTTGTCTGAAGAAGAGAGGTCCTGTGCTGAAGCACTGTAAACATAGGTGATGCAAAATAGAAACGTACAATTTTTAAAAGTGACAATTCATTCTATTTAAAAAGTTGTTATGTTGAAAATAAATCTATGCAATTTATAAAATATTCAATGATTACAAAAGAAAAATCATCCTTTGACTCTAAACTTCATTTTACTCCCAAGAAGTAGCCACAGTCAAGGAGTTACCATAATAGTCCGCCAGCCATTTGCCTATTTGCTGTCAGATCAAGTCTCTATCCTTCTTTTCTCTGCTCTGTATTGCAGGGAACTCATCTTCCATCCTCTGATTTACCCTGTGGTTTCCAGGTAGCTTCAGCCAATGGAATGCAGCAGTGGGAGACTGTAGAGGGGGAGGAAGGAGAAACCCACCTCGGCTTTGGGCGGCATCCCTAAGGCAAATACCTGTATTCTGGGGAGGCCCATCATGATTCCAGCTTCCTTTGGGTGGCCTCAGCACAGGGCTGTGATGACACCATCCCCTGCTTTTTTCCTCCAGCCTAAGGATTGTAGTGACTTTCTGTTTTGCTAAAGCCTACAGTATCTCACCCTGCTCTGTTTAGCTTCTCAGCTTTTTGTCTTAGTCTGCTAAACAGGTGTGTTAAGTTCTTCTATTTGAAATATCTAGGACAGTTAGTTTCCTGACTGGACACTGATTGATACAGTGTTCTTCCAGAAAATTTCCATGATTATATGTTTACATATGTAACTATCCTTTTAAAATATATATGAGATCATAGTATTTATAGATTGCCTTTTTACTTAACAATATATCTTGGAGGTCTTTCCTATTAGCCTACGCAAATTGATGTCTATTTTTTAAACAGCTGTATATTATTTCGTTGTAGGGATATACCATACTGTATTTAATCAGTGCCCTATTGGTGGAACTTTAAGTTGCTTCCAGTTTTACATTATTACCAACACTGATGCATATACACATTGTTGTATATGTGGGAAAATTTGGATTTTGAAATAAATTGCTAAAAACATTGCTAAAGAGATTACCCAAATGTATACTCCTAGCAATGGTGTATGTAACACTTGTTTCCTCACCTTCTTACACACAGTGCGTATTGTCAAACTTTTAAACCTTTCCAGTTTGGTAGAGAAAAAAATTTTGACATTTGACTGTTTTAATGGTAATTTTCAAATTATTGATGATATTAAGGGGGCCCTTGCCCTTCCTAATGTACAGAAACCCTAGGACATGACCCGGAAGTCATAAGTTGAACATGACTCAAGACTGCCACATCCCGCATGAGAATGAAAAGCCAAAGGTAGGGTGTGTGCAATTCACGGAGATTCTCTTTCTTCAATATGGATAAGTAACAAACCAACTCTGGGAACAAATGGTTATCTTATAAAGTTGTGTTGTGTGTGAGGGCATGTGTGTGTGTGTGTGTGTCCTGGCATGCTCCTGTTGCATTTGAGGTCATGTTTATTCCCTGGAACCTTAGGCAGAGCCCCAATTTGGCACTTCACACTGACTTGGAGGTCAAAGCTTATTCTAGAACCTCTTGCTTAAGCTCTTCTGTGGAGTCACCATTAAGTAGCTTAGAAGACAGAAAGAATTAACTTCTGAGGATTAACCTCTAAAATGAGAACAGCCCCCAAGTGAGACTGTGGTTTGGGAGAACCAGTCAGTGGTATTTTTCCATGTAAGCTTGAGAGTCATACATTGGAGCTTTGATGGTGGAATTATTCACTCAAAGAAGGGCAGATGCCAGGAAAGGAAACAAAGGCTTGGATTAGGTTTGCGGCCCTGGAGTTCCAGGTGGTGACCAGTAAAGAAGCAGGCAATAGAAGATGGGGTAGAGGAGGGCAGAGCTTGAGTTGCAGGGGAAAAGGTTCCAGTGGGAGAACCCAGGAGCAGACGTTGGGGAAGGAATCTTCTTGTGGGAGGCCGATCTGTGCAGCAGTGACATCTATGTGACCCTTTTT
The DNA here is from genome assembly GCF_000001405.40 of Homo sapiens. NCBI lineage: Eukaryota > Metazoa > Chordata > Mammalia > Primates > Hominidae > Homo > Homo sapiens. The sequence goes on along the minus strand of NC_000011.10, from coordinate 107,142,654 downwards.
ACTAGTAGCAACCCCACATGTAGTTTGGCCAGAAGATGGAGAGGGTGTAAGACAACAATCAGAAAAAGGTGACTGTTTCTAATGGTCACATTTATCCAGTTCAGGGACTTACTCTTTCTCCTTCTCCATACCCTTTGAAAGCTACAGATTTAGTACTTTTCCATTTCAAAGCTATTTTAAAACGTCTCAGCAGAGAGCTTATACTTTGTAGCATGGTTTTCTCATTCCTTTGAATGAAGGAGGAAAAGAGGGAAAGGGGAAGACATTGGAAAAAAGAAGAGATGTGAAAGTGGGGAAGGAGGAGAAGGAAGAGGAGGATCTAATGCTCTAAATGAGCGTCTCACTTAAGGCTAACTGCTAATTAATTACTTTTGGGACCCAATTCCTGTCAGTTTGTCATATAGATAAGGTTCTCTTTATTCAGTCCCCTCAGTCACTGTTCATATGAGGGTTCCTCAGCAGTTTCTAATTTGAAGAGCTGAACTCCCTTTCTCTAAGTGTTCAAAGTGAGATTGCTTCTTTGTTTTCTATATGGGTAGAACTATCTCTGAGTATCTGTTCATCAGTTAGAGAGAAACTGCCATGTTTCTAAGCATCCTTTCCCCCTAACAGAAGGAAACCAAGCACCACGACCGTCCTATACTCTCTACTGACCTCTCAGAAGGAGAGCCTTGCCAAGTAAACAGCCCCATCATTGCTTTCACCCCACAAGGATCTTCTAGGAGGGAAGAATTCACAGCCTGCCAAATGAAACAGGCTAAAACTAGAAAAGTAATAAATGGTATTTTCCTGCCTCTAGGAGCATATTACTAAAATAGAAGCTGAAAGTCAGAAAAAATGAAAAATTCTCTGCTGTAATGTGGTGGATAGAATTGAAATTTCCCTTAAGCATTTTGGTTCCAGGAAACCCATTCTTGCAACTTTCACAATATCTTGAGAGTGAGATATTAAAACCCTTAATAAATATCATCTTTAGTTCAAGACAGCTGAGTCAACATACATGACTATCACTCTCAGTTTCCTCCTCCTTTGCCATCTTCTGATTAAGAGGAATTTTCAGCTAGGCCCACCGGGACTCCTTTCTAGCTAACCTGGAGTTGCCTTGGCCTCTAAGCTAGATATTGCTTAACTGGATTGTATGTCATTTAAATTATTTTGCATACTTACCTGCAAATTGTTTAAAAATAAGAGTGAACACACTTGTGACCCCTGAGTTTGCTATTAGAAAACACAGCTGCCAAAAGAAGCACATGGATTTCCAGATAAACCATTTGCACAGTTACATTAAACAGTAAATTGCCCTGCTGGAGCTGGAACAAGTCAGACATGAGGAAGCCTGACTGTCAGAGACTCAGAGGTAATAGGTTGACTGAGAAGCAGGAACACGCTCCTCGTACCAGGGGACTGTGTGCAGCTGGAGTGAGCTCACATCAGATGAGATGTCACACTTTCAGAAGCAGTGGAGAGGCATTTAACTCAGGCAAGATCTCTGCTGCACATGCTTCCTTTCCCCAAACAGCATGTCTGTGCTGAGAGCTGAATTTATAAAACACCGCAATGAGGCTGGCAGGCTAACAGCCAGTGGGAATTGGAAGGAGAAGAGGTGAGATTGTCTGTGATATTGGGACCTGGTGGAAGTGGGTTGGCCTCATCTTTCTATTGCATTACATGGAAGTGCTCAGGACCTAGTTGCTCAGTGTTTCTCGCACGCAGAGAAGGTCTTGTGACTGGTGTTGAGCAAAATGTAGAATGCAAGATGCTATCTCTAGATAATAATGTGTTCACGGTGGACTTTTGGAGCTATTGTTTCTAGCTTTGCTGCCCAGTCTAGAGTGTGGCATAGAGTGGGGATTTCAGGCAGGACAAGCCAGGGTGCCATGCTCATTTATACAGCAAGATACTTGATTAGGTCCCCTGTTTTGTTATTTGTGTGTCATCTAGTGCTCTCTGTAAGGTAGTACTGGGCAGTGCCTGCTTTATCCTTTTATCACTTGTCTTGACTTTTTCAGTAACAACCTAATCCTGTCTCAAGTCTCTCGATATTCCAGTGTCACCACGAGCCACACACTGTGCCCAGTGCTAGGGGTGTATACGGAGGTGCAGCCCCTTCCATTAAGGATTTTTCAGTGTTTGTGGGAAAACAACCAGCAAAGAGACCAATTAACTACAATTGAACTAGAGTAGCCAAAGATACAGACAACGTGCTGGAAGAGCGTCAAGCATTTTTTTTCCCAGTAAGCCCTTGAGATTGTTAGTTATTGATTTTAAATTAAGGGATATAGTTTCATTATCTGTAAATAGTTAATTTGAGTCTTTTGGCAGGGAGAGTGGGGTTTCTGGTTCTCCAGGGGAAGTGGTAAATGAGGGTAGTCCTCTCCAATTCATAGATTAAAAGCAAGGCATCCAAGTCTATGCCTCAAAAAGAATCAAAAGTGGGTATTTAACTTATTCCCAAAATATAGCTAGAGATACAAGAATCTATCACTCATCATGAGCAAATACATTTTCAGGACTTAACAGAGGAACTCTAACTTAAAATTGATGCCAAGCCTCTGTATTTATATTAATTGTGTAACTCAGGACAATTCTCTCCTTATATTCACAGTTCCCTTAAATTTCATACATATCTGCTCAATATGCACAGATGCAAAGTTCCATGCCAGGCACCAGAGGCAAATTGAGGAGGGAGAGGGAACAGCTGGCAGAGTCTGAGGCTGTGAGCCATGGCTTTCCTCAAAGAAAAGAAAGAGAAAATTTGAAATGTCTGCAGGAAACCAGAACTTTCATTCTAGCTTGTCTATTAGAATTTGATAAATCCTTTAAATACATTTTGCATTAGACACCCAGATAACCAGAAGACATATGGTGCTAATGTTTCCCCAGCCTTTTATGAACAGAAGCAGCTGGCAAACAGAATGAAATTTTTAAAAAAGGAACAAGTGAGCCTCAGGAGATTGAAGTTGTTATCAATCAGTCTTGAGTTCTTCAGCTTCACTGACATCTTTAACTAGCAGGAGGGGGCGGGCAGAGAGTACAGAACAGGTTGTGCTTTGAAGAGCCTGGCTGGAACTTGTGTCACCTGTGGTGGGAACAGATGCGATCCTCTCCGGGCCTATGGGCCTCCGTCATGACAATACATAGGAAAAGAACCTGGTTTTAGGGACATGAAGCTGTTCCAGGGGCTTTGTGGTAGTTGGAAGGCCACTGGTTGGTGTTGGCCATGCAGGTTGTGAATGTGGGTGGTGGGGACTGGTCAGACCACCCTCTTGTTTCTCCCTTTACTCTCAGAAGCAGCTCCTATTTCATCTTGTAAATTAAAACCACAATAATTATTCTTGGAGCAAGTCCAAGACAGCAACTAGAATGATTCGTAATCTCATTGAGAGTTCATTTTTTTCTCAACCAATTTCAAATTATTCAGCTCCATTTATGTAGCTTGTTTCACCTTCTACATTAAGCAAATTTCCAAAGGCTTATGGGACCATCTCTATTTCATTTGAAACCCCTATTCTGCTAAACTTATTGTTTAGTGAATGCCGAGCATGCACCTAGTGTGGCACTAGGCACTTCGCATTCATCATCTAACTTGAGTCTTGTAAAGATTGTATTGCCCTTCTAGAGATAAGGAAACTGAGGCTCAGAGAAGTTAAGCAACCTGCCAAAAGGTCACTCAGCTAATAAGTGACAGCATCAGGATTTTAACTCCATCTTCTCTGACTCCAGAGCCATTCTCTGATCTTGCCATTTTTTTTTTTTGATACATGAAGAATCATTGCTGAGGTCTTTCCATTACCCAATGTGATCTTAGACAAAGATTGATATGAAAAGAGTCTTACCTGTGCCAAGACAAGACTCTTGAAAATGATCCTAAATGTGCCTTTTTAGGGTCACATCCTAGCTGAAAAGGATAAGGATCATTTTAAATACAGGATTGGGGAAACGTCAGAGGATTCAGAGAATGGGCATCAGCCTGAATTTTGCATCTTTGGCAGGGGATTCAGGATAGTCCTGGCCTAGTGCTCCTGAAAGTTTGGGCTCACAGGATGAGAGAGCAGAGACCGAGGCCTGCTGGGAGTGGATTCTTTGATGAGTTCTGAAGCTATATGAGGAAACTTACTGCAAAAGCTGCAACCCCTACGTGCTCTTGAAAAACATTTCATTCTCCTCCAAAGCTGTATTTTGAACATGAGGTGAGTGGTCCTAAAGAGGAAGGTGCAGCAATCATTCCTCTGAAAGGAACGAAGATTTCAATATCCACTGGCAAAAATGTGCTCCATTAAGCAGCTGAAATAAATAAAACTGTCAGTCGATTTCTTTATGGATTTTCCAAGACGGTGCTGCCAGCCTGTTCCTCTTCAACTAGAGGTCCAGACAAGCAGCTCTGCTTCATTTTCTTAGCTCCTAGTCCTTCTTAGGAGGGAAGGTTATCAGACCTGGTGCCCAAAAGGAGACAAGAGAGGAGCCTCGTCTACTGTCCTCGCCTTCCTTGCTACTTGACTTTGAGGACAAATCATCCTGCTAACAATGTCTGACACAGCTTTGTCCATTTATACAAGTGATCACAGGGCTTTATTCCTGCTGAGGCTCCAGCTTCCTCCAATGACTTGTCCCTGACACTTTTATATGCTTTCTACTTACCTAAATGCTTCCAAGCACACCATCTCATTTAGTCTTCATGTTAACTCTATGGGGTAGGCATTATTAGATAATGAAACCAAGGTTTGAGATCATAGAGCTCATAGAAATCAGAGCTGGAATGCAAACTCAGGACTTTCTGGCTCAAAGCCTATGCTGCTTAACCATTACACCACACTGCCTTTTACAGACATGGAAACAGAGGCCTGGGAAGGTGAGGCAGCCTTAACACAGAACCAGTAATGGGATACATAATTGATCTTTTCTTCATTACAACTCTCTACTGTTGGATCTTAAAAAAATGGTCTTTTTATTATTTGTTTACACATTCATTCATTTTTAAAATAGATTTTATTTTTTAGAATGGTTTTAGATGTAAAGAAAAATTGTGATGATGATATAAAGAGTCCCTATATACCTCTCATTCAGTTCCCCTATTGTTAATATTTTATATTAATATTATATATTTATTGTAATTAATGTACAAATAATGATATACTGTCAACTAATTATTATGAATACTATTACTAGTTATTATTAACTGATGTCTATATTTTATTCTGATTTTCTTAGTTTTTACCTAATATCCTTTTTCTGTTCCAGAATTTTATCCAAGATGCCACATTACCTTTGGTTATCATGTCTCCTTAGGCTCCTCTTGGCTGTGACAACTTCTCAGACTGTCTGTTCAGGCTACTATAACAAAATAGCATAGGTGACACATAAACAATAGAAATTTGCTTTTTGTAGTTCTGAAGGCTAGGAAGTCCAAGACTAAGATCCTGACAGATTTGTGTCCAGTGAAAGCCCCCTTCCTCGTAGACAGAACCTTCTTCCTATTACATGGTGTAGGTGATGAAGGGTCTCTCTCAAGCCTCCTTTATAAGGGCACTAATTATCTTCAGGAGGGCCCCACCCTCATGACCTAATAATCTCCCACACCATCACCTTGAGGTTTAGAATCTCAACATATGAATTTTGGGGAGATGCAAATATTTAGACCATAGCATGGACTTTCTTTGTTTTTTATGACCTTGACAGTTTTGAGGAGTATTGGTTCGGCATGTTGAAGGACATACTTCTACTGGGATTTGTCTGATGTTTTTCTCATAACTAGTCTGTTATGGGTTTTTAGGAGGAAGACCACAGAATTAAAGTGCCTTTTTTTTTTTCTTTTTGAGATGGAGTCTCGCTCTTGTCTTCCAGGCTGGAGTGCAGTGGCGTGATCTTGGCTCACTGCAACCTCTGCCTCCTGGGTTCAAGTGATTCTGCCTCAGCCTCCCAAGTAACTGGGAATACAGGTGCCCGCCACCATGCCTGGCTAATTTTTGTATTTTTAGTAGAGATGGGGTTTCACCATGTTGGTCACGCTGGTCTTGAACTCCTGACCTCAAGTGATCCACCTGCCTTGGCCTCCCAAAGTGCTGGGATTACAGGTATGAGCCACTGCACCCATCCTAAAGTGCCATTTTCATCACATCATATGAAGGGTACATACTGTCAATATAATTTATTGCTGTTGTTAACTTTGATCACCTGGCTGTAGTAGTATATATGTAAGGCTTCTCCACTGTGAAGTTTTTGTTTTTTCTCCCCTTTCATACTATACTCTTTGGAAGGAATTCACTGCACAACCCACGCTTAAGGAGTGAGCAGTTATACTCCATCTCTTTGAGAGCAGTTTATCTATATAAATAATTTGGAATTTTTCTGCACGAGAGATTTGTCTCTTTCCCCCATTTATTTATTCAGTCATTTATTAATATTTATATCAGTATGGACTTCTGGTTATTTATTTTTGACAATCAAAGATTATGTAGTCTACTGTAGCAATAAGAAAGTAGTAGGTTGGTAGAACCCCATGTTGCTTTAGTTAAGCAGTAAAAGTTCCTGGTTATTCTGAAGAGGTAGTGATATTTGAAGGGCATAGACTTTTTATGGGCTAGTTATTGACACACGGGGTGGTGGTTCTGAATGATATCACTGCCACTGGTTTTTTTTTTTTTTTTTTTTTTTAGACGGAGACTGTTGCCCAGGCTGGAGTGCAGTGGCATCATCTTGGCTCACTGCAACCTCCACCTCCTGGGTTCAAGTGATTCTCCTGCCTCAGCCTCTCGAGCAGCTGGGACTACAGGCACGTGCCACCATGCCCAGCTAATTTTTGTTTCGTATTTTTAGTAGAGACGAGGTTTTGCTGTGTTAGCCAGGATAGTCTCGATCTTCTGACCTCATGATCCGCCTGCCTCGGCCTCCCAAGGTGCTTTATTTTACTGATGAGGAAATGTAGTCACAACTATTATGATACCACTGATCTGGTTCATTTCTCACCTGCTCCGTCTTTCCCTGTTGCCCACACTTGGCCAGGTTTTGTGGGAATCCAGTAGCTTTCTCTAAATCAGAGAACTGTTTTCATTGTTGATCTGAATTTCGACAATCACTTTACACCTCATGGCACCCAATCTCAACCAGAGTGCCCTCAGCATAGTGAGGAACAACAAGCCACACTTTTCTTTTTTAAGGCCCAGAGGGAAAGACTATATTAAGTTTGTACAACCTTCCTTATTGTTGTTGTTGTTGTTTTTCTGTTTTGTTTTGTTTTGTTTTAGGCTTTTAGCAGCCTGAAGCCATGGTTTTTAGTGTCTGTCTCTAGTGTTAAGTGGAAAAGAGGGATGAGGAAGGGGCTTTACTGGCCCGACCAGAAACAGAAACTAAGAACCCATGACTGTATTCTCTCCCTTGGGCACTAGATAATTTTTAATGTCCTGAAACTCTTTCAGGAATAAGAGAGATATGGTATTTTTGTTTTCCCTCAAGTATGTATTGTATGTATGGGATCCATTTTGGCAAGAGGAGCCAAACCTTGGGATTTACATTAGTATAGGAGAAACTGATTTGTAAGCCTTGACAGCAAGACTGAAGTTTTATCCACCATACAGATAGGATTTGATAAATAGAAAACTGAATCCAGTCCATTATTATGAACACCTGAGCTGTTCATAGTAATCATCTGTGCCACATGATGATGAATGATGGGCTCCTAGGCATGGCTGACACTTCCCAGCAGAAGGCTGGCTAGGACCCTTATCTTTCCTTCCCTCCCAGACCTTTGGTAGGGAAGAATAGCTTGTGTGAAGAAACAGTTTTACCGCCTCTCCTTTGGAAAATCTCCATACATATCTAATTCTTACTTGAATAGTCTTGGCTTTCAAGTGTCATTATTTGGGCGAGGTCGCCCTGCTGATCTGGAGCCTCCTCAGGTGTCAGGGATTGCCAACTATATTTGCGTGCTTTCTTGTCTGGTGCCGCTCCAAGACTGAAACAGTTTTATATTTTATTTCCATTACACAGTCTACCTTTCTGGGGCACATGAAGTGTGGTCTGAGCCCAGTGATGCAAACAGTCCTGCCGAGGCCAAAAGCTGCCAAAAGCACATGGTCTATTGGTGAAAAGTTGACCTTCAAAGAGTAAATGGGGTTCTCTCAGTCAATCTGCAGATGTGGAGTACAGGGTTATACTAACATCACTGTCAGGCAGTGTAGAATGCTGGGGAACCACTAATATATAAATAAGAGATATGTGAGTTATAATCCTGCTCTGTCACTTATTGACCCTGTGACCTTAGATAGTTACCTAGCCCTTGTGAATCTTTCTTTCCTCAAATGAAAAGTAAAATTGGAAATTTCTACTTTACGTAATTTCTATTTGGACTAAATGAGACAAGGTATGTAAAGAGCCTGGAGTATAATAAAGGATTCATAAATGTTAGTGGCTATAATTCTTATCATCAAACTCTTAGCATTATATTCTCTGTGATTATGTTTTCAAGATTCTGAAATCTGTGTGTTATAGTCCAATTTATTTCTCTTTGGGCTTAGCTTCAATAAGAAGCATTGTCCTTCACAGAGGAAAGAGTCTCTTCTGACTCACACCACTACGGCATCACTTTGAATTACTTTTCATGATAGGATAATTTGTTCAGACACATTCTCACTTTCTACTGATTTTATTCATATTCAGTGGTGAGCATTTACAAGACCACTGGCCCTGGATGTAATATACTCCAGATCAAATAAAGAAATGTGTATTGTTACACAGGATTGAAACCCTGACCATTACCTTACAACATTGAGCAGAGCCAAATTGTCACAACAGATATTGGTACATCTGGTATATCCTAGAAGAATACCTCCCAGCCTGAAGGTGATCCACATGCTGTCATCATCTTGGGATGGTTCCTTTTCCTCTGTCTCCCCATAGGCAAAACAAACTCACTTGCCCTATTGATATATAATCTTTATTGATTGACTGGGGAGGAGATCTCCTTTAAGACAGTACCCGATACACAGCCACAGACACTCAAGCCTAGAGGAGACTTCACCAGCCCTTCAGTGCCAACTGCCCCTGCAACAGTTTAGAAACCACTTGTGGGGAGCTTGTGGTATGTCTTCACTTTTCTGCCAGGTTGAACTAAAGAAATATAAGCATCCACTTGCCATAAAAATGTTTTCCACTATCACCTAACATATTTCTTAGCAACCTCTCCATATTCCTGGTGAGGTCTTCACATTATCAACCTATTTATATCTTTTCTTTGACCTTCAAATGTCTCAAGAGAGTAAACACTCTGCCTGTTCACTCCTTATCCCATTTGCTCTCTGCCTGTTGTCTCCACCATAATTCCGAAGTTGCTTCTTGTAGTGCTATCGTTTTAGTCATCTGTTAGTGGTCTAACAGATTACCTTTCCTCAATGCCATCTTCCTTCCCGGCTTATCTGACACTCTCTATCACTCCTCTCTTCCTGAAACTGCTACCTTAATTTCTAATATTTTATACTATTCAGATTCTCCTTCTACTTGTCAGATTATTCATCTGTCTACTGGGCTGATTTTTCCCTCCTCACCCACCTTAAAAATGTAGGCATTCCCAAAAGGCCTATTCTTATCTGTATTCTTTTATTTTCCTGCCCACTTATTTTCTCACTCTTCTCATTTATTTACCATGGCTTCAAATATCACCTTCTTCCAGATGGTTCTCAAATCTTTATCCAGACCTTAACTCTCTCCCAGTCTCCTGTTGTCTCTACCCAGTGGCTTGCTGAACATTTTCACCTGTAGATCTGTTGGTACCTCAAAAGCAATATCTATAAATCTCAATTTATCATTCATATCAGAGGTTTTCAAACTATGGTTTCCAGGTCCCTAAGGTTCATGAGAATGTCTTAAGTGCCAAATGAGATTGGGACTGATGGTTGTGAAAATGAGGGCTCTAGTGCTTCTACTAACTGGAGAACTTTTTTTTTTTTTTTTTAAATACGTGGGACTTCTAAGGGAGATTTAATTTAATCAAGGATTGTAATGCTAAAGAAATGTTTGGAACCACTGAGCTACCACAGTTTGTCCTAAACTAGTTCATTCTATTATAGATTTTTTAATTTTTGTTGCTAGGAATCATAAAATCAAATTCCTACAGGGGCCAAGTATGAAATATAAATAAGTAAAATGGCCTGAGTCCATGACAAAAGAAAGTAGTGGGGATTGTGGTGTGTTGAAGATAACATACTAATTCTAAAAGCCTTCAAATTAAAAAAAAAAGCTAACTCAGTGTATGGGCTATAAATCCACATCTGCAAGTTTCATCTTCTGGAGTTACTAATTTACATTTGGGTAGCAATAGTATCCTAATTACCCAAGCTGGATATCTCAGATGGATTTCCCTCCCTCCTCTTTCTTCCCTGACCCAGAAGTTATCTGTGACCAAATGCTATTGCCTCTTTTCTCCCAATGGTTTCCTTTTTTATCCTTTCTATGCTATTACTGATCCTGGTTTATACTCTTTATAGCTTGTCAGTGGACTTTTCCCTTGCTCCTTCCTCTGAGCTTTTCTGCCCACACTGCTCAGAATGTGTTCACATTGTCTATGGTGAGAAGACAATGTCCTCAGTTTGGCTTTCAAGGATATCCACCATTCTTATCTTTTAAATGCCTTATCTTTGCATTTACACAGAACCTAATTGTAATCATCTCATGATATTTACCATCTTCTATGTTTTATGACTTGTAGTCATTTGTATCCATGTCTCACTTTTGTTACTAGATACCAGATTAGTACTAGATGATAAACTCCTACTGTTTCATTTTAATACACATTTTTTAGTACGTACCATGTCTAATAGGTATGGTTTCAGGTGCTTTGGACATAGACTTTGTCCTCAAAGTGGTCACAGGTGAGTCATAAAGACAGTAATGCAAACAAATAATTACCACATTGGGTAGTGAAGGCTTATAATAAAGATATGTACAAAATGATGCTGTGGGAATACAGAAAGGGAAGCAATTAATTCTGGACAGATTATATAGTGGGTGAAGTGTCAAGAAAGGTGACATTTGCGTTGAACCATGAAGGATGAGTAGAGATTCACCAGGATGTAGGAAAAGGAACACAAAATAATTACAGGCATTCCAGATCGTGGAAAGATTTTGGAAATAATGTTTTATTAGGAATGTGGAAGGAATTGGGGCTGTTTGTCTTGAAGAACAGATAACATATTTGAAGAGGAAATAGATTCTTCCCTAGGTAACAGCAGAACCAATATGTGGAATTTATAGAGAGAAATTTTAAATTTAATACAATAAAGGTCTTTCCCTGATTAAAGACTCTCAGTTTGGACATGTGTTGGATCAGTTGTGAACTCTTTGTCATTAATTCTTAGTTAGAGGCTAAACAAACATCATAATCTATAGAAGAAGGATTTCAAAATGGAAATCTTAACCCTAAAATAATTTAAAAATACTTGTATAGGTGTTTCTATATCAGCCAATGTGACTATTTTGGCCAAGTTGAGTAGAACATTCATTATTAGGCTCATTAAGCATGTGGATTCTATCCATATTGCTCAGCACAGAAGTACTCAATAAATGTTGAATTGAAATCAAGCAGATAAATAAACTGTGATCAATAGACTGGTTTCTACATAGGAGCTTTGAGAATATATTCAGTTGCTTTTCTTTTAAAAACTCTTTGTGGGAAATTGGGAAATGCATACCTTTATCTCCTGCAGGTGAGAGTATAAATTTGTGAAACTTTTTGCAGGGAAATTTAGCTTTACATATAAATAGCATCAGTACATTTATATATTTGATGCAGTAATTCTATGGCAGCAATTTCTTCTAGGGCAATTATAGATTGTAAACATTTTACTACAAAGATGTTCATCATGCAAGTGCTAAAAATAAGAAGAATTGGATATAAATCTAAAAGTCTATCAATTTGTAATTGGTTAAATAAATTATGGTACATCTGCACAATGAAATAATATTCAGCCACTAAAAATGACATTATAAAAGGACACTTCACAACATGGGCAACATGTGCATAACTTACTGTTAACTTACAAAAGCAAGTTTCCTAAGTACTATAATTCTGTTTTTATCCTATAATATGTTTTGATTGCTGAGTTGTGTGATTATGGAAGGTTTTATTTTTTCCACTTATTTGTAGTAAACATTTCTTGCAATGAATATAGAATACTTTGTAGTAATTTAAAATGGTAGTTGCCGGGCACCATGGCTCACACCTGTAAACCCAGCACTTTGGGAGGCTGAGGCGGGTGGATCACCTGAGGTCAGGAGTTTGAGAACAGCGTGGCCAACATGGTGAAACCTCGTCTCTACTAAAAATAAAAAAATTAGCTGGGCATGGTGGCGGGCGCCTGTAATCCCAGCTGCTCCAGAGGCTGAGGCAGGAGAATTGCTTGAACCCGGGAGGTGGAGGTTGCAGTGAGCTGAGATCGCGCCACTGCACTCCAGCCTGGGCGACGGAGCAGGACCCCGTCTCAGGGGGGAAAAGAAAAAGTAGTTAAAAAACAAAAACAAAAACAAAACCTGTCTTGCATGGCTGTTCCTACTCCCTTGAGGGTAAAGCCACCACATATTCAATATGGAGGCCAGAAAGGAGCAAAACCCAGCACTAGGCCAAGCTGGAAGAACAGAGAGGTCCTGAAGGTGAGTTCAGTCTTTATGGCCAGGAAGCCATCCCCTCTGTTTAGTAAAAGTGCTACCTTCCTCCTCTGGACTGTGCTGGCCACAAATCATATAACAAATTTTCCTTATATTCTTTTTTTTAAAACCCCAACCCCTCTCACCCCCCTGACTAAATGACTCACTTCATTTACACATCCTAAAGGCTGTCTGTACTTTTCCTCTTCTAGCTCCGCTCCTTCACTCAGGGACTGACTGTCTCAGGGCATCCAGCAAACTGGATGGTGCCTGATGATTCCTGAGATGCGTCGATAATGACGGTGGATGCTGTTATGGAGTTAAACGTAGAGAATAATTCATGGACTTCCTGGGGTTGGGCCATTGGCTCCTGCTGCTTTTGCTACCAAAATGAGCCTACTGGCTTTCATACTTTTGCTACCTGCCCGTTCATGGAAGTAAGCAGGAAGAAGTGGCTCATGCTGGAACAACCGCATAGTGTAAGGAGCTGAGTTACCTCAATCTAGACCTCGATTTGCCTCCATGGCAAGGTGACTAAAAGATAAAGAGAGGCCTGGACTAGCTAAGATGGCTTCATTCTTTTTCTGGTGACTGGGACTTGGATGAGATGACTTTCCTGTGCAGAGTTTATGAAATTTCATGGTAATTATTCTCTTTTCTCCCTTACTCGAAGCAAAGATCACACTCAATATAAACTACTCTATTCTAACCTTAACACTGTATTTAGGTAAAAGTAGTTTTTTTGTATCTGCCCTACCCAAAGTGAGAAACTCTCAGTTGTAGGATCATGCCCATTTTATATTTTTACCAATATGTGAACCACATAATGGACATGTTGGGGCAGCAGCAGCAAAGAACCTTGAAGCTTATGGGAAATATGCTATTTCACAATAGTTCCTACATTTATTCAACGAGCACTTATTCAGGTATTTTCGGGCCATGGGCACACAAAGAAGATGAAGTCATAATTTCTGCCCATAAGTAGAGAAAATGAACTTTTCCAGATAATTCCAGATTAATACAGCTTATGTTAAGTGCAAGGACAGAGGCAATGTTAAGAGGTAAGGACAGAGTTAAGTGCATGCACACGGGTTGGAGCAGTATGAAGAGGGACTTCTAGGATCCTGGCACTGGGAGTGAGGGTGAGATTTGGGGATGAGTTTAAAGCATGAAAGGAGATAGGCAAAGACAAAGGGGGTGGGAAGAAGATGTTCCAGATGAAGGGACAGCATGAACCAAGACATGGAGGTGTAAAAGTGCATGCTGTGCCTGGGGAATTAGCATATGATGTGATGCAGGCTTTGATAGGGAAATAAGAATGTGGAATTGGGCATAACAGGCCTTGGAGGACTTCGTGTGCTTTATTAGTGAGTCTGGACTGTCTCCTGTAGGCAGTGAGGCACGATTAAGGAGTTTTAAGTAGGAAAGCTACATACCATATTTGAGCTTGAAAAGGTCATTTTGGTGGAAATGGAATTGAGTGGGAACAAACTGGAGTATGGGGCCAGCCAGAAAGTGGATGTTACAGCTCAGGGGAGGGATAGTAAAGCTTAAATCAAGACACAGGTGGTTAGTTGGCAGGAGGGTACAATTTTATCACCTAGATTTTTCTCCAAAATTTAGAAGATAAAATTAACAGGATTTGGGGATTAATTAGACGTGTGTGTGAAAGCACAAAGATATGGTGGAATCAAAGAAAAGACCAGGAAATCAGGCAACCTGAGCTCTGTGTGATGAAAGTCACACGCTTCCTTGGGTTCATGTTACCATGAACAGTTCTTCCATGGTTCAAGTCACAGGCATCAGTCCATATGGCTCAGCATTAAGACAGATTGGTGGTTGAAAGCAATTTTCTATTAAGAGAATATGAGAAAATTATTTTAATTTCTTTTTTTAGAGAGTTGAGGGAAAATAAAAAGGAAAAGAATCCCTAGGCTTTTATGAAAAGAGACACATTTTAAAACATTTTTTTAGAATTGAATTACAATCTCCTTAGTGGAAAAGCATTAGAGATTAATGGCCCGTATCAGTTTTACCATTGGATATGAAGAATTAAATGTTGGCAAGCACGCCGGGCGCGGTGGCTCACGCCTGTAATCCCAGCACTTTGGGAGGCCGAGGCGGGCGGATCACGAGGTCAGGAGATCGAGACCATCCTGGCTAACACGGTGAAACCCCGTCTCTACTAAAAATACAAAAAATTAGCCGGGCGTGGTAGCGGGCGCCTGTAGTCCCAGCTACTCGGGAGGCTGAGGCAGGAGAATGGTGTGAACCCGGGAGGCGGAGCTTGCAGTGAGCCGAGGTCGCGCCACTGCACTCCAGCCTGGGCGACAGAGCGAGACTCCGCCTCAAAAAAAAAAAAAAAAAAAAAATGTTGGCAAGCAAAATATCTGTTACAAAAGGAGTAATTTGAATGCCTAAATAGGTAAAACCCAAGGTAGTTAATTAGCCTAAGTGCTGCTGGGGAAGGCTCTTCTTTGGAATATTGCCAGAACAGATGATTAAGGATTTAGAAAAATTAATTTTGTATCCAGGGAAAGGTGAAAGACACCCAGTGATTCATTCAGTAGCTGCTAAGGACGTTTTGGCATCTGAGCTGTAAAACACGATGTTGTCCTTGTGTGAATTATGTTTCCCTAATGGTTCCTTGGTGGAAGCTACTAGGCCCACGGCTCCCTTTTTCTTCCATGTGTTCTCTCAGGGGTGGAGGGATGTTGGGGGTTGATTATGGATAAATAAGAAAATATTAGGAAATATGTACCGATTTTGGGGGGCCTCTTTGAACGGAGACAGTCCTTTTCTCCTTAGTGGTGCTTTACATCACAGTATAATCACATTCCTCATATCTATCTGTCTTTGTTTAAGCTGCCTGACTATAGCAACAGTGAAACCACTGTGGATCTTTTCAGCTGAATATTAGTGTTGATCGAAGAATACATAGGAGTATGTGGTTAATAAACCCTGTAAATAGCATAATGGATGAGGTTTTGTGAGTGAGGCCAGCTAGAGATGAGATGAGCCTGGAATTGCCTGGGTATCAGATATAATCTACTGACCTCTCCAGATGTGCTCTGTCCCTTAAGAGGCTGACCTGTATAGACTGCATAAGGGGACTGCTTTATCCTTGGATTCCAGTTAGGTTTCTCCAATGGGAAGCCCTAGCAGGAGATCAGAAGGGGGAAGGAGAGTGAAGCTGGGGCATTTATTACCCCAATTTTGTCAATGTAAGTCTTCTCAGATTAGCTGCATTCCTGATCCAAAGGTTACAGCTCCTTGAAGGTGACCTTCTCTGTACTATATCCAGGCCTAAGGGCAGTAACTAGCTCTTTAGCCCCTGGGCCCTGTACTTTCTCTTGTGGTTTCCTACAACAGTGGTTCTTGAGTGTTAAAACCACTTGATTCAGTAGGTCGCGGGGTGAAGCCTGAGCATTTGTACTCCTAACAAGTGATGC
The DNA here is from genome assembly GCF_000001405.40 of Homo sapiens. Classification (NCBI taxonomy): domain Eukaryota; kingdom Metazoa; phylum Chordata; class Mammalia; order Primates; family Hominidae; genus Homo; species Homo sapiens. The sequence goes on along the minus strand of NC_000011.10, from coordinate 107,126,572 downwards.
TGATGCTGATCTGGGAACTGCACTTATGTCTTCATTAACGCATTCTTTTTTTTTTTTTTGAGACGAAATCTCACTCTGTCACCCAGGCTAGAGTGCAATGACGCGGTCTTGGCTTACTGCAACCTCTGCCTCCCAGGTTCAAGTGATTCTCCTGCCTCAGCCTCCTGAGTAGCTGGCAATCCTCAGTGCCACCACACCTGGCTAATTTTTGTATTTTTAGTAGAGACGGGGTTTCACTATGTTGGCCAGGCTGGTCTTGAACTCCTGATCTCATAATCTGCCTGCCTCAGCCTCCCAAAGTGCTGGGATTATAGGCTTGAGCCACCATGCCTGGCAACTCATTCTTGAATTACTCTAATTTGAGCATTTCATCTGTTTCTCAATAGGGTCCTGATGGAACAGGCCTCAAATCTTGGGCTTGAAACAGTCCCCTTCAGGGACTATCGGATGGTCCAGGAGGGAGGAAGGCCAGTAGAAATGAGCACTGAAGGAAGTGAGTGAAAAATTATCTGCATCAGCTATGAAGGAGGAGTTGGGAGGAAATGTGATGTCACAGAGAAGGGCTGGGAATGGTGATAGCTGCCATGGACTAGTGTGATTACCTCTCAATGAATGTCAGAGAGTCAGGTTTCCAAGGACTAGGGGATCTGACCAGATTAGTCCTTATATTCATCCACATTGAGGTCTTTAAAAATTTTTATTAATATTTTTAACTTTTTGTATGTACATAGTAGGTATATATATTTATGGCATACATGAGATATTTTGACACAGTCATACAATGCATAATAATCACATCAGAGTAAATGGAGTGTCCACTGCCTTAAACATTTATCCTTTCTTTGTATTACAAACATTCTAATTATACTCTTTTAGTTATTTTTAAGTGTACAGTAAATTATTGTTGACTGTAATCACCCTGTTGTGCTATCAAATACTAGATCATATTCATTCTATCTAACTATATTTCTGTACCCATTAACCATCGCCAGTTTCCTCTCCCCGGCCCCCAATTACCCTTCTCAGTCACTGGTAATCATCCTTCTAGTTTCTATCTCCTAGTTCATTTTTTTTTTTTTTTAATTTTTAGCTCTTACAAATGAGTGAGAACATGCAAAGTTTTCCTTTCTCTATTTTTTGGAATAGTTTGAGTAGAGTTGGTATTAGTTCTTCTATAAATGTTTGGTAAAATGCGGCAGTGAAGCCATTGTTTTCTGGGCTTTTCTTTGCTGGAGACTTTTTAACTACAGCTTTAATCTCATTACTTGTTACTGGTCTACTCAGGTTTTGGATTTTCTCATGGTTCAGTCTTGGTAGGTTGTATGTGACTGAAAATTTTTCCATTTTTTTCTAGATTTTCCAATTTATTGGCCTATACTTGCTCATAGTAGTTTCTAATGATCTTTGGAATTTCTGCAGTGCCAGTTATAACGTCTCTTTCATCTTTGATTTTAGTTTCATTGAGCTATTGCATTTTTTTTTTAGTTTCAATTTCATTTATTTCTGCTTTTACCTTTATTATTTCTTTTTTTCTACTAATCTTGTGTTTGGTTTGCTTTGCTTTTCTATTTTTTTAAAGATGCATCCTTAGGTTGTTTATTTGAAGTTTTTCTACTTTTTTGATATAGGCACTTATTGCTATAAATTTCCCTCTTAAGGCTGCTTTTGTTGTTTCCCATGGGTTTTGGTATGTGTTTTTCTATCTTTATTTGTTTCAAATTTTTTTTCAATTTTCTTTTTAATTTCTTCAGTGACACACTAGTCATTGAGGAGTACATTGTTTAATTTCCATGTGTTGATATAATTTCCAAAGTTCCTGTTATTAATTTCTAGTTTTATTCCATTGTGATCAGAAAAGATATTTGATATAATTTCGATTTTTTTGAACTCTTTAAAGACTTGTTTAGTGGCCTACCACATGATCTACCCTTGAGAATAATCTATGTGCTGAGGAGAAATATGTGTGTTGTACAGCCATTGGATAAAATGTTCTATAAGAATCTATTAGGTTCATTTGGTCTGTAGTGCAGAATAAGTCTGATGTTTCTTTGCTGATTTTCTGTCTGTATAATCTGTTCAATGCTGAAAGTGGAGTATTGAAGTCGCCAGCTATTATTGTATTGGGGCCTATCTCTCTTAGCTCTAATAATGTTTGCTTCATACATATGGGTGCTCCAGTATTGAGTGCATATATGTTTACAATTGTTACATCCTCTTGCTGAATTGACCCTTTTATCATTATATAATGACTTTCTTTGTTTCTTTTTATAGTTTTTGTCTTGAAATCTGTTTTGTCTGATGTAAGCTTAGCTACTCCTGTTCTTTTTTATTTGATTTCCATTTGCATGGACCATCTTTTTCAATCCCTTTATTTTCAGTCTGTGTGTGCCATTATAGGTAATGTGTTTCTTGTAGGCAACAGATCACTAGGTCTTGTGTGTGTGTGTGTGTGTGTGTGTGTGTGTGTGTGTGTGTGTGTGTGTGTTTAATCCATTCAACCACTCTATTTTTTTGATTGGCAAGTTTAGTTTATTATATTCAATGTTATTATTGATTAGTAAGGACTTACTCCTGCCATTTTGTTAGTTTTTTCTAATTATTTGGTGACGTTTTTTTCTTCCTCCCTCCCTCACACCTTCCCTCCTTTTCTCCCCTCCCCTCCCCTCCTCTTCCCTTCCCTTCCCTTCTCTTCCTTCCTTCCTTCTTGTTTTCCTCTTTGTGAAAGTGATTTTCTCTGGTGGTACATTTTAATTTCTAGCTTTTTATTTTTTGTGTATCTGTTCTAGGTTTTTTGATGTGAGGTTATCATGAGACTGGCAAATAACATCTTATAACCCATTATTTTAAACTGATAATAGCACTGAAAAAATCAAACAATTTAATAAACAAGCAAAAGGAGAACTAATAAACACTCTAACTTCATCCCCCACTTTTTAACTTTTTGTCATTTCTATTTATATCTTATTATACTGTTTATGTCTTGAAAAGTTGTTATAGTTATTATTTTTTATTGGTTAATTGTTAGTCTTTCTACTCAAGATATGAGTAGTTTACATACCATAATTACAGTGTTATAAAATTGGGTATAAACTGTGTAATTACTGTTACCAGTGATTGCACCTTCAGATGATTGCTTAGTGCTCATTAATGTCCTTTTCTTTCAGACTGAAGATCCCCTTTTAGCATTTCATGTAGCACAAGTCTGGTGCTGATGAAATCCCTCAGCTTTTGTTTGGGAAAAGTTTTTAATTTCTCTTTCATGTTTGAGGGATATTTTCACTGGATTGGATATGCTATTCTAGAATAAAAGATTTTTCCTTCACTACTTTAACTATATCATACCACTCCCTCCTGGCCGGTAGGAGGCCACATTTGCTGCCAGATGTACAGGAGGTTCATTATATGTTATTTGTTTCTTTTCTGTTGTTGCTTTTAGTATCCTTTCTTTATCCTTTACCTTTGGAAGTTTGATTATTAAATGTCTTCAGGTAGTCTTATTTGGGTTAAATCTCCTTGGTGTCCTAGTACTTTCTTGTACTTGAATCTTGATATCTTTCTCCAGATTTGGAAGTTTAAAAAATTTATTGTCACTTTGAATAAATTTTTTATCCCAATTTCTTTTTCTACTTCCTCTTTAAGGCCAATAACTCTTAGATTTGCCCTTTTGAGGCTATTTTCTAAATCTCATGGGCATGATTCATTCTTTTTTATTATTTTTTCTCCTCTGTGTATTTTTAAATAGGCTCACTAATTCTTTCTTCTGCTTGATCAGTTATGCTGTTGAGAGACTCAGATGCATTCTTCAGTATGCCCATTGAATTTTTCAGCTCAAGAATTTCTATTTGATTTTTAAAAATTATTTCAATCTCTTTGTTAAATTTATGATAGGATTCTGAATTCCTTCTCTGTGTTATTTTGAATGTCTTTGAGCTTCCTCGAAACAGATACCTTGAATTCCCTGTCTGAAATGCCATGTATCACTGTCACTCTGGGATTGGTCACAGGTGCCTTATTTAGTTCATTTGGGGAGACTGTTTTCCTAGATGTTCTTGATGTTTGTGGATGTTTGTTGTTGTCTGGGCATTGAAGAGTTAGGCATTTATTGTAATATTTGCAGTCTGGGCTTGTTTGTACCCATTCTTTTTGGGAAGGCTTTCCCAGTAGTCAAAGGGTTTTGAGTGTTGTGATCTAACTCTTTGGTTACTGGGGCTGTATATGCATTAGGGGGCACCCCAAGCCCAGGAACACTGTGACTCTTGCAGATTCATAAAGACCTTGTTGCCTTAGTGATCTTGGATAAGATCAGAATGAATTCCCTGGATTATCAGGCAGAAACTCTTGTTCTTTTCCATACCTTTCACCCAAACAAGTGGAGTCCATATCTCTATGCTTAGCTGCTTGGAGCTGGGGGAAGAGTGACTCAAGCATCCCAGAGGCCACTGCCACTGGGACTCTGCTCAGTCAGACCTGAAGCCAGCAGAGCACTGGTCCTACCATAGGCTTGTGGCTACCCCTGCCTGATTAGCAGTGATGTTCACTTAAGCCTGAAGGCTCTTCAGTCAGCAGATGGGAAATCCAGCCAGGCTTGTGCCCTTCCCTTCAGGGTGGCAAGCTCCCCCCGGCCCAGGGCAGGTCTAGAAATGCCATCCAGGAGCCATGGCCTGGAGTCAGAGACCGTAGGAATCTAAGTAGTGCTGTATTCTACCATGGCTGAACTGGTACCCAAGCCACATGACGAACTCCTCCCCATTCTTTCTTCTTCTTTTCTCAAGCAGGAGCCTCTTTTATGGCCACCACTGCCTCAGGCCTGCAGCACATACTGCCTGGCTACCTCTGAGATTCACTCAACGCTCATGGGCTCTTCAGACAGCATATGATAAGTGCTGCCAGGCCTAGGTCTCTCCCTTCAGGGCAGTGGGCTCTGCTCTGGCATCGGGTAGGTCCAGAGATGCTGCCCAGGAGCCAAGACCTGGAACTGGGGGCCATAGGAGCCTGTTTGGTGCTCTGATCCACTGTGACTGAGCTGGTACCCAAGCTGCAAGACAAAGTACCTTTTACTCTTCCCTCTCCTTTTCTCAAGGAAGAGTCTCTCCTTCTGGCAACCGCAGCTGGGAATGTGCTTGGTCATACCTGATGCTAGGACAGTACTGGGTCTCACCCAAGGCCAACAGCAAGTACTGCCTGGGTGCTGCTGATGATTATTCAAGTCTTAAGGGTTCTTTAGTCAGCAGGTTATGGATCATGCCAGGACTGGATCCTAAGGCAGTGGGTCCCCTTCTGGCCCAGGTTATGTCTGGAAATGTCATCCAGGAGCTAGGGTCTGGAATGGGTGCTTTAGTAGTTTGCCTGGTGCCTTATCCTGCTGTGGCTGAGCTGGTATCCAAGTTTCAACACAAAGTCCTCTTTATTCTCCTCCTCTCTTCAAGCAGAAGGAAGGAGTCTCTCCTGGTGCTGTGAGCTGCCCTGCCTGGGGCACTCCCTACGCTCCCCTGGTTGGTGTTTCACTAAGTTGCATGCACCCCAAGTCCACTGGCTCTGAGCCCACCACAGCACCAGGACTTGCCCAGGAATTGCAGTTTTTGTGGCTTAGACTGCCTTTGAAATCTATTTAGAACCCCAGAGCACTTTAGCCCACAGTGGTGGGCCCAGCTGGAACTCAGGTTCTGACCACTGGAATGGGCAATTCCTGTCTAGCTAGGTCAGGTCTAAATCCTCCCTCCCTTGGTGCTGGCTGAATTCTGCTCTGTGTTCCTTTTCACTGTGACCTGTCAGCTCTGAGTTCCAATGGAAAGTTCCACAATCACTGCTCTCTTCATCCCCCAAGCACACAGATTCTCTCACACTGCATGGCGCTGCTGGGGAATCAGGGAGGGTTGCATTGGCAATTCAGTATGGTCTTCTCTACCCACTTCAGTGCCTCTTCCCTTGCTGTAATGTTAAAACCAGGCACTGTAATCACTCACCTGATTTTTGGTTCTATGAAGATGCTTTTTTATGCAGATAGTTTTTCGATTTGGTGTTCTTCCTGTGGGGAATGACTGCCAGAGAGTTCCATTTGGCTATCTTGCTTCACTTCCTTTAGAAAACAAGAAGAAAAAGAAAAAAACCTTGAGGTTTGTTAGAACTAGTAAGAAACTATATTCTGTAACTGATATAAAAGTATGGACATATTGTTGACCTTTGGAAGCTCCGAAAAATACTGTGTTTATATCTATTAGGCATTTCAGCAAATCATCTAAATTTGCTGAATCTAATGGTGGTTGGAGTGAAGCACCTGTGACTGAAGATGAGTCACTTAGATTGTTGAAGAGTAATTATTTATTTGGTCCTTGTGTGAAAGAGGACAGAAGCGACAGGAAGAGGAGAGAGCCCTTACTCTCTCTCCTTTTTCTGTTCTTTCTTGTCACCTCTCCTTTGTCCCTCCCTTCCTCAATCTGTTTCCTCTCTCTTCCCATAAACCCAAATACTATCTAATAAACTCAACATGTTAAAGAGTACAAGTGTCAGTTTATTTTGTAATTTTGTAAAAAAGGGGGCACAATATACACTCTTTGGCTCAGGAGTGTAGTGTTCTTAGTTATGCACTTTTTCAGCAAGGTGTATTTTTTTTCTCTTAAATTTAGAGTACTGAACAGTCTTCTGCTACTAAACCCAAATGTACACATGGTCATGCTTGTTACATATTTACTTTACAAAAATATTGAAAAGTACCTTAGGGAGCGAACTCACGCTTATAACTTCTAACTGTAAAAGTAGACATAACATGTACCTATTCAAAGTTCTCATGTATTCAGAGTAATCCCTCTAAACAAATGCAATTAAAAATCATACTAATATGTCAACAGGACAATGGGTCTTTGAGTTCAAAAAAACTGCATCAGCATGATGGTGTCAGTGTTCAGTTCGAAAACATGTTTCCTGTGGCTCTAAATGCCAATTAGTATGATGCAGGAATTGGTGACACAAATGAGGGTTATAAATGTCAACATCATTAATTATCCCTAGCTGTTAATTAGATAGTAGATGCATCACTGGAAAAACTCAGAATGTCCTAAATTTATTAAGTGAATGTTAAATAAACTTTCATGTCCCCAATTTGATTCAGTAATGGAATTGCCAATGAAAAAACAATAGTACATATGAACAGCGGTTTTATTATTTTATTCTTTTTGGATTCAATTGATTTTTTTGTTGTTGATTAAGTATCTATTTCCTTTACCCCAAAGCATCCTAATTTACTTTCAGGGAATAGCGTCATGTCATCCTTATTGGGTACAATTTGATGGAAATGTTAAGCGTGTGCATTGACCTTCTTAGCCAAGGGGCAGGCATTTGACACAGTCAATTAGTTGCTTCCTTCCTGAAATTTGCATCTTGGTAGGAATACATTCGTTCTGGCAGTGACTTGACCAAATTGTTTCTGCTATAAGACTATAGTTTCTGGTTTTGTTCTTACCCACTTCTAAGCATATTTATCCATTCTTACTGTTAATGTTTCTTATCTTTCTACTCAACTTTTTTTTTTTTTGCTCAAGCTACACTTGATTTCTGTTGCTTTCAATCTAAGGTCTTGACATAGACAGCATATGATAAAAATTGCTTTGAACTTTCATTATTAAATTTCCTTGAGTGAGGTTCAATTTGGACTTTATATAACTAGTGAAGTAGCAGTAATTATATATTCATATATAAATTTCATTCTTTATAATCCATGATTAAACAACTGAAGCTTGTTTCTGTCACTTGAATTATTTTACTTTTGCCCATCATATTGGGAAAATTCCTGTAATGACAGATCAGTAAGTAGCATTAACAGAGACTATTAACAGTGTGTGTGTGTGTGTGTGTGTGTGTGTGTGTGTGTATGTTTGTGTGACTTTGAAGATGAGAATCCTTTTGTCAGTTTCCATTTCTGGTCCATTGCAAACCTCTGACTAACAATAACATTAATAATGATGATGACAGTAATTTTATAGAAAGCATGATATGTTTTCTGGTAGCTGAGAAAATAGCTAGTGTGGCCTTTGAAATTATGTGTCACAGTGTATGGATGACTAAAAGCCTAGCAATTCATGACAGCAAGTCCTTTTTGCATGTTTATGACCACATGTTGTGCATATTGGTCTGCAGTTGCAGCCATTATAAGAAAGATTCTTGATGCTTGCTGTCTTAGTTTATTTTGTAATGTTATAACAGAATACTTGATACTGGGTAATTGATAAAAAATAGAGATTTACTTTTTATAGTTCTAGAGGCTGGAAAGTCCAAGGTCCAGGGGCATGCATTTGGTGAGGCCCTTCTTGCTGTGTCATAACATAATGAAAATCATTACATGGGCAGGAAAGAGAGCAAGAGAAGGGGTTGAACTCATTCTTTTATCAGGCATCTACTCCTGTAATGACTAACCCACTTTCTTGATAATAACATCAATCCAATTATGAGAGCAGAACCCTTATGACCTAATCACCTCCTAAAAGTCCCACCTCTCAACACTGTTGCAATGGGGATTAAGTTTCCAACACATGAACTGTGGGGAACACATTCAAACCATAGCACTTGCCTTTCTGCCTCTGGATGCAGCATATTTTCTCAATAAAAGCAGCTGTTTCTTCCTGGATCTAGACCTTTGAGCCAACCTTATTTTAGAGAGAACTACAGATATATTGTATTATGTAAAATGAAGAATCAAGTTCAAATTAAGTTGTCCTTGAAATGTCCATGGTTAGTAGCATCTAAGGTATCCATGCTGCATTATGTAAAATGAAAAATCAAGTTCAAATTGTCATCAAGTTTTCCTTGAAATATCTTGGTGAGTTGCAACTTAGGTATCCAATTGTCGTTTGTTCTCAGCCCCTTACCAGGCCATTCTCAATATATAGATGGCATGGCTCTTACTGTATGGCATGACTGAAAAGTAAAGATGGTGTTACACTTATCTTGGACAGGAAGAACATATTGAGAAAATAACAGCACTAGCAAAAATCTCTTGAAGGATTCATTTTCTTTAACTGGAATAAAACTTCAGACGGAGCAAATAATCAGCCAATGTACAATAACAGGTACTGGCCTATCTTTCTGGGAATATTGCTAATGCAGGAAAGAAAGCATAATTTGCCCCTTAATTTGCATGTAATTAAAAGTGGGCGTAAATATGACTGCAGAACTGCCTTTGAGCTGTTACTCTGGGCACACTGCTTATGAGATAGCCCTGCTTCACAAGGAGCAGTATCTCTGCTGGTGTACACTGCTGCTTCAGTAGACATTGCTGTTTAACACCACCAGCTTACCCTTGAATTCTTTCCTGGATGAAACCAAGAACTCTCCTGGGATAAGCCCCAATTTGGGGGCTTGCCTGCCTTTCTTCAGAAGCACTGGAGAGGAGAATCTAAGTGTTCCTGGGAGAGTCAGGGAAGGCTTCCCATAGCAGGCAGCCTTGTTGCAGATAGTTTTGCAGGAGTTAGACCCTGAGATGTCAGTTTAGCCTGAGGAGTAATCATATATTTAAGTAGGAAATTTAATGTACTTAAAATATAGGTATACATAAGGCATTGTGGCAGTGCATATGAAAAGAAAACTTATTTTGCTGTTGTGAGAATAATAGAAATATATAGCCTTGAAATGCCATTGAAGCTAGGCTCAGAAGAATGAGCAAATGGAACTACTGAACAGGGTATTGTAGCCATTTATCCATGAAAGACAAGTCAGCAGTGAGGCTGGACAAAAAGAACTTACCCCCACCTAGGGGCTTATTTTCCAGTCCATTACTTCTTCCCATGGCTGGATCTTCAGCTTATCTTTGGCATCATAACATTCTGGGGGATTTTCTTAGGCTCACCTTTCAAGACTTCAAGTATTTAATTGAAACCACTGTTGAGAATGACATATTTTCTCATTGATACCCCCACACACACACACATACACAAAATTTCCTCACATATAGGAACTCCTTCTAATATTTTGCAATGTCATCTAAAATCTCATTACTCATCTTGTAAAGGAAGATTAATTCAAAGACGAAAACCGATGGACACATGAATGAACAAAGGCAAGTGATGGAATGCAGAACTCTCTGCATTGAAGTGTGAAAGTATGATAACTATGCAGAACTGTGATGGATCTTGTAAACACACTTTAATATAAGACCATAAGTAAGACTTGTGAAATCTAGGCAAGAAAAAAATGTACTTTCTCTTATGCTTGAAAAAGTCCTTATCTACAGAGAATATGCTCATATAAATTGTAAGGGAATTGCATGTGGCACTGCATTGTTCATAGAAAAAGAAAATTGTCTGATTTGAATTTTGACGTTTTTAAGAGCCCCCTGCAGCAGGTGTGGATTATGAAAAAGGCTCTCTCTAGCATAATTTGAGAGGATTACTTGGGAGGCATGAAATTATGCTCTCAGTAAGCACAGACTTATTTCTAAGCATCTTATCTTCAGGAAGAACCATAAACATCGATTATGACAGTTTTATGTATTATTTTTTCTGACTAGTCTCTTTTTATTGGTTAAGACTTGAGCTTCTGAGGAATAAGAGGAACCTAAAGGACTCCACTTGAGATGGCTGGCTCATGCCCGTTGCTTAAATCCAGGTGCTGGATTGGAGCTATGTGAAACCCTCAACACATAAGAAGTTGAAAAAAAACTGCTTTGAAGTGATGCTCAGGTCTTTTTTTTTTTTAACTTTTAAGTTCAGGGGTACATGTGCAGGTTTGTTACGTAGGTAAACATGTATCATGGAGGTTTGTTGTACAGACTATTTCATGACCCAGTTATTCAGCTTAGTACCATTAGTTATTTTTCCTGATGTTCTCCTTCCTTCCACTCTTTACCCACTGACAGGTCCCAGTGTGTGTTGTTCCCCTCTATGATATCATGTGTTCTCATCATTTAGCTCCCACTTGTAAGTGACAAGATATGGTGTTTGGTTTTCTGTTCCTGTGTTAGTTTGCTAAGGATAATCGCCTCCAGCTCCATCCATGTCCCTGCAAAGGACATAATCTTGATCCTTTTTACGGCTGCATAGTATTCCATGGTGTATATATACCACATTTTCTTTACGCAGTCTACTATTGAAGGCATTTAGGTTGACTCCTTGTCATTGATATTGTGTATAGTGCTGCAATGAATGTACATGTGCATGTGTGTTTGTGACAGAATGGTTTATATTCCTTTGGATGTAACCCAAATGCGATTGCTGGATCTAATGGTATTCCTGTCTTTAGATCTTTGAGGAATCATTACACTGTCTTCCACAATGGTCAATCTAATTTATACTCCACCAACAGTGTATAAATGTTTCTTTTTCCCCACAACCTCGCCAGCATCTGTTATTTTGACTTTTTAGTAATAGCCATTCTGACTGGTGTTAGATGGTATCTCATTGTGGTTTTGATTTGCTTTTCTTTAATGATCAGTGATGTTGAGCTTTTTTTCAAATGATTGTTAGTCACATGCATGTTTTCCTCTAAAAGTGTCTGTTCATGTCCTTTGCCCACTTTTTAATGGGGTTGTTTTTTTTTTCTTGTAAATTTGTTTAAGTTTCTTATAGATGCTGGATATTAGACCTTTGTCAGATGCATAGCTTGCAAAAATTTTCTCCCATTCTGTAGATTGTCTGTTTACTCTGTTGATGGTTTCTTTTGCTGTGCAGAAGCTCTTTAGTTTAATTAGATTCCATTTATCAATTTTTGCTTTTGTTGCAATTTGCTTTTGGCATCTTCTTCATGAAATCTTTGACCATGCCTATGTCCTGAATGGTATTGTCTAGGTTGTCTTCCATGGTTTTTTATAGTTTTGGGTTTTACATTTAAGTCTTTAATCCATCTTGAGTTAATTTTTGTAAATAGTGTAAGAGAAGGGTCTAGTTTAAATCTTCTGCATATGGCTAACCAGTTATCTCAGCATCATTTATCGAATAGGGAATCCTTTCCCCATTGCTTGTTTTTGTCAGTTGTTTCAAAGATCAGATAGTTGTAGGTGTGTGGCCTTATTTCTGGGTTCTCTATTCTGTTCCATTGGTCTTTGTATCTGTTTTTGTACCAGCACCATGCTGTTCTAGTTATTGTAGCGCTGCAGTATAGTTTGAAGTCAGGCAAAGTGATGTCTCCAGCTTTGTTCTTTTTACTTAGGATTGCCTTGGCTATACAGGCTCTTTTATGACTTTTAAAATAGTTTTCTCTAGTTCTGTAAAGAATGTCAATGGTAGCTTAATAGGAAGAGCATTGAATCTATAAGTTGCTTTGGGTAGTATGACCATTTTAATGACACTGATTTTTCCTATCCATGAGCATGGAATGTTTTTCCATTTGTTTGTGTCATCTGTGATTTCTTTGAGCAATGGTTTGAGTTCTTGTAGAGATCGTTTACCTCCCCAGTTAGCTGTGTTCCTAAGTATTTTATTCTTTTTGTGATGCCCAGGTCTTTAGCAGCTGCAAGCTGAAAGTCCAAAGAGGCAGGAAGATATGGCCACAATTTCTCAGAAATAATCTTGAATAAAGGCCATTACTGGCTTTATGGCTTGATCTACAGTATTCTTGGTATTATGGGGCCTTTACCATGAAAATCACACCCTAAGCCTGGTTCTGAATCAGTAGCTCAAAAGCCTGGGTAGAGATAACCATAAAACTAGTTTTGTGGAAGGGAGGGAAGGACAAGAAAAGGAAGAGTGAACATATGTTAAGCAAACAGACAATAATAACAAAAACACTTCTCACAAAAAATGAGGCTAAAAATGAAGATCCTCAAAGTCAAAAAGGCAGTCAATACAATAAATAATTAGCAGTTGAAATTAATCCAGATGAAATTAATATTATAACTATGTTCCTGAAAAAAGTTTAGAATAACTATTTTGAAGATGATCAAAGGCCCAAATGAAAGTATCACTTCACTAAAAAAGAATCAGAAAACTTGAAACAAGGAAGAAAAGAAGAAGGAGCAATGTCTATGAGAAATATCATTATTGAAATGAAAATTCAGTCAGCCAAATAGATTCTAACCAGAGTATAGAATGAATTTGCCCATAATGTAGTTTCCAGATACAGGGATGCAAACTGTACAAGAAGAGATAAGACATGAAAGGTAGATTGAGAGGCTCTGTATTAGTTATATATTACCGTGTAATAAGTTACTTTAAAACTTAGTCTTAGAAGACACTTATGTCTCATGGTTTCTGCAGCTCAGGGTTTTAGCTTGGTGGTTCTGGCTCAGGATTTACTATGAGGTTGTAGTGCAGGTGTTAGTTGAAAATGCAGTCATCTGAAGGACTGACTGGAACTAGAGAAGGCACTTCTAAGCTCATGCAGCTAGTTGTTAGCTTGACAGCCATTTAAAATGGGAAGTTATTGGAGGTTTTTGAGCAGAAGTGTTATAGTTTTAACTGGATTACATTAGCTGCTATTTGAGAATCACTTGGAAGTAAACAAGGGCAGAGATAGATCAATTAGAAGGCCATTGAAATAATCTAGGTAAGATGTGATGGTTACAGACTCAGGGCCGCAGTGTAAGGTGATAAGAAATGCTCAGGTGCTAAATATGTGGTGGCAATAGAGCCAACAAGTTTTATTGATACATTAGATGTGGAATTTTAAAGAGTTATTTCTACAACAATAGAATTATATCTTTGTCAAAAATGTTGGATTTTTAAATAGTTTGTTGTGTGTGTGTATGTGTGTGTCTTTACCATTAATGCATTTTTAATTTTTATGTAGTCAGTTTCATCCATTTCCTTCGTCATGGTTTCTGGGTTATGTGTGCTCTCTAGAAAAGTTACCCTCTGTACTTTAAATTACACAAAATATTTTCCTTCTTTTTTCCACTGAGTGTATGTTAAGGTGTTGAGAGTGAAATAGGCTCTTATTTTTTATCCCTCTTTTAGTGGCCATCCCAACTATCCACTGAATAATCAGATTTTGTCCAATTAAATGTGATTTGTTTAATTAATATTTTACTCTGTTTTATTTGTTGATATTGCGTTAAATGTACAGATAAACTCAAGGGTATTTTACATTCTTTCTCTTCTCCAAGAACAAGTCATATCTTTTTATCCATCCAAGTCTTAGTCACTGTCTTTCACAAAATAGCACCTTCATTATTTTTAGGTATTACACCTTTTCTATTGCTGTAGTGAGATCTATACAAATATGTATTTTTAGCAGTTTATTGAGGTAAAAATAAGATATAAAACATAACATTTGTTATTCATCTTAAATATACAGTTTGATGAATTTTAGTAAATTGATACATTTCAATTCATGTTTAACGATTACCCAAAAAAGTGTCCTCGTGTTCATTTGCAATTAATTCCTGTTCCTACCTCCAGGTCCAGGAACCACTGATATTTTATAAATGGAAGTAGAGAATATGTAATCTTTTGTTCTTGATTGCATGTCAGCTATTAACTTTCCTATTTTTTAAGAAGCAGCTCTAGTGTTTATTATGTTGTTATATATAATATAAATTAGCTTAAGTCCATTAATCTCTAATTTTTATAATTGTTTTCTTCTCTTTTACTTGGTTTTATTTTGCTGTTATATTCCTAATTTATTAAAATGAGCTCTGAATTTATTTGCTATTATTCTTTCTTGCATAGTAATTAAATGTTTAGGGTTATGAATATCTCTTGAGCTCTACTTAATCACATTCCATAGGTTCTAATGTGTACATCACCCCCATTTTATTTTCTAAAACTTTCTACACTTTGGTTTATCTCTTTGGCCCATATTAAGAGAAAACTTTCAATTTTCAGCTGGTCAAGGTGTTGTTTCCTTCTTTTCTAAAAACATTTATTTATAGCTTTTCTCTTTCTTTTTTTAATGATTGAAATGAGTGTAGCCTTTACTATTTCTACTTTTTAAAAATTTAATACACTTTCTGGTCCATTTTTATAAACATTTATTTGTCCCTGGATTAGAAATTATATATTCTGTTGACTGCAATACTTATATGTAAATGTGTTAGTATTTTCTTATTAAGTATATAATTTATATGCTCAATGCATAAAAATCATTTAAGATGCTTGCAAAAATGGTGATTTCTGGGTACCACTCCCAGAAAACCTGGTTTCATAGTCTAGAGTAGAGACTTGAAATGAATTTTCTTTTACAAGAATCCTAGGGAAGTTTGTTGCAAAATTTGCACTTTGAAAAATTCTTCCCCATATTGTTACTTATTTTGATTATGTACCTAATTTTCTATGAGATGAAAAAGGTGAATTAGAAGTACCTTAATATATTATTGTACTTTCTGTTCTATTTTTGGGAGGATTGCATTTTGAAAAATGGTATTATACTATTTAATACATCAAATTTTATAAAAAGTTCACATTTTATTGTTATCAGTTGCCCTTTGTTATCTCAGTTTTTCTTTTGAAACCCCAGTTGATACGAATATCCAACTTTTAGTTTCCCTGTGTGTTTGTGTGTGTG
This sequence comes from Homo sapiens, assembly GCF_000001405.40. Classification (NCBI taxonomy): domain Eukaryota; kingdom Metazoa; phylum Chordata; class Mammalia; order Primates; family Hominidae; genus Homo; species Homo sapiens. The sequence goes on along the minus strand of NC_000011.10, from coordinate 107,111,146 downwards.
TATTTTCCTAGTATAATTCTTCCATTTTGTTTCCGTTCTTTCTAAATGACTTTGATGTGCATGTATTTCTTATAGACAGAAACTTTTTTTTTTTTACCCAGTCTGAAAATGTTTTCACTTTAATAGTTCAGTTTTTCTCATTTCCATTATGACAGATATGTGTGGTCTTGGGCTGTCATCGTATATTGGAAAAATGAGACTTTGTGTTGGCTTTAGATTAGAAAGTGTCAGAAGTACTTCTGTTTAATTCAAGCTTGTCATGTACAGCTGCAGCAGGGATCAGTAATTATAAAACCTATCTAAACCACCAGAAGTTACACTGAGCTTTTATAGTGTGTGTCTAATAGGACTTAATCCAAGGTGAGAAAAGAGAGGAGATGAAAGAAAGTTTGCAGTGAATTCTCTTGCATCTGAAATGTGTAGACACAATTATAAATTATAAAAATATTAGCTAAGTTTATAAAATTATCTAAAACATCTTTCACAAACCTTGAGACCCATAAACTTAGAGTACCACTTTCATTTTTTAACCTTACAGAGTTATATGATATATAATAAACTGATTCAATTTAAGTATATAATTTGATAAATTTTGGTGTATGAATATACACTTGAAACCATAACCACAATCAAATTAATGAATATATCCATTGCCCTCAAGAATCTCCTCAAGCTCCTTTGTAAATCTTCCCTCTGTCCACATCTCTGACGTCTTCAATCAAACACTGCTGTACTTCGTGGAATTAGAATTACTTTGCATTTTCTAGAATTTTAAATAAATGAAATCATACAGAAGAAGCTACTCTTATGTCTGTCTTCTGTCACTTAGAACCTAATTATTTTGAGATTCCTTTATGTTGTTGGATATACTGATTGTTTATTCCTTTTGGTGGGTAGTATTCCTTTCTATGGATGTACTAAAATTTGTTTACCCATTCACCTGTTGATAGGTTGTTTCTGATCTTTGGCTATTGCAAATAGAATTGCTGTGAACATTCGTGTACAAGTCTTTGTTGTGAACATTTGCTCAACTACTAGTCTTAGATAAACATCTAGAGGGGAATGGATGAGATGTATGGTAGGTGTATGTCTATTTTAAGAAACTGCAAAACTGTTTTCCAAAGAGGATGTACCATTTTATATTCCAACACACAATGTATGAGAGTTCTAATTGTTCTACATATATGCTAATATTTGGTGTGATCAAGTTTTTAAATTTTAGCCATTCTACTGAGTGGTATCTCACTGTGAATTTAATTTAAATATCCCCAATAATAACTAATGATGTTGATACTTTTCTCAGATGCTTATTTATTAATTCATATATTATCTTTGATGAAGTGTCTGTTTTAATCTTGAAATTTTTTCTATTTTAATAGCTTTAAAGGTACAAGTGGTTTTCGGTTACATGAATGAATTGTATGGTAGTGACGTCTAGGATTTTACTGCACTTATCACCCAAGTAGTGTACAGTGTACCCAATAGGTAATTTTTTATCCCTCACCCTGCTCCAGCTTTCTCAAATTCTGAAACTCCAATGTCCATTATATCATGCTGTGTGCCATTGTGTACCCGTAGATTAGCTCCCACTTATAAGTTAGAATATGTGGGTTTTTTTTTTGATTCCTGAGTTACTTCACTTAGAATAATAGCCTTTAGTTCCATACAAGTTGCTACAAAAGACATTATTTTGTTCTTTTTTAATGGCAGAGTAGTTCTTTAAGAAATCTCCTTACCGTTTTCCATAGAGGTTTTATTAATTTACATTCCCACCACCAGTGTATAAGCATTCCTTTTTCACCATATCCATGCCAGCATCTATTGTTTTTTGACTCTAATAATGACCATTATGGCTGGGGTAAGGAGGTATCTCATTGTGGTTTTAATTTGTATTTCCCTCATGATTAGTGATGTTGAACATTTTTTTCATATGTTTTTTGGCCATTTGCGTATCTTCTTTTGAGAAATGTCTATTCATATCCTTTGCCCACTTTTTAATGAGATTGTTTTTTTTTTCTTGCTGATTTGTTTGAGTTCTTTGTAGATTCTGGATATTAGTCTTTTGTTGTATGCATAATTTGCAAATATTTTCTTCCATTCTATAGGTTGTCTGTTTACTCTGATTATTTCTTTTGCTGTATAGAAGCCTTTTATCTTAATTAGATCCCATTTATTTATTTTTGTTTTTGTTGCATTTGCTTTTGGGGTCTTAGTCATAAGACCAAGGTCCCGAAGAGTTTTTCTTAGTTTTTTTTTTTCTAGAATTTTTATGGTTTCTGGTCTTAGATTTAAGTCTTTAATCCATCTTGAGTTAATTTTTTTATATGGTGAGAGATAGGGAAACTGTTTCATTCTTCTATGTATGGCTATCTAATTTTTCCAGCCCCATTTGTTAAATAGGGTGTCCTTTCCCCAGTTTATGTTTTTGTATGCTTTGTCAAAGATCAGTTGGTTGTAAGTATTTAGCTTTCTTTCTGGCTTTTCTAATATATTCCATTGGTTTATGTATCTACTTTAATACCACTACCATGCTGTTTTGGTTACTATAGACTTGTAGTATAGTTAGAAGTCAGGTAATGTTATCCCTCCAGATTTATTCTTTTTCCTTAAGATTACTTTGGGTATTCAGGCTCTTTTTTGGTTCCATATGAATTTTAGGATTTTTTTCTGATTCTGTGAAAGATGATGTTGGTATTTTGATAGGAATTGCATTGAATCTGTAGATTGCTTTGGACAATATGGTCATTTTCATGATATTGATTCTTCCAATCCATGAACATGGGATGTATTTCCATTTATTTGTGTCATCTATGCTTTCTTTCAGCAGTGTTTGGAGTTCTTGTAGAGATCTTTCATCTTCTTGGTTAAGTATATTCCTAGGTATTTTTTTTTCAGCTATTTTAAAAGGGATGAAATTCTTAATTTGATTCTCAGCTTGGTTGTTGTTGGTGTATAGTGGTGCTATTGATTTGTGTTCATTGATTTTGTAACCTGAGACTTTACCAAATTCATTTATCAGATCTAGGAGTCTTTTGGAGGAGTCTTTAGGATTTTTTAGATATATATGAATTTATTCATATATATTTTTTAGATATATATGAATGATAAGTTCATATCATTGGCAAACAGAGATCGTTTGACTTACTCTTCTCCAATTGGATGTCCTTTATTTCTTTCTTTTGCCTAATTGCTCTGACTAGAACTTCTAGTACTATGTCGAATAGAATTGGTGAAAGGGGTCATCCTTGTCTTGTTCTAGTTCTTAAGGGGAATGCTTTTAACTTTTCCGCATTTATTATGATGTTGGCTGTAGTTTTGTCATATGTGGCTTTTATTATTTTGAGGTAAGTCCCTTTTATGGCTAGCTTGTTGAGGGTTTTTATCATAAAGTAGTGCTGAATTTTATCAAATGCTTTCTCTGCACCTATTGAGATGATCATATGTTTTTTTCAATTCTGCTTATATGATGAATTACATTTATTGACTTGCTTGTTGAACCATGTTTGCATCCCTGGAATGAAACCCACTTGATCATGGTGAATTTTTTTTTTATGTGCTCTTGGATTCAGTTTGCTCATATTTTGTTGAGGATTTTTACATCTATATTCACTAGGGATCTTTGTTTGTAGTTTTATTCTTTTTTATAATATTCATTCCTGGCTTTGGTATCAGGTTAATATTTGCTTTGTAGGATGAGTTAGGGAGTATTCTGTCCTTCTCAACATTTTGAAATAGTTTTGGTAGAATTTGTACCAATTATTATTTGAATGTCTGATAGAATTCAGCTGTGAATCCATCTGGCCCTGGGATTTGTGGTTGTTGTTGGCAGTTTTAAAATTACTGATTCAACCTCACTGCATGTTATTGGTCTGTTCAGAATTTCTATTTATTCTTTATTCAAACTAGGTGAATTGTGTGTTTCCAGGAATTTATCCATGTCCTGTAGCTTTTCTGGTTTGTAAACGCATTGTTCATAGTAGTCTCAAATGAGACTACTATGTATTGTATTTTTGTGATGTACATTGTAGTGTCTTCATTTCCATTTCTAACTGAGCTCATTTGACTCTTCTCTTTTCTTGTTTAATATAACTAGTGGTCTATCAATTTTATTTATAGTTTCACAGAACCAGGTTTTTGCTTCATTGATCTTTTGTATCTTTTGTGGTCTCAATTTTACTTAGTTCTGCCCTGATCTTTGTTATTTCTTTTCTTTTGCTAGCTTTGGGTTTTTTGAAAACTTTTAAAATTTCTGTCTTGATTTCATATTAACCCCAAAACCACTCAGGAGTAGATTATTTAATTTCCATGTATTTGTATAGTTTTGAGGGTTCCTTTTGGTATTGATTTTTTTCAGGAGTTCTTTACTCTGTTGTGGTCTGAGAAGATACTTGATATGATTTCAACTTTTACAAATTTATTGAGACTTGTTTTGTGGCCTAGAATATGATTTATCTTGGCAAATGTTTCATGTGCTGATGAGAGTAATGTACATTCTGCAGTTCTTGAGTAGAATGTTCTGTAAATATCTGTTAGGTTCATTTATTCTAGAGTGCAGTTTAAATCCAGTGTTTGTTGATATTCTGCCTCAATGATCTGTCTAGTGCCATCTGAGGAGTATTAAAGTCCCTCATTATTATTGTGCTGCTCTCTTTTTATAGGTCTAGTAGTAATTGCTTTATGAATCTGGGAACTCTGGTGCATACATATTTAGGATTGTTATATCTTCTAGTTGAATTGTTCCTTTTATCATTATATAATGACCTTCTTTGTCTTTTTTTTCTATTATTGTTTCAAAATCTGTTTTATCTGATATGAGAAAAGCTACCCCTGCCGACTTTTGGTTTTCATTTGTGTGAAATTTCTTTTCCCACCTCTTTGTACCTTGAATCTATAAAAATCCTTACATGTTAGGTGTGTCTCCTGAGGACAGCAGATATTTTGTTTGTGATATTTTATCCATTATGTCAATGTGTATATTTATAGATGGAGCATTTAGATCATTTACATTCAATGTTAACAATGAGATGTGAGGTACCATTCCAGCCATCGTGTTGATAGTTGCCTAGTGACTTTCTTTATTGTGTTACTCTTTGATAAGCCATGTGAATTGTATGCTTTGAGGAGTTTCTATTCAGGTGCATATCAACCTTTTATTTCAAGATTCGGAACTCCTTTTAGCATTTCTTGTAGGGCTGGTCTAGAATGGACAAATTCCCTCAGCATTTGCTTGTCTGAGAATGACTTTATTTCTCCTTTATTTATGAAACTTACTTTTGCTGAATACAAGATTTTTGGCTGCAGTTATTCTGTTTAAGGTGTATAAAGATAAGACCCCAATTCCTTATGGCTTATAAGGTTTCTACTGAGAAGTCTGCTGTCAGTCTGATAGGTTTTCCTTTATAGGTTACCTGATGCTTTTATCTCACTGCTCTTATAATTCTTTCCTTCATATTGGCTTTAGATAGTCTGATGACTGTATGCCTTAGTGATGCCATTTTTGCAATGAGTTTTTCAGGAGTTCTTTGACCTTCTTTTATTTGTATGCCTAAATCTCTAGCAAGCAAAGAGAAGTTTTCTTCAATTATTCCCCCAAATAGGTTTTCCAGACTTTTTGCTTTTTCTTCTCCCTCAGGAACACCTATAATTCTTAGTTTTGGTATTTTATATAATCTCTTATTCCTTGGAGACTTTGCTCATTGCTTTTATTTTTTTTTCTTTATTTTTATCTGACTGGGTTAATTGAAAAGCCTTGTTTTTGAGCTTTGGAATTCTTTCTTCTACTTGTTGTAGTCTATTGTTAAAACTTCCCACTGCATTTTGTAGTTCCCCAAATGTGTCTTTCATTTCCAGAAGTTCTTATTGGTTTTCTTTAAAACATTTACCTCTTTAGATAATTTTTCAAAAAATTTCTTTATGTTGGTTTTCATCTTTCTCTTGTATCTTCTTGAATAACCTAATAACCAATCTTTTAGATTCTTTAGCTGGTATTTCAAAGATTCTGTCATTGCTTGTATCCACTTGCTGGAGAGTTAGTGTGATTTTTGGGGTGTTATAAGATGCTATTTTTTCATATTGGTGGAATTACTTTTCTATTTTCTTCTAATTTAGGTAAACTATTTATTCTAATCATTTTTGCATTTATTTTTTATTCAACTAGATTTTTAAAAATTTCTTTTTTTCCCCTTCAGGAAGTGACTTTAATGTTTATTGTTTATTGTCACCTATCTTTGGCTCTGAGCACTTTCAATGGTGAAGAATCTGTATGAATTCCTTTGTGATACAGTTTGGCTCTGTGTTCCCATCCAAGTCTCGTGTCAAAGAATTACAATCCCCATTGTTGGAAATGGGGCCTGGTGGGAGGTGATTGGATCATGGGGGCAGTTTCTAATGGTTTAGCACTACCCCCCTAGTGCTGTCTTGTGATAGAGTTCTCATGAGATCCGGCTGTTTAAAAGTGTGGTATCTCCCCTCCCCCTTTCTCCTGCTCCAGCCATGTAAGATGTGCCTGCTGCCCCTTTGTCTTCTGCCATGATTGGAAATTTCCTGAGGCCTCCCTAGCCATGCTTCCTGTAGAGCCTGCAGAACCATAAGCCAATAAACCTCTTTTCTTTATAAATTACCCAGTCTCAGATATTTCTTTATAGCAGTGTGAGAAAAGACTGATACACTTAATTATAGTGAATCTTTGTGTGATGACTTTCTCAGATGCTGTAGTAGAAGGTGTGGGAGCATGTTCACTGTCTCCTTTGGGACTGGAATGGCGGAGGTCTCACGAAGCTTATGTCATGTAGCTTAGCTAAAAACTAGCTGTGGCTAAAGCAGGTGGGTAAATGCAATACCCCAATGGTGGGCAGAGGTCCCAGCTTTGACGGAGGTGGCTAGGGAAGCTCTCAGTAAAATGCACTGAGGTGTTTTCAGGGGCTACCACAGATCTCCTTCCAGGCCAGCAGGAAAGTGATCCACCTCCCAGTAACACTCCAGACCTGGTGTTCTGGCTATTCAGATCAGACAGGCACCTCCATTCATCTGCAGGAATGCTAACGTTCCATGCGAGAGGGATTGTAACTCTAACTCTCATGCTAGCCTGGACCTGGGGGGCACACCTCCTGTGGTTATGCAGTTACTCTGAAGTGTTCCCAAAAGGCTGCCTATAGATGCACCCATGCCAAGCTCTCTAGGAGAAGCCCCAGCTGCATCTGCAGTGGTGGGCAAGGGGGAGAAAAAGTCTCCTTCTCCAAGACTCTTCATGAGCACCAGGGATGCCTGACTATTGATGAAGAGTTGCAGACTTTCCTTACTGAGCACAACTTTGGGCCTATGCCTCATCTGAAAGAAACTTCTCATAAGTGGAAAATGCCTGGACTCAAGGCCTGCAGTCTGGTTTCTTTCGTCCCACAGGGTGTTCCCTTAATGTGTTGTCCTCACCCTTCCTTAGGAGTGACTATCCCTGAGGGCCAGCCTACTACTAATCCTGCTCCCCCTCTTGGTCTAGCCATCTGGTGGGGCTGCAACACTGTAGGCTGGTGCTGGGGAATGTCTGTAAGGGATCCAGTGATGTGATCTGATCTGTCCTCTAGGCTCCCAGCAGTGGGTACCAGCACCAGCTCTGATGAGGGTGGGATGGGAATGATGTTGACACTGAGATTTCCTTTGTTATAAATACCCTTAGTGTGTTGGCTTTCTTAAGTGCCAGCTGTAGCAGTAATGTATTGGGCATGTGGACAGACTCATGACCTCCTGGTTAGCCAGGGTGATGAAAGCAATGCTAATAGCTGAGGTGGTGCAAAAGCTTTCTCCTTCCTGAGTGCTGTATTATTGTGCTTGCAGATGATATAATGGGCTGTGCCAGTTGGCCTCCAGCCAGTAGGTGGCACTTGCAAAAGAGCACCAGCTGTGGTGAGAGCGGAGGAATCTGTGCTTACCTTATGTTACCCAGGGGAGGTGATCTGGTGTTTCAGGCAGTGGGAGGGAATGTGACAGTACCAAATGTCCCTGTTCATTATGTTATGCTACCAGGGTAGGTTGAGAGTGAAAGCCAGTGGAAGCTAGGTCCGCTATGTTTGTGCTCTTTGTGCTCTGGCTCCCCACATGTGGGCACAAGTAGTGGCCCCAATGGGGATCAGAGATCATTTGCCTTTCCACCGTGGTAACGTTCCAGGGAGGAGCGCAGCTGCCTTTGCGTCACACAAAAGAATCTACATGGGGAGTAGGGAGTGGCAGGCAGCAGTAAGCCCCACTCAGCTCCCATACACTTGGCAAGGCTGATCTCACATTCCAGTGTTCTGCTAATAGCAGCTAGCTAGGTTCGAGGCAGCCTGTGCTCAGAACTCAAAACTGCTCCAGGCCATAAGCCTTCCTGAGGGAGACAGAAACCATTGCTCTCAGGCCATGCCCCTCCTTGTCTGCCAGTGAAGCAGGAGTATCCAGCTCCTGCGCCCATGGCTGTAGCACGTGTCCTTCTTATGCCTCAGTTCTGGCCAATGGGGCTCATCCCCACTAAAGGTTGTATTTCAAATTCCAATTAGGGGCTTCTCTCAACCTATGATCACTACCTGAGTTAGCTGGCAGACTTCTGCAAGGTACCCTGTGAAGCAGGATCAGGAATGGCTTCCTTGCATCCCTGATGGAGTCCGCGAGGGCATATAAAGCACATCCCAATGCCGCTCCTTCTCGTATACTCCCCATCACTCCCTACATCAGCTCCTGCGTTGGAGAGGGTCAAGACCTTCCCCTGGCCTGGATGGCTTGGCTCCCCTGTTCAAGTGTGTGTTGCCTTGGCAGTTTCTCCCTGTCTCATGCTATGAAGACTCACAGTTTTCAGTTTGTTTTACCATGTAGGCTGCTGCCGGCCATTTGTTTCAAAGGGTCTGATGTTTCTTTCAGTTTTCTGTTAAGTTCCTGTGTTGCTTCTTGGAAAAAAGTTCACAGGTGAATTTCTACTCACTATTTTGTCTTTCCAAGTGGGACAGGCATGCTAACAATGCCTCCCATCTGCTAGTATCTGTTTAAAATCTTTTGCCCATATTTTAGAATCAGGTAGTTCGTTTCTTTTAAGCTGTAAAATTTATTTATATATTCTAGATACACGTCTTTTGTTGAATACATGTTGTACAGATACTTTCTCCCAGTCTGTGTCTTTTCATTTTCTTGACAGTGTCTGTTAAAGTACATTTTTAATTTTAATGAAATCCAGTTTATTGATATTTTCCTTTTATAATTTGTGCTTTTGTGTCATATTTAAGAAATCTTTGCCAAGCCTGAGGTAAGTAATATTTTCTCCCATGTCTTATTCTAGAAATTTTATAGTTTTAGCTCTTATATTTAATTCTGTGATATGTTTTTAGGTAAATTTTGTGCGTGAAGTGTGAGATTAGAATCCATACCAGCTACAGTTCTTGCAAAATGGGTAGAAATTTTATTTTTTTTCATTAAAATACCTTGCCAACTTTGTTGAAAATTAATTGACCATATATGTGTGAGTCCACATCTGGGGTCTGTAATCTGTTCCATTGATTGATTTGGTCATCTTTGCGTCAATACCACACCGTTTTAATCAGTGTAGCTTCATGATAATTTTGAAATGAAGTAGTGCAAGCTCTTCAAGTTTGTTTTCAGAATCATTTTGGTTATTTTAGTTTCTTTGTATTTGCATATAAAGTTTTGAATCAGCTTGTAAATTTTTAGATTCAACATTGTATTGCATCTAAAGATCATTTTGAGAAGAATCAGTGTCTTAATATTTAATCTTCCAATTCAGGAACATGTTGTGTCACTTTATTTAAATAGTTTAAAATTTCTTAGCAATGCTTTTTAATTTTCAGCGTACAAGTCTTAATGCATCTTTTGTAAAATTCACCCATAAGTAGCTTGTATTTTTTATGTTTTTGTAAGTGGGCTTGTTTATTTAGCTTAAATTCTGGACTGTTTGTTGCTAGCATACAGAAATACATTGAATTTAGGGTCTTCTGGCATGAATAAAAAGAAAGAAAAAAAAGAAATATATTCGATATTTATATATTGCTCTTGGATCCTGAAACCTTAATAAATTCACTTATTAAATCTAGTAGCTTCTTTTTAGATTATATTTAATTTTATACATAAACTTAACATGTATCAAATAAAGACAGTTTACTCCTTTCTAACCTGGCCTTTTCTTTTTCTCGTCTGACTGCACAGCCAGAAACTCCAGTAGAACACTGGATATAAATGGTAAGAGTCCTTGACTTGTCTTGTTCGTGGTCACAGGGGGAAAGCATTCAATCTCCCACCATTAATTATGATATAAACTGTTAGTGATTCATAGATGGCCTTCATCAAGTTGAGAAAGTTCTTTTATAGTCCTAGTTTTCTAAGAGAGTTTATGAGGTATGAATGTTGTATTTTCCCTAATGTTTTTTTCTGCATCTGTAAAGATGATTAAACAGTTTTTTTTATTTATGTTAGTTTATATGGTAGATTACATTGCTTGATTTTCTTTTCTTTAGATATATTTTTAAAAAATTTAAAATGCAGCCATGCTTGGAACATTGGTTGATTTTCTAATGTTAAATCAACTCTACATTTCTGGGTACACCTCACTTGGTCATGAGGAATTATTATTTTTATATTTTGTTGGATTACTTTTTAAAATAGATGTCATTTCATTTGTTTGTGGCTACTTATTTTATCAGTGCTTCATAGTTTTCAATGTACAATTCTTTCACGTCCTTTGTTAAATTTATTCATAAGTATTTTTTGATGCTGTTATATCAAATAAAAATACTTGTGAATAAACTTAACCAAGGGGATGAATGAATTGGGTGAAAAATAGATTTTCTTAATTTTTTGGATAATTTGTTGTTAGTATATATAAATGGAACTGATTTTTGTGTATTGATTTTGTATCCTGAAACTTTGCTGATTTCATTTATTAGTTGTAACAATTATTTTTGTGAAATTGTAAGGGTTTTCTGCATATAACATTATATCTGCAAACAGATCATTTTACTTTTTTATTTCTTATTTAGATGCATTTTATTTCTTTTTCTTCCTTAATTACTCTGGTTAAGGCTTTCAGTATCATGTTGAGTAGAAGCAGTGAGAGTTGGCATCCTTGACTTGTTTCAGATCTTGGGGAAAAAGCTTTCATCATTGAGCAAGATGTTAACTATGGGTTTTTAATTTGTAGCCTTTATTGTGTTGAATCAGCTTCTTTCGGCATATAATTTGTTGAGATTTTTCATCATGAAAGGATTTTTAATTTTGTTTGTTTTTAAATTTTTTATTTCCATAGGTTACTGGGGAACAGGTGGTGTTTCGTTACATGGTTAAGTTCCTTAGTGGTGATTTGTGAGATTTTGCTGCACCCATCACCTGAACAGTATACACTGCACCCTATTGGTAGTCTTTTATCCCTCACCCCCCTTCCCACCCTTTCTCCCTGAGTCCCCAAAGTCCATTGTGTCATTCTTATACCTTTGCATTCTCATAGCTTAGCTCCCACTTATGAGTGAGAACATATGATGATTGGCTTTCCATTCCTGAGTTACTTTACTTAGAATAATAGTTTCCAATCTCATCCAGGTCATTGCAAATACCATTAATTCATTCCTTTTTATGGCTGAGTGGTATTCCATCATACACACACACACAACACACACACACACACACACACCCCGGAGTTTCTTTATCTACTTGTTGATTGATGGGCATTTGGGCTGGTTCCACATTTTTGCAATGGTGAATTGTGCTGCTATAAACATGCATGTGCAAATATGTTTTTCATATAATGACTTCTTTTCCTCTGGGTAGATACCCAGTAGTGGGATTGCTGGATCAAATGGTAATTCTACTTTTAATTCTTTAAGGAATTACCACAACGTTTTCTATAGTGGTTGTACTACTTTACATTCCCACCAGCGGTGTAGAAGTGTTCCCTGTTCACCACATCTGTGCCAACATCTACTATTTTTTGATTATGGCCATTTTTTCAGGAGTAAGGTGGTATTGCATTATTTTGATTTGCATTCCCCTGGTCATTACTGATGTTGAGCATTTTTTCATATGTTTGTTGGCCATTTGTATATCTTCTTTTGAGAATTGTCTATTCATGTCCTTAGCCCACTTTTTGATGTGATTTTTGTTTTTATCTTTGCTGATTTGTGTGAGTTCATTGTAGATTCCAGATATTAGTCCTTTGTCTTATGTATAGATTGTGAAGATTTTCTCCCACTCTGTGGGTTGTCTGTTCACTATGGTGACTGACTTTTGCCATGCAAAAGTTATATTAAGTTATATTAAGACCCAGCTATTTATCTTTTTGTTGCATTTGCTTTTGAGTTCTTGGTCATAAAATCCTTGCCTAAGCCAAGGTCTAGAAAGGTTTTTCCAATGTTGTCTTCTAGAATTTTTATAGTTTCAGGCCTTACATTTAAGTCCTTAATCCATCTGGGTTGATTTTTGTATGAGGTGAGAGATGGAGATCCAGTTTCATTCTCCTTCATGTGACTAGCCAAATATCCCGGCGCCATTTGTTGAAAAGGGTGTCCTTTCCCCACTTTATGTTTTTGTTTGCTTTGTCGAAGATCAGTTGGCTGTAAGTATTTGGGTTTATTTCTTGGTTCTCTATTCTGTTCTATTGGTCTATGTGCCTATCTTTTCCTATAAGCTTTGGGTTTTATTTTATTTTTTATTTTTTATTATCCTTTAAGTCCTGGGGTACATGTGCAGAATCTGCAGGTTTGTTACATTGGTATACACATGCCATTGTGGTTTGCTGCACCCATCAACCCGTTATCTACATTAGGTATTTCTCTTCATGCTATCCCTCCCCTAGCCCTCCACCCCCTGACAGGCCCTCGTGTGTGATATTCCCCTCCCTGTGTCCATGTGTTCTCATTTTTCAACTCCCACTTATGAGTGAGAACATGTGGTGTTTGGTTTTCTGTTCTTGTGTTAGTTTGCTGAGAATGCTGGTTTCCAGCTTCATCCATGTCCCTGCAAAGGACATGAACTCATCCTTTTTATGGCTGCGTAGTATTCCATGGTGTATATGTGCCATATTTTCTTAATCCAGTCTATCATTGATGGGCATTTGGGTTGGTTCCAAGTCTTTGCTATAGTGCCTCAATAAACATACATGTTCATGTGTCTTTATAGTAGCATGATTTATAGTCCTTGGATATATACCCAGTAATGGGATTGCTGGGTCAAATGGTATTTCTGGTTCTAGATCCTTGAGGAATCACCGCACTGTCTTCCACAATGGTTGAACTAATTTACACTCCCACCAACAGTGTAAAAGTGTTCCTATTTCTCCACATTCTCTCCAGCATCTATCATTTCCTGACTTTTTAATGATCACCATTCTAATTGGCATGAGATGGTATCTCATCGTGGTTTTGATTTGCATTTCTCTAATGATGGGCTTTTTTTCATATGTGTGTTGGCTGCATAAATGTCTTCTTTTGAGAAGTGTCTGTTCATATCCTTTGCCTGCTTTTTGATGGGGTTTTTTTTCTTGTAAATTTGTTTAAGTTATTTGTAGATTCTGGATATTAGCCCTTTGTCAGATGGATAGATTGCAAAAATTTTCTCCCATTCTGTAGTTTGTCTGTTCACTCTGGTGATAGTTTCTTTTGCTGTGCAGAGCTCTTTAGCTTAATTAGATCCCATTTGTCAGTTTTGGCTTTTGTTGCCTTTGCTTTTAGTGTTTTAGTCTTGAAGTCTTTGCCCATGCCTATACCTATTTTTTAATGCCAGTGCCATGCTGTTTTGGTGACTATGGCCTTATAGTATAGTTTGAAATCTGGTAATGTGATGCCTTCAAAATTGTTCTGTTTGTTCAGTCTTGCTTTGGATATGAGGTCTCTTTTATGGTTCCATATGAATTTTAGAATTGTTTTTTCTAATTCTGTGAAGAATGGTGGTGGTATTTTGATGGGAATTGTGTTGAATTTGTAGATTGCTTTTGGCAGTATGGTTGTTTTCACAATATTGATTCTACCAATCCATGAGAATGGGATGTGTTTCCATTTATTTCAACTATGATTTTTTTCAGCAGTGTTTTGTAGTTTTCCTTGTAGAAGCCTTTCACCTCCTTGGTTAGGTATATTCCTAAGCATTTTATTTTATTTTATTTTTTGCAGCTACTGTAAAAGAGGTTGAGTTATTGATTTGATTCTCAGCTTGGATGCTGTTGTTATATAGAAGAGCTACTGATTTGTGTACATTAATTTTGTATCCAGAAACTTTGCTGAATTCTTTTATCAGTTCTAGGAGCTTTCTGGATGAGTCTTTAAGGTTTCCTAGGTAAACAACCATATTATCAGCAAACACCAACAGTTTGACTTCCTCTTTATCATTTTGGATGTCCTTTATTTCTTTCTCTTGTCTGATTGCTCTGGCTAGGACTTCCAGTACTGTGTTGAAGAGGAGTGGTGAGAGTGGGCATCCTTGTTTTGTTCCGGTTCTCAGAGGGAATGCTTTCAAATTTTCCCTGTTCAATATTATGTTGGCTGTGGGTTTGTCATAGATGGCTTTGATTACATTGAGATATGTCCCTTGTTTGCTGATTTTGCTGACAGTTTTAATCATAAAGGTATACTGGATTTCATTGCACGCTTTTTTTGCATCTAATGAAATGATCATGTGATTTTTGTTTTTAATTCTGTTTATGTGGTGTCTCACATTTATTGACTTCTGTATGTTAAACAATCTCTATATCCCTAGTATGAAACCCACTTAATCATGGTGGATTATCTTTTGGGTATGTCATTGGATTTGGTTAGCTAGTATTTTGTTAAGGATGTTAGCATCTATGTTCATCAGGGATATGGGTCTACAGTTTTCTTTTTTGGTTATGTTCTTTCCTGGTTTTGGTATTAGGGTGATATTGGCATCATAGAATGAATTAGGGAGGGTTCCCTCTCTCTCTTTTGTGGAATAGTGTCAATAGAATTGGTACCAATTCTTCTTTGAATATCTGGTAGAATTGTGCTGTGAATCCATCTGGTCCTGGACTTTTTTTTGTTGGTAATTTTTAAATTACAGTTTCAATCTCGCTGCTTGTAATTGGTCTGTTCAGGGTATCTAATTCTTCCTAATTTAAGATAAGAGGGTTGTATCTTTCCAGGAATTTATCCATCTCCTCTAGGTTTTCTAGTTTATGCATGTAAAGGTGTTCATAGTAGCCTTGAATGATCTTTTGTATTTCTGTGGTCTCCATTGTAATATCTCCCATTTCATTTCTTATTGAGCTTATTTAGATTTTCTCTCTTCTTTTCTTGGTTAATCTTGCTAATCGTCTATCAGTTTTATTTATCTTTTCAAATAACCAGCTTTTCATTTCATTTATCTTATGTATTTTTTTTGTTTCAATTTCATTTAGTTCTGCTCTGATGTTGGTTATTTTCTTTCTTCTTCTTCATTTGGGTTTGGTTTGTTCTTGTTTTTCTAGTTCCTTGAGGTGTGACCTTAGATTATGTGTTTGTGCTCTTTCACACTTTTTGATGTAGGCGTTTAGGGCTATGAACTTTCCTGTTAGCACCGCCTTGGCTGAATCCCAGAGGTTTTGATAGGCTGCGTCAGTATTATTGTTCAGTTTGAAGAATTTTTAAATTTTCATCTTGATTTCATTTTTGTGACCCAATGATCATTCAGAAGCAGATTATTTAATTTCCTTGTATTTGCATGGTTTTGAAGGTTCCTTTTGGAGTTGATTTCCAGTTTTATTTCACTGTGGTCTGAGAGAGCGCTTGATATAATTTCAATTTTCTTAAATTTATTGAGGCTTGTTTCATGGCCTATCATATGGTCTATCTTGGAGGAAGTTCCATGTGCTGTTGAATAGAATGTATATTCCATGGTTTTTGGATGGAATGTTCTGTATATATCTGTTAAGTCCATTTGTTCCAGGGTATAGTTTAAATCTATTGTTTCTTTGTTGACTTTCTGTCTTGATGATCTGTCTAGTGCTGTTAGTGGAGATTTAAGTCCCCCACGACTATTGTGTTTCTGTCTATCTCATTTCTTAGGTCTATTAGTAATTGTTTATAAATTTGGGAGCTTCAGTGTTAGGTGCATATATGTTTAGAATTGTGATTTTTCCTGTTGGACAAGGCCTTTTATCATTATATAATGTCCCTCTTTGTCTTTTTAAGCTGCTGTTGCTTTAAAGATTTTTTGTCTGATATAAGAATAGCTACTGGCTGGGCGTGATGGCTCACGCCTGTAATCCCAACACTTTGGGAGGCCGAGGCAGGCGGATCACCTGAGGTCAGGAGTTCAAGACCAGACTGGCCAACATGGTGAAACCCCGTCTCTACTAAAAGTACAAAAATTAGCTGGGCATGGTGGTGTGCACCTGTAGTCCCAGCTACTTGGGAGACCGAAGCAGGAGAATCACTTGAACCTGGGAGGCAGAGGTTCCAGTGAGCTGAGATTGCATCACTGCACTCCCGCCTGGCGACCGAGTGAGACTCCATCTAAAAAAATTAATAAATAAATAAAGAATAGCTATTCTTGCTTCCTGCTTGCTTTTGGTGTCCATTTGCATGAAATGTCTTTTTCCACCCCTTTACCTTAAGTTTATATGAGTCCTTATGTGATAGATGAGTCTCTTGAAGGTAGCAGATAGTTGGTTGGTGAATTCTTATCCATTCTGCAATTCTGTATCTTTTAAGTGGAGCATATAGGCCATTTACATTCAGTGTTAGTATTGAGATGTGAGGTACCATTCTATTCATCATACTGTTTGTTGCCTGTAAAGCTTGTTTTTTTTTTGTTTGTTTGTTTGTTTTTGTGTTTGTTTTTTAAATTGTGTTTTTGTTTTATAGGTCCTGTGAGATTTATGCTTTAAAGAAGTTGTGTTTTTAATGTGTTTCCAGGATTTGTTTCAAGATTTAGAGGTCCTTTTAGCAGTTCCTGTAGTGGTGGCTTGGTAGTGCTGAATTCTCTGAGCATTTGTTTGTCTGAAAAAGACTGTATCTTTTCTTCATATATGAAGCTTAATTTTTCTGGATACAAAATTCTTGGCTGATAATTGTTTTGTTTGAGGCTGAATATAGGGCCCCAATTTCTTCTAGCTTGTAGGGTTTCTGCTGAGAAATCTGTTGTTAATCTGATAGGTTTTTTTTGTTGTTGTTGTTTTTTTACAGGTTACCTGGTGCTTTTGTCTCACAGTGCTTAAGATTCTTTTCTTCATCTTAAATTTATATAACCTGATCACAATGTGCCAAGATGATGATGTTTTTGCAATGAATTTCCCAGGTGCTCTCTGTGCTTCTTGTGTTTGGATGTCTAGGTCTCTAGCAAGGCCAGGGAAATTTTCCTCAGTTATTTCTCCAAATATGTTTCCCAAACTTTTAGATTTCTCTTCTTGCACAAGAAAACTGATTATTCTTAGGTTTGGTCATTTAACATAATCCCAGATTTCTTGGAGGCTTTGTTCATATTTTCTTATTCTTTTTTCTCTTTGTTGGATTGGGTTAATTCAAAGACCTTGTCTGAGAGCTCTGAATTTCTTTCTTCTACTTGTTAAATTCTATTGCTGAGACTTTCCAGAGCATTTTGCATTGCATTTCATTTTGCACAGCATAAGCGTGTCCATTGTTTCCTGAACTTTTGATTGTTTTTTATTTATGCTATATATTCCATTGAATATTTCTCTCTTCACTTCTTATATCATTTTTAAAATTTCCTTACATTGGGCTTCCCCTTTCTCTGGTGCCTCTCTAATTAGCTTAACAACTAAACTCCTGAATTCCTTTTCAGGTAAATCAGGGATTTCTTCTTGGTTTGGATTCATTACTGGTGAGCTAGTATGATTTTTTGGTGGTGTTAAATAACCGTGTTTTGTCATATTACCAGAGTTGGTTTTCTGGTTCCTTCTCATTTGGGCAGTCTGTGTCAGCGGGAAGGTCTAGGGCTGAAGGCGTTTGTTCAGATTATTTTGTCCCATGGGGTGTTCCCTTGATGTAGTACTCTCCCCATTTTCCTATGGATGTGGCTTCCATAGAGCTGAGCTGTAGTGATTGTTATCTATCTTCTGGATCTAGCCACCCAGCAGGTCTACCAGACTCTGGACTGGTACTGGGGGTTGTCTGTGACAGAGTCCTGTGATGTGAACCATTTGTGGGTCTCTCAGTAATGGATACCAGCACCTGTTCTGGTGGAGGAGTGGGGTGAAATGGACTCTTTGAGGGTTCTTAGCTTTGGTGGTTAATGCACTATTTTTGTGCTGGTTGGCCTCCTGCTGGGAGGTGGCGCTTTCCTGAGAGCATCAGCTGTGGTGGTATGGGGAGGCATAGGCCGTGTGTGGGGCCCTAGAAGTGCCGAGAGTATATGCCCTTTGTCTTCACTTACCAGGGTGAGTAGGGAAGGACCATTGGGTAGGGGCAGGGCTTGGTATGTCTGAGCTCAGACTCCTTGGGCAGGTCTTGCTGCAGCTGCTGTGGGGGATGGGGGTAAGGTTCCCAGGTCAATGGAATTATGTTTCTAGGAGGATTATGGCTGTTTCTACTGTGTCATGCAGTTTGTCAGGGAAGTAGGAAAGCCGACAGTCACAGGCCTCACCCAGCTCCCACGCAATCCAAAGGGCAGGTCTTACTCCCACCGTAACCCCCAACAGCACTGAGTCTGTTTCCAGGCAGTGGGTAAGTAGGGCTGAGGACTTGCTCCACGCTACCTGCCTCCCAGCTGCAAAACCAAGTATGGCTTTCATTCTTCCCCTGCTTTTGGAATCTGCACACTGGATTCACGCCCTCCCCTGAGTTCTGGCCAGGATTCTTCTTGATCAGTTCAAATTGTTACAAAGTTCAGCTGGATATTCGCTTCTCCCTGTATCCTTTTCCTAGTGACTCCAGCCACCCTCCTGAAGGACCCATGTGAGGCCAGGCAGAAATGGTTTCCTAGGGGACCCAGCAGGGCTTTTCCTGCTGCTTCCTCTACTCCTGTATTTCACTCGGCTATCTAAATTCACTCAGCTCCAGGTAAGGTCAGAATCTTCTTCTATAATCTAGACCTTCAGTTTCCCCAGTGAGGGTGTGTGTTTGGGGGTGGATGATCTCCCTTTCCCACATCCACAGTTTGGGCATTCACAGTATTTGGGGTGTCTTCTGGGTCCTGCAGGAGCAATCTGCTTCCTTCAGAGGGTCTGTGGGTCCTCTCAGATTTCCTGATGTATTCCTGCAGTCATTCTGGAGCAAAAATTCACAATGAGAGCCTCCACACGCTGCTCTGACTGTCCAAGTTGAAGCTGCAGTCTAGTTTTGCCTCCCATCCACCATGATCTACCTTCTACCAAGCCATGATGAAAGAATTTTGAATTTTGTCAAATGGTTTTTCTGCATTTATTGAGAAAATTCTATAATTTTTATCCTGTATTAATGTTGCATATCACATTGATTTATTTGTGTATGTTGAACCATTCTTGAATTTCATGGATAAATCCACTTAGTCATGGTATGTGATTCTTTTATTGTGCTTTTGAATTCAGTTTGCTGACATTTTGTTGAGGATTTTGCATTCATGTTCATCAGGGGTATTTACCTTTTCTTGTGGTATCTTTATCTGGCCTTTGTATCAGGGTAGTACTGCCTCCTTAAAAAGACTTTGGAAGTGTTTTTCTTCGATTTTTTGGAAGAGTTTAAGAAGAATTGGTATTAATTCCTCTTTAAATGTTTGGTTAGAATTTACTTGTGAAGCCATTTGGTCTTGGGATTTTTTTTTTTTTTTTTTTGATGTGAGATTTTTTTTATACTGATTCAGTCTCCTTATTTGATATGGGTCTGTTCAGGTTTCCTATTTCTTCTTGATTCATTCTTCGTAGGTTGCATGCTTCCATATATTTATCTGTTTCTTTTAGATTGTCCAATTTGTTGGTTTATAATTGTTCCTAATAATCCTTTAGTGATGTTTTTTATTTCTGTGGCATCAATCGAAATGTCATCTCTTCCACTTCTGATTTTATGTATTTGAATTTTTTCTCTTTTCTGTTAGTCTAGTTAAGCATTTGCCAATTTTTGTTCATCTTTTCAGAAAACCAACCCTTGCTTTTGTTGATGTTTTTCCATTGCTTTTGGGTTCTGTATTTTATTTATTTCTGCTCTAATCTTTATTATTTCCTTTCTTCTACTAGCTTTAGGCTTGGATCTTTTTCTCCCTAGTTCCTAGACGTAACATTGACTCATTTGTTGAAGGTCTTTCTTCTATTATAATTTAGGCATTTATCACCAAGAATGCTGCATCTCATAAGTTTTAGTATGTTGTGTTTTCATTTTTGTTTGTCTCAAGATATTTTTAAATTTGCCTTTTGACTTCTTCTTTGACCCAATGATTGTTCAAGAGTGTGTTGCTTAATTTTCACATATTTGTATATTTTTGCTATCTTTTTGATATTTATTTCTTGTTTTATAGTACAGTGAATATTTCTTCTGCTCCATTTGTTTCATTCTTGTCTTCAGTGACACCCATTAAAGATTTACTAGTCTTTGTATATATTCTGCATTTATTATTTTCTCCTTAATTCTATTTAACTCTGATATTTTACATTTTATTATACTCTACTTTACGCTGCTTTTTTTGTTTATTTGTTTTTGAGATGGAGTCTTGCTCTGTTGCCCAGGCTGGAGTGCAGTGGCACAATCTCAGCTCACTGCAACCTCCTCCTCCCGGGCTCAAGTGATTCTCCTGCCTCAGCCTCCCAAGTAGCTGGGACTACAGGCATCTGCCACCACACCTGGCTAATTTTTGTATTTTTAGTAGAGATAGGGGTTTTACCATGTTGGCCAGGCTGGTCTCGAACTCCTGACCTCAAGTGATCTGCCCACCTCTGCCTCCCAAAGTGCTGGGATTATAGGCATGAGCCACCACACCTGACTACAATGCTATTCACCATGTGCTGGACCCACCTATGTTTATTCTCCTTTTTGTAGCTTTCAGAGTAATTTTATCTTGGTAATTATTTATTTTTCTCTTCAGTTTCTGATTTGCATTTGCACTGTTTCATATTGAATCTACTTTGGTTGTCATCATCTCGTGTTTGAAATCTCTGTTTTAGAAGCTAGGCAATATTTTGTTTAATTTGTGGAGAGGTGATTATTCCATTTTTTCTGTTTTGTTGTATAATACTTTTAAATTTTGCTCATTTTTATTTATTTACTTATTTTTAATAGTATAAATGCACTGTTTCTTATCTTTTTTTAGATATTTCTGATCTGTTTTTATTATTATATTTTAAGTTTTAGGGTACATGTGCACAACGTGCAGGTTTGTTACATATGTATACATGTGCCATGTTGGTGTGCTGCACCCATTAACTCGTCATTTAGCATTAGGTATATCACCTAATGCTATCCCTCCCCCTCCGCCCCGACCCCACAACAGTCCCTGGTGTGTGATGTTCCCCTTCCTGTGTCCATGTGTTCTCATTGTTCAATTCCCACCTATGAGTGAGAACATGCGGTGTTTGGTTTTTTGTCCTTGCGATAGTTTGCTGAGAATGATGGTTTCCAGCTTCATCCATGTCCCTACAAAGGACATGAACTCATCCTTTTTTATGGCTGCATAGTATTCCATGGTGTATATGTGCCACATTTTCTTAATCCAGTCTATCATTTTTGGACATTTGGGTTGGTTCCAAGTCTTTGCTATTGTGAATAGTGCCGCAATAAACATACGTGTGCATGTGTCTTTATAGCAGCATGATTTATAATCCTTTGGGTATATACCCAGTAATGGGATTGCTGGGTCAAATGGTATTTCTAGTTCTAGATCCCTGAGGAATTGTCACACCGACTTCCACAATGGTTGAACTGTAAACTAGTTCTTTAAAAAGAGCTTCATTCCTAGGCCTGGTGTTTATGGAAGTACAATGTAAGGGAAAGGTTAGGGGAACAAGCTGGAGTACTAACACACTTTAATTATTGACTCTACTGGTCATGGGTTTTCATAGTTATATCACCACTCCTGGAGACCTGGATATGTGCCTGGCTAGTAGTGAAACTGTGCATCTCACTGGCCCTTACTAGGACAATGTAGCATTGACTTCTGCATACGTTGCAGAGCTGGTTTCTCTTCACTCTTTTTTTTTTTTTCTTTTTCTTCTCTGTCAGGCCATTCACTCTTTCTATTCTACCTTGCCTCACTAATAGCCTACTTTGAAAGATGTTAAGTCTGAAAAAATCCTTCTTAAGCCCTGTTCCTTCCATCTCGTGGCTCGTGACTTTCCCTTAGCCCAACCTCCTAGATACTGCTATTTGAAGCAGTGGATTACTGGTTTGTTACATCAATTTTGCCACTCACTTTTTGTGGATTTGGGGTATTGCCATAGTTCTACAGAGACAAGTTTCTGTTCTCAACCCCTTTCCTGAATTCGGGCCAGGTTATACTATACGTGAACACTGTTCTTCATAGATTTTGATTTGGAGTTGTAATTGTGTCTTATTTTATCAGAGATGGAGTAGTTTTCTTTGCTTGTTTTTGCTTTTTATTCTCTTTGCTAGTTTTATTTTTAGAAAGGCTATTGTAAAAAGACAAAAACACTAATGCAACCCTTATTATTCTACCTTAGTTAGCTTTATTTATATTTTTTTATGTTTTTGAGACAGAGTCTTACTCTGTCGCCCTGGCTGGAGTGCACTGGTGAGATCTCAGCTCACTGCAACCTCCGCCTCCCAGGTTCAAGGAATTCTCCTGCCTCAGGCTCCCAAGTAGCTGGGATTACAGGTGTTCACCACTACACTGGCTAATTTTTTGTATTTTTAGTAGAGATGGGGTTTCACCATGTTGGCCAGGATGGTCTTGAACTCCTGACCTCAAGCGATCCACACACCTTGGCCTCCCAAAGTGCTGGGATTACAGGTGTGAGCCACTGTGCCTGGCTGACGTTAGCTTTCAAATGTTAAGACCATTTGACAGTCTTTCTCTTTTTGTGCCCAGGCCAGTGTTTGGCTGAGGGGAGACAGGAGTTCAAAGAGATGGGGAAAGGACTTTGCTGTAAACAGCTTTATAGAAATGACTATTTTACAGAACGTGCTCCAAGTCTACCTGTTAGGGACTTTCTCAACATGGATCTCATTTATGCCCTGGAAAGGTCTTCAAATTCTGCCTTATTGAACAGATTAATCAAATAGCTGTCTCTAAGCTAATCAGACTAAACAAGACTGCACATTTCGGGAATACATAAATTCACAAAGTTACTACTGATTTACCAGTTTCCTGGAACCCTACTTATTACCGATATATACCAGTGTCCATTGTACACATAGCTTAAGCCATTTCTGGTTCTCATTCTTCAAGTCCTAATCTCTTGGTATGGGCCTGGTTTATGTTTGCTCTCTGGTAGTCAGCCCAAGCATCAGAGTCATACCAGCAATCTTTAAACATACAGCGGAAAGAAGCTGATGTTCAGAGATGTTAAGTGGCATGTTCAAAGACACTAATTCAGACAGTTAGAGCCAAGTCTTAAATCCATCTCCAGGTGCTGAGATGCCAGGTGCTTTTATTTTTTAAAATATTATTCCTGTAACTGTCCTAAGAAGATTGTGTTATTTCTGCGGGAACTGAATTAGAGAATATGTCACTTGCCTCATGTCATACAGATGATAATAGTAGAGCTGATACAGGAATCAGGCCTTCTCACCTAAATCCAGGACACTTTCCAATGAAAAAGTTTGCAACTTCAGTAACTGACTAGCCAATGCTTTTCTCCTCTCTCAACCCAACAGCTCCAATTATATTTCCTTGACTGTGTTCCTATATCTTAAGCCTTATATATGCTATATATGCATTCCTCTGATAATTGCTTGAATTACTCAAAGTGGAACAGTTCAGTTTTTCTCTATTATGTCCCTAGGCTCAGGAACATTGTGCCTACTGCTTTTGAATATTTAAAACTTTTTAATCCTTTTTGCTCCATTCCAAGGCAGTTTCAGGCTTTGAAGGAAGCCAGTGGGGAAAATCCATGCTTATTATAAGCCCTTTATTGATACTGCTCTAAAAAGTCACCAAAGGAATAGAGATTTGGAAAGTTCTCACTATAACCAGGATATGTTAATTACTCAGTGTGAGACACTGAGTTAGAGGCTCTAGAAGATAATAGTATTGTGTTGTAAAGGTTGCAGTACTGAGTTTAATTTTTTGATCTTGTTTCAATTATCTCCCTTACCTTGAAAAAGATTGGGCTGCTTTTCTACTTGGGATGGCAGAGTTTCCATGAACTATCCGAAATATTACACTGTGTCTGGTAGGTAGAAAAATTATTTTCATGAACTCCTTCAAAGGTATTTTGAAAGGTGTCCCTCTACATTTGAAGATATTAATAAGAGATTATAACACTACTTGAGAGTCAGCTGATCTGAGATCAGAACCTGAGGCAGGCTTCATGCTAGAGAGCTACTGAGGGATGTGGGGCTGAGAAGTGTTAGCAAACATCTTAAACCAAACTCCAGTATATTTAGTTAAATAAAACTTGAGTTATTCCTAATCAAAGCATCTTTGTTTGCTTGTTATTTTACACTCAAATGAATTTTAACATTAAAGCAAATTGAATTAGGAAGCATTTTAAAATTTATTGATATCTGATTACAATGTCATTTGAAAAGAATATCTTATTGATTTCAAAAAGGAACATGCATGTGGATAGTAACTAGTGAGTTTAAAACTTGTAACACCTAAGTGGTAGATGCAATTTGGCTAAATGCTTTTTTTTTTTTTTTTTTTTTTTTTTTGAGACAGAGTTTCTGCTCTTGTTGTCCAAGTTGGAGTACAATGGCACGATCTCCGCTCACCGCAACCTCCACCTCCCGGGTTCAGGCAATTCTCCTGCCTCAGCCTCCTGAGTAGCTGGGATTACAGGCATGCACTACCATGCCAGGCTAATTTTATATTTTCAGTAGAGACAGAGTTTCTCCATATTGGTCAGTCTGGTCTCGAACTCCTGACCTCAGGTGATCTGCCTGCCTTGGCCTCCCAAAGTGCCGGGATAACAGGCATGAGCCACCGCACTCAGCCACTTTTTCTATTCATGTGGAGTAGAAACCAAGACTGGTTTCCATGAGGAACTGTACTGGTGCCAAAGCCACAACACCAAGACTCACATTAGGTTTTTAATTGTTGTTTTTGTTTTGTAACAGCATCATTGCCTCACTTAAGGAGATATACCTCTGGCTTTCCTAGTATTCTAGATGTATCCTGCAGCATTTCTGGTAATTTCCAGCTTAGTAATGTCTAAAAAGGCTTTAGCCATTTCTCCAAAACTCATTATATGTAAATGATAATGAACTCTGCCTATGGATGATATTTGAATACGAAGACGCCTGAAATTATAAGACTACACTAAATTTTTCATTTTAGTTTTCATATTGGATTACTTATGTAATTATAACTGTCTGCCATATCATAATCCTACATTGAGAAAATAACTCCAGATGTTCCTATTCAGAAATTATTAGGCTTTCAGACAAGGGACCCTGTTACCATGCTCATAATCTATTTATTGGAGTATCTATTCCCTAATCAAAGTAAACCACTATAAGAGTGATTCCAAGCCTGAAGTCTCAAATGCATTTCAGAAACATTTCTATGTATTTCTTTGAAAGGGTCTATAGTTTTATTGGATTTTCTAAGGTAGCATTTCTTCAAATGTGACCACTGTACCTCTCAGAATCCCTGTAAGCCTACAGAGTACCAGCAGGCTTTGGCAATTTTAGAAGAAAAAGTGATAAAATAACTTACAAGTACATTCCATATTTTAAATACAAGATTTATTATCTTGTCAGAGAAATATACAATTCTCTATTTTAATCACTGTGTTCTTAAAAATTGTGAATGATTTAGGACTGCATTCTTCAGTCTTCTTTAATATTTAATAATTAAGGTGAGGTTTAAAATGGCTCACCTGTATATGAATTGAATTATATAAACAATCTACAAAAGATGGATCTATATATCAAAATGATAATAATATAAACATTACAACTCCAAATAATATTCTTAATGAACTTAGTGAAAAAGCCTTCATTACCAATATAGAATATGAGAGTATATGAGCTTGGATGAGAGATTATAAAATACAATAAATTTCATAACAATAAAATGAGTGCAATAAGGAATTATCTGAAAGTATCTACCCCTAGATTTGTCTTTTAAAAATTTGGAAAATATGGCATGAACTCTTAGGGGTTTTCCTGTCATTTTCAAACAAAGCACAGTGCCCCTCCAGTAAAATCAAATTTTTGATTAATATGTTGTGAATGGCCTGGAAAGTTTCCAGGACAAGGACAAGGCTCAGGGATGGGGAGCCTCCTCTCTGTTGAAGAGACTGATCTGGAAGTTTGGAGAGGCTAAGGCAGCTGAGGTTAGCATGGTAGAGTAACAGAAAGAAGAGAGCTGTGCAGAAATAAAATGCTGGAAATTAGTAGAGACTCTCCCTCAAATATTTAGTAGTACTGATTAGAATGTGCACGTGAGGGAAATACTGATTAGAATGTGCACGTGAGGGAAAAGGTGGGAGAAAGAATACCCCAAACTAGTAGGAGGAATAGTACATAGAACTCACACATCACTGGGAAGGGTGTTTATTGTCAACAGCTAGAGCAAAAAACCTAATAATGTGTGGGGCATCAGTTGTAGAAAAAAAATGAACCCTAGATCCAATGTTGTCCTGTTCCTACTTAATCAAGATTAAAAGTTAGATCTGAAAGGATCGAACAGTTTCCAAATAACTCAACTATGTCCTAGATAAAGCTCAAAAATATTTATAGGAATATGAAAGCATCTAGTACCAAACAAGGTCTAAATATAATGCTTGGACTCTGAGTAACATTGCCAGGTATGCAAAGAAATAGGAAAATGCAATCTATGTTGAGACAAATCAGTAAATGAAAATGGACTAAACATGATATAGATGATAAACTTAGAAAAAAGAAAACATTTAAAAAGTAATTATGGCTGTGTTCCATATGTTCAAATGCCAGAAGAAAGATTGAGCAAATAAAACTTTAAAAGATAAAAATGACAATTTCTGAGATCAAGCATATGCTGGGTAGAATTCACAGAGTAGACAATAGAGCTCAAAAGATTAGTGAGCTTGAAGACATAGCAATAGAAACAAAGATAGAAAAAAATACTTAAAAGAGCATCAGTGAGCTATGCAAAAAATTCAAGAAACTAAATATACAAATAATTATAGTCCCTTAAGCAGAGGATGGAGGGAGGAGATTGAAAAACCATTTAAAGAAAAAATAGCTGAAAACGTTCCAAATTTGGTGAAAATTATAAACATGCAGATTCAAAAGTTCAATGAACCCAAAGTACAAGAAACAAGAAAACTATACCAAGGCACATTATGATCAAATGCTTAAAACCAATGATTTAAAAAAAAACCCATGATTAAAAAGAAAAAAAAATTCAAAATCCTCATAGAAAATATATGCATTATTTAATGAAGAACAATGATATGGATTACAGCAGATTTCCTGTTGAAAACAATAGAAGCCACAAAAAAGGCACAGCATCTTTAAAAGTACTGAAAAAAAATTTAACCTAGAATTATATGTCTGTCGAAAATACACTTCAAAGAAAAGACTCTTCAAAAAAGGCTTTTTTTCAGACATACAAAAGTTGCAATAATTCTTTATACAGAGATCTGCAATGCAAGACTTGCTAAGAGAAGTCCTTCAAGGAGAGGTAAATTGTATCAGTCGGGAACCTAGATTTACACAAAGAAATGAAGAAAAACAGAAATGATTACATGGGTGGTATGGGTTGGCTCTGTGTCCTCACCGAAATTTTACCTCAAATTGTAATCCCCATAACCCCCATGTATCAAGGGCAGGACCAGGTGGAGGTAATTGAATCACGGGGGTGGTTTTCCCTTATGCTGTATTAGTGATAGCTGTCACAAGATCTGATGGTTTTATAAGCATCTGGCATTTTTTTCTGCTTGTACTCACTCTGTTCTGCTGCCCTGTGAAGAAGATGCCTGCTTCTCCTTTGCCTTCTGCCATGATTGTAAATTTCCTGAGGCTTTCCAAGCTATGTGGAACTGTCAGTCAATTAAACCTGTTTCCTTTATGAATTACCTAGTCTCAGGTACTTCTTCACAGTAGTGTGAGAATGGACTAATACAGTAAATTGGTAGTGAGAGTGGAGTGCTGCTATAAAGATACCCAAAAATGTAGAAGCAACTTTGGAACTGGGAAACAGGAAGAGGTTGGAACAGTTTGGAGGGCTCAGAAGAAGACAGGAAGATGTGGGAAAGTTTGGAACTTCCTAGAGACTTGTTGAATGGTCTTTACCAAAATGCTGATAGTGATATGCACAATAAAGTCTAGGCTGAGGTGGTCTCAGATGGAGATGAGGAACTTGTTGGGAACTGGAATAAAGGTGCCTGTTGTTATGCTTTAGCAAAGACACTGGCAGCATTTTGTCCCTGCCCTAGAGATCTGTGAAACTGAACTTTAGAGAGATGATTTAAGGTATCTGGTGGAAGAAATTTCTAAGCAGCAAAGCATTCAAGAGCTGACAAAGCATAAACGTTTGGAAAATTTGTAGCTTGAGGATGCAGTAGAAAAGAAAACCATATTTCCTGGGGAGGAATTTAAGCTGGCTGCAAAAATTTGCAAAAGTAATGAGGAGCCAAGTGCTGATCACCAAAACAATGGGGAAAATGTCTCTGAGGCATGTCAGAGACCTTCACAGCAGCCCCTCCCATCACAGGCCTGGAGATCTCTGAGGCAAAAATGGTTTTGTGGGCTGGGCCTAGGGCCTTGCTGCTTTGTGCAGTTTCAGGACTTGGTGCCCTGCATCCCAGGCATGGCTAAAAGGGTCCAATGTAGAGCTCAGGCCATTGCTTCAGAAAGTGTAATCCCCAAGCCTTGGCAGCTTACATGTGTTGGGCCTACAGGTGCATAGAAGTCAAGAATTGAGGTTTGGGAACCTCTGCTTATATTTCAGAGGATGTTTGGAAATGCCTGGATGTCCAAGCAGAAGTTTGCTGCAGGGGTGGAGCCCTCATGGAGAACCTCTGCTAGGGCAGTGTGGAAGGGAAATGTGGGATTGTAGCCCCCACACAGATTCCCCACTGGGGCACTGCCTAGTGGAGCTGTGAGAAGAGAGCCATTGTCCTCGAGACCCCAGAATGGTAGATCCACTAACGCCTTGCACTGTGCACCTGAAAAAGCCACTGCCCTGTTGGATTTCAGACTTGCATGGGGCCTGTGGCTCCTTTGTTTTGGCCAATTTCTCCAATTTGGAATGGGAACATTTATCCAATGCCTGTACTCCATTGTATCTAAGAAGTAACTAACTTGCTTTTCATTTTACAGACTCATAGGTGGAAGGGACTTGCCTTGTCTTAGATGAGACTTTGGACTGTGGATTTCTGAGTTAATGCTGAAATTAGATGACACTTTGGGGGACTGTTGGGAAGGGATGATTAGTTTGGAATGTGAAAAGACATGAGATTTGGGAAGGGCTGGGGTGGAATGATGTGGTTTGGCTCTATCTCCCCACCCAAATCTCATCTCAAGTTGTAATCTCCATAATCTGCACGTTAAGAGTGGGATCAGGTGGAGGTAATTGGATCATGGGAGTGGTTTCTGCCATGCTGTTCTAGTGATAGTGAGTGAGTTCTCATGAGAGCTGATCATTTGATAAGCACCTGGCATTTCCCCTGCTTGCACTCATTCTGTCCTGCCACCCTGTGAAGAAGGTGCTTGCTTTTCCTTTGCCTTCTACCATGATTGTAAGTTTCCTGAAGCCTCTGCATCAATGTGGAACTGTGAGTCAATTAAACCTTTTTTCCCTTATAAATTACCCAGTCTCAGGTATTTCTTCATAGCAGTGTGAGAATGGACTAATACAGTGGGTAAATATTGAAACATTTCTCTCTTATTACATTTTTTTCCTAAAAGATAATTAACTCTTTAAATAAAAAGTAATAATAAATTGGGATTTATAACATATATATTAAGTAAAATGTATGAAAGCAACAGCAAAAAGGCTGGGAGAGAGAATTGAAACTTCTTCTTTAAAGAACTTTTGTGAAGAATTTTGGCAAAATCCTTATGAATGAAATGATAAAAATATCACATAGAAGTAAACTGTGACAAAATAAAGTTATAAAATATACATCCTAATGCAACAACTACAATAACTTAAAAGTTATAGCTGCTAAGGCAAAAAGAAGCAAAAATGTAATAAAAAATGCTCAATTAATCCCAAAGAAGGGAGAAGACAGAAAAATGTGATAAAAGAACATATGGAATATATAGGACACAACTATGAGGATGGTCTGTTTAAGACCAAAAATATAAACATTACATTAAATATAAATATTCTAAACACCCTAACCAAAAGGTAGATATTGTCAGATCAGATAAGCAGGACCTAATTATATCATGCCTATAAGAAACCTACAAGGAACTTTAAATATGAAGACACAGCTAGGTTAAACGCAGTGTGGATGGTCACAATATATATGCCACAATAACCCTAATCCAAAGAAAGCTGGAGTGGCTATTTTTATTTTAGATAAATTAGGTTTTAGAGCAAAGAATACAAGCAGAGATAAAGAGAGTCATTTTGTAAGGACCTGTTTATTAAGAGGGCATAGATTCCTAAATGTAATAGAATGAGCTAAATAATGAGAACACACGGACACATAGAGGGGAACACCACACACTGGGGCCTATAAGAGGGTAAAGGGTGGGAAGAGGGAGAGGATTAGGAAAAATAACTAGGAGCTACTAGGCTTAATACCTGGGTGATGAAATAATCTGCACAACAACCTCCCATGACACAAGTTTACCTATGTAACAAAACTGAACTTGTGCCCCTGAACTTAAAGTTAAGAAATTTTCTAAATGTTTATGCACTTATTAACAGAGCTCCAAAATAAATAAAGCAAAAACTGTTAAAATAGAAAGAAATGGACAAATCCACAATTGTAGTTCAATGATTTTTAACTCTTCTTTCAATAATACCTAAAATGAGAAGACAGAATATCAATAAGAATATAAATACTTGAACAGTACCATAGACCACCTTGACCTGTGTCATGTATAGAATGCACCACCAAATGACAGATACTTTTTAAGTATACATTTATTAAAATAGATAATATCCTTGTCCATAAAACAAGTCTGAATAAACTTTGAGTCAAGTCATACTAAGCAGGTTCTCTGAGCAAAACTGAATTAGATAAATAGCCAATAAGAAAAGATATCAGAAAATACTCTAACTAAAAACAACACATTTCTAAATAAGATTCAAAGAAACAATAAAAATTTAAAAGTATTTTTAAATGAAAATTAAAACAACATATTAAGATATGTAGGATACAGCTAAAATAGTATATACAGGGAAATTTATAGCACTAAACTTCATTAGAAAAGAAAAAAATTCTTAAATTAGTGATCTTGGTTTCACCTCATTAAGAAGCTAGAAAAAGAGAAGCAAATGAAACCTAAATTATGAAAAATAAAATAATGAAGATAAAAATGGAAATCAATAATATAGAAAACAAATCCAATAGAGAAAATCAATAAAAGTAAATGCTGATTATTTGAGAAGATAAAATTGGTAAACCTCCAGCCAGAGTAATTGGAGAAAAAAGAAGTCACACATTATTAATATTAGAAATGAGATAGACATGATTATAGATTCTACAGATATTAAAAAATAATAAGTAATTATTATAAAGAGCTTTATGCCAATAAGTATGACAACTTAAATGAAATGGAAAAATTCCTTAAAAACACAAACCTTGAAAGCTCACAAAAGAATAATCAGATAACCAAAATGGCCCTATATCTATTGAATAAATTAAATTTTGGTTAAAAACTTTAGTTAAAAACTTTTCCATAGATGTAGTTTCAGCTTTGTAATAAACTTGAAATCTTCACAATAAGGAAAAGCTGGATAAACTAGAAAATCAATGCCTTTTCTTGGACCTATCAGAGAACTGAAGTCTTAGGATAAACTGCCACCCTAAATATGGAGACATAGGCACATCCAAAGTAATATAGTTTAGATATTTATCCCCTCCAAATTGAATATTGAAATTTGATCCCCAATGTTGGAGGTGGGGTCTACTGAGAAGTATTTGGGTCATGGGGGACAATTTCCTCATGAATGGCTTGGTGACATCCTCGTGGTAATAAGTCAGTTCTTGCTTTATTAGTTCCCTGACGGTGGGTCCTGGTTGTTAAAATGAGCCTGGCACTGCCCCCTTCCCAGCTTGCACCCTCTCTCACCATGTGATGCCTGCATCCCTTCACCTTCTACCATGAGTAGAAGTTTCCTTAGACCCTCACCAGAACCAAATGTGAAGCACCATGCTTCTTGTACAGCCCACAGAACAATGAGCCACAGAAACCACTTTTCCTTATAAAATGACCCAGTCTCAGGTATTCCTGTATAGCAATGCAAATGGACTAAGGCACAAAGATAGAGAACCCAAAATCTGCTTAACTGGAGCAGAAACCACTAGAGCCATAAACTCTGGTAGCAACAATTCCATGGTAATTTCAGTGAATTCCTGGAGGCTGAGTGTGGACTTGCACGAGAGTGTTCCTGAGGCCATAGTCTTAGGATGCACCCTATAGTTAGTCGTTGGGAAATGCAAATTAAAACCACAGTGAGAAACCACTATATACTTATTAGAATGGCTAAAATTAAGAAGACTATCTATATCAAGCACTGATGAGTAAGTGGATGAGTTGGAACTCTCATACACTGTTAGTAAGAATGTAAAATTGTACAACTATTCTAGAAATTAGTTTATGTTTTCCATATTATCCCAACATTCCGTGCTTAGGCATTTTCCCAAGAAAAATGAAAGCTTATGTCCATGCAAAGACTTATACAAGAATAATCATAGGAGCTTTAATTGTAATATCCCCAAACTGGAAACAACTCCAAGTGTCCACAAGAAGGTGAATTGATAAATGGTAGTACATTCATGCAATGTTATACTACTCAGCACCAAAAAGAAACTGTCCATAAGTATTAACAGCATGGATTAATTTTAAAACAATTGTAGTTCAACGAAAGAAGCAAATCAACCATGAGTACTTAGTCATGATTTTATTTGTGCAAGAATCTATAAAATGCAAACTAATTTGTAGTGGCAGAAGGCAGATCGGTGGTTGCCTCGGAATGTGGGGTTGTGTGTGGGTCAGGAGAGAGGAATGACAAAGTGGCACAAATACTCTTTTGGGTAATAAATACGTTAATTTTGTATTGCAATGATATTTTCATGGGTGCATATATATTTCAATTTTTTTTTCTTTTTCTTTGGTCATATTTTACCTCCAAATGTCAACATTGATCAAATTATAAACTTTAATCATATAAATTTTATTTTTGTCAATTATACCTTAGTAAAGATATTTTAAAATTACCAGTCTGGGACCAGTGAAACCTTTGGAGCCCTTGTGCAAGATAAATAGAACTTTCTAGAAGAGACACTTCTATAATCGAGAATCCTTGTGACTATTCATGCAAAAATACCCCTAGAAGAAGAGTAGCTTACAATAGCAAAAATCATAAACTACTTTCAAAAAAGTGAAGATTTTATAAAGAAAATTTCTAGTGTATAAGAACAATAAAACGTCACGCAATTTGTTTCTGAGTAGTAGTATATTGCATGAATATGTCACATTTTGTTTGGTCATTCACATGTTGGTGGACATTTCAGTTACTTCCAGTTTGTGGTTGTTGTGAATAAAGGTACTATGGGTATAAACACACACACACACACACACACACACACACACACACACAATCATGAGATGATAAAATACTGCCATTTATAACAATAAATTAATATGTTATGTCCCATTAATATGAAAGGAATTTTAGATAGGACAAGGTACAATTATCAAAACTGATCTTTGATTAGTACATGGAAGTTAAAAGTAATTATTAAAAACTACATATTTCTGTCTTTTCCCTTTGTCAACTCAGATTGGAGATAACCTAACAATCTGAGTGTAAATGGAGATAACCATTCTTCTTCAGAGAAGAAATGTTTTCTTTCTCCCACCAAGACTGCCAGAAATACTTTAAGCACAGCAAAGCAGTCCGCTAACATTTGATGCTCTCCACAGATGGGGTTGTTTTGGAAAGGAGTCAAATGCTGTCTTCTCACAGAACCAGAAGTTAACATTTCTTGGCCCATATTCACATGGTCACCTCTTGGCCTTTTCATCAGTAAAAAGCACTTAGGGAAACATGGTTCTAGACAAGAGGAAGAACAGAGATAGATCTATCAGTGCACGGGAACAACACAGATAACATGGGGAGATTTTACAGGGGGCACTTATTTTATATAAAGAGAGTGAGATCGCCAAAAAAAGACATAGAAAAAATGTTTTCCAATGACATAGAAAAAATGTCATAGATTAGTATAAATTTAAGACACATCTCTGGGAAGAGGAGAATGGAGCTCACATTTATTGGTCACTTATGTTGACAAAAACAGTCAAACTCTGTAACATATTTTGAAGAGATTTATTCTGAGTCAAATATGAGTGACCATGGCCTGTGACACAGTCCTCAGGAGGTTCTGAGAACATGTGCCCAAGGTGGTCGTGGTACAGCTTGGTTTTGTATAATTTAGGGAGGCATGAGACATCAATCAAATACATTTAAGAAATACATTGGTTTGGTTCAGAAAGGCAGGACAACTCAAAGCGGGTGGCGGGGGGGCTTCCAGGCTACAGGTAAATTTGAACATTTTCTGCTTGACAATTGGTTGAGTTTATCTGAAGACCTGGGATCAATGGAAAGGTATGTTCAGGTTAAAATAAAGGGTTGTGGAGACCAAGTTTTATTGTTCAGGGGAACCTCTCAGATAGCAAACTTCAGAGAGAGAGCAGGTTGTAAAATGTTTCTCATGGGACCTAAAAGGATGCCTGGCTCTTCGTTGATTATCTCCTGGATCTGGAAAAGAAAGGAAAGAAAACAAAGGGAGAAGGGGATTCTCCAGAGAATGTGGATTTCTCCCATAAGAGACTTTGCAGGGCAAGCTCAAGGTATGGCAAGGAAATATATTTTGGGGTTAAATATTTTTTTCCCTTGTCTCATAATGTTATGCCAGAGTCAGATTGAAAAGTAAGTCACAATATGTAGGGTCAAATAAAACCCATCTGATGAGAATTTGTGGTTTGTAGGGCATGACTCCCTAGACCCTCTAGGTAGGAATTTGGGCAAGATTTGAATCTGTCAATTATAATTTTAACAATATAAAGTCTTCTCATTCATAAACGTGGGATTTCTTTGTATTTATTTAGATCTTCCTTAATTTATTTTAACAATGTTTTGTGGCTTTCAGCACATAAGTCTTGCACTTCTTTACCTAAATTTATTCCTAGGTATTTTATCCTTTTTGATGCTATTATAAATGTAATTGTAATCTTAATTTCATTTCTAAGTATTCATTGCTGATATATAGAAATAAATATAATTGACTTTTGTGTATTGATCCTGTACACTGCAATGTTTCTGAGCTAGTTTATTAGTTCTAATAATTTGTTTTTAGTAAATTCCTTAGAAATTTTCATGTGTACAATAATGGCTTTGCAAATAGAGATGGTTCTACTTCTTCATTTCCAGTCTGAATGCTTTTCATTTCTTTCTCTTATCTAATTACCCTGGCTAGAACTTTCAGGACAATGTTGAAGAGAAGTGGGGAGAACAGATACTCTTTATTTTGTTCCTGATCTTAAGAGGATAACATCATTGTTTTTCACCATGAAGTATAATGATATTAGCTGCATTTATGGATGCACTTTATAAGATTGGGAAAGTTCTCTTCTATTCCAAGTTTGTTGAGTGTTTTATCATTAAAGGTTGTTGGATTTTTGTCAAATGCTGTTGCTGCATCTATTGTGGTGATCATGTGGTTTCTGTTCTTTATTCTATTAGTAGTCTTTTGTATTGATTGACTTTCAGATGCTAAACCCACTGTTCATTCCTAGGATAAATTCTACATGGTCATGTTTTACAATTCTTTTTATATATAGTTGGATTGGCATTGCTAGTATTTTGAGGAATTTTGCATCTATATTGATAAGATATGTTGATTTTTAGTTTTCTTGTGATATCTTTGTCTGGCTTTGCTATCAAAGTAATACTGACTTCATATAATAGAATAAGTTTAGAAGTGCTACTTCCACTTCTACTTTTTGGAAGATTTTATGGAGGATTAGTGTTAATTTTTGAAAAATGTTTAGTAGATTCAGTAGTGAAGCCATCTGGGCCTGAACATTTTATTGTGGGAAATTTTTAGATTACTAATTCAATCTCTTTATTCATTATAGGTGTATTCATAGTTTCTATTTCTTCTTGATTCAATTTTGGTACTTTTTGGCTGTTCACTAACCTGACACATTTATATAACTGCCTACTCCCTATTGTCACAATTTCTCTTCTCTTTTTTTTTAAAACTTTTTTTTTTTGGAGGTGGAGTCTCACTCTATTCCCCAGGCTGGAGTGCAGTGGCATGATCTCGGCTCACTGCAACCTCCGCCTCCGGGGTTCAAGCGATTCTCCTGCCTCAGCCTCCTGAGTAGCAGGGACTACAGGCGTGTGCTACCACACTCAGCTAATTTTTTTCTACTTTTATTAGAGACAGGGTTTCACTATGTTGGCCAGGCTGGTCTCGAACTCCTGACCTCAGGTGATCCACCTGCCTCGGCCTCCCAAAATGCTGGGATTACAGGTGTGAGCCACCATGCACCACCGTGCCCACCCTTCTTCTCTTTCCTTAAACCTGATCCCCATCAAATTTTTCTTTTTGCCACTCTGTGCAGATGTCTTCCCACATTCTCTTCCATAGCTATTTTTGACTCTGCCTTTGCCCCGGAAGGCTGAACCATAACAACAGTTTCCCTGGCTCTTTGGCTTCATGTTTGCTCTGGCTAACAGGGAGAATCAAAGTTGGAGGGAGGAAGGTAGTGAGGTCAGGGTGTTTATTCCCCAGATTGTTTCTCTGCAGTCACTTTGGGCTTGCTGCGTCCCTGTTCAATGACCAAAGGCACCAGCGACTCTCACATGACCCTCCCCACACAGTTCTTATTGTTCATATGTTCCAGTTACCTTTCCTTCCCTCATCATTTCAGGCCAGAGGGTGAATGGAACCATCATTCCCCATAATTTCCCCCATGCCTGCTCAAACCTTTGCAAATAGTCTCTTTATTAAACTGTTTTCAAATCCTCCAAGTTGAGTGTGCCAGCTGTTACCTGCTGGGACCCTGACTGATATAATTGTTATGTGCATCATCTGTCTGTCTTCTTAGCTCTATTATTCATTCTTTAGCAGAAGGAAACAAAGGATGAATGCCTTTCCTTGCAATAACATATGTTTTAGTTGGAGTTTTTGTTTGTTTTGTTTTTAGATTTCAAGAAGCTAAGCCACACTCATGCTACTTTAAGTAATAGGAATTTGTTGTGAGGACATCAATACGAATAAAGAGGACAGTAACTTCTACCACAGCCTTTACAGAAAGTTGACAATACAGCACAGGTAGGTCTCAGGGGAACTGGAAGTCATCTTAACAGACCCATGAGCTGCAGGATCCTGCTGCTCTTGATTGCCTTTGCTTTATGTCCCTTTCATTCATTTTAGGATGATTGGGGCTTTAGATTCTCCTTGAATAGCAATAAGTTAATTCTTAAGAATGTGGCAGTGTCCTTGGTTTCAGTTAAGTCACAATCCTTTCTTACACTCCTGCAGAGCACTACTGGCTCTATTTTCTAACTATTTTTCCAAGTTCTTCCATGTACCTAACTCTCCCTGGGATATCCAGGGTTCATATCCTTATCCTTTGAACATAATAAATTCAAGGCAATGTACTTAGTAGCTAAATATTCAGGACGAGGCATCTGGCAGTCCTGGCTTAAATCTTGACTCCTTGACCAGGGCCTGCCTTTTGGTCCAGTTACTTATGTTTTCTAAGACTTAGTGTACTTGTACAATAAGGATAATGACCAATCTTACTTGTGGCTCTTGGAAAAATTTAGTCTGATAAAGATGGGCTGGGCAAAGAATAAATGCTCAGCAAATGTCAGGTATTGCCACCACCATTTTTATTAGAAGCAAAATAGTTTTGGCAATGACTTAGAAGAAAATGAATCACTGGACCTGCACTCTGACTGGCAGCTCAAGGCAATAAGACAAGCTTCTGGGGCTTGCATGACTTGATCAAAGAAGCTCTGTGGACAAGGACAGTATACAAGGCTGGAGAAATGGGCGTAACCAAGGTCAAAACCAAGTATTGTTAAGATGTCTTGGGAGATCAGTGGCAGCTTCGGCTAGACAGTGAACACTGATAAACCTTGTGCCTCAGTTGCTAGGTAGGGCTCACTTACTTCCCCATGGAGTTGGGCTATAATAGTCTCTCAGCTCTAGAGAGCAGACTCTTGTTGATCCCTCACAGCTGGGGTTCTATGTTCCCTCCTTTGGTGTGCTACAGTTTCTCACTTTGTCTCTGCTACATTCTGGGGGTTATAGTTTAACTTCTAGGTCCTGAATTCTATATATCTCAAGGTCAAACTCTCTCAGAGATGAATATAATCAGTATAGGTGTTCACCATCTTGCCTACTGGAGAGACCTTTCCTTTATAACTCACCTCATGGCCCAAGGGATATCTGTGGACTGACTGCCTTTGGGTCAGGGACCCATCCCTTCTTAAATCAGCTAATTGCTAGTTTGACAGGTGATGTGGCAGTGGCATTGGGACTTGTGTGAAAGTGGTTAAGAAGGGGATTTGACAGGCTGGGAATGGTGGCTCACACCTGTAATCCCAGCACTTTGGGAGGTCAAGGTGGGCGGATCATGAGGTCAAGAGTTCGAGACCAGCCTGGCCAACATGACGAAACCCCATCTCTACTAAAAATACAAAAATTAGCTGGGCATGGTGTCGAGTGCCTGTAATCCCAGCTATTCAGGAGGCTGAGGCAGGAGAATCGCTTGAATCTGGGAGATGGAGGTTGCATTGAGCTGAGATCGTGCCACTGCACTCCAGCCTGGGTGACAGAGCAAGACTCTGTCTCAAAAAAAAGAAGGGGACTCGACGAAGCCCCTTAGAAGGAACTTTGCAAGTGATAGGTGTTTCAGAGATTTGGCCCATCCAGTAAAGATTATAAATTCTACCACCCAAGTGAATTTTATTGTATGTGAATTATACCTGGATATAGCTGTTAAAGATATTTTGGCCCTCATTTCCAATGATGAGAGTGGAGTAGAAAAGAAAACTGATACTGAGTAGGGTGTGTATAGTGACTGTTGGGAGTATCACCCAACAACAAATATTTGTTGATATCTACTATGTGTCAAATAACATACTAGCTATTGAATATGAAATATAAATAGACATATTCCCTGCCCTTGTTGAGATAATGCTTTGGGTATTAAAACTATTTTTTACTTCTTGGTAGAAGTACAGTGTAGATGGCATTGTAGTATAGATTTTGCTTTTGTGAACACATGAAAAAAGCTATATTTTTGTATCTTGTCCACTAAGGTATGAGACCATGGTGTGACACAGACTGTCAAGGGAAATTATGTTTCAGATCAGGCATACTTTTCCTCTAGGCTATCACTGCAAATGTTTAGTAGAATTATTGTTTTAGTGACTTGATAGCTAACTGACAATATAAAACTCACTGCACTTTTTCCCATTACCTGGAGATGTCAAATAAATTGTACTTGCCCTCATGATAATAAAAATACTTTTAGAGTTGCTGCTGTCATAGGTATATAGCTTGCAGTCTTTTCCATGGCCATGGAGCAATCTGTTTAATTTACCATTGTCCATGACACATTTCTTGTTTCTTTCTTTTGTGCATCTGAGTAGAAAATAAGTGACAGAGTATATAATAAGTGGCTGTTTGATTTTCCTGAAAGGAGCCATTTCCAGTGATACTGTCAAGGCAATGATAGTTATTATTGCTTTTTCTTGATGTATTTACATATTATTCAACACTTAGTCATTTAACTATTCAGCAAACATCTTTTGGACACTTTCTCTGTATCAGTTTGTGGTCATGCTGGCTGGATATGAAAATACAAACTATGGACCCTTTTACAGAAACTAAAAAATTATTGTCCAGTGAGAGGTAAACATTGTCCTGCATGTGGTCTTTTTTTTTTTTTTTTCAAATTTTCTTAATGCCTGTATATCATAGGGTTTCAAAATAGGGTAAGAATAGTTTAATTCATTAAATCAGTCGGGGGCTATATTATTATCCCAAAGCCAGAAGGTGTTAATTATCCTATTAAATGTATTATTCTGCTTGAGTTTATGCTGCACAGGATCTGTCTATTAGCCCATTGTAGTACTTTAGATGTAGACTCTCTGGGGCAAAAGTATTCAGAGTTAAATTTTGATAGACTCTATAGATAGAGTACCATCTAAAGCTGTTGCAGTATTTAGCATGCTTACCTACAATGCGTGCATAAGATCTCACTTCTCATGTTTGCCAGTGCTGGATATTTTCGATTTTTGCATAACATTGTAAACTAATCCTATTTGTGAAACAGATCAAGGCACAGCTACCTTGAGTGGAGTGGGAGCCCGACTCAGGAGAGCTCAGAGCCTTGTCCAGTTGGCTTCCCCTTTCCCTTGTCTGTAGGTCTCTGGGAGCACTTATAGGGAATCCCAAGGCCCCATTTAATGCAGTTTGAAAATTGTTGTTTCTTCAATTGTCTTTATGGCCATGATTTTTTGTTTTTTCATAGTTATGTGTCTTTTCTGGCATTTGAAGAAAAGATACTTAGCTTTCAAATTGATAGTGTGTTCCTTTGGCTGATAATCTTTGCGTTCTAGTGGTATTTAAATGTAATTTCTAGTTTTCCAGGCACAAAAGAAAAAAGTCATTTTATGTTTATGCATTGTTTCCAAAGACTATAAACCAGATCTCAGTAGGACACCAATATAAAGTGCTTTATTATGTTCAGTGCTCAATTACCATCCTCATTACAAATTAAGCCATGTGTGTCATATTAACTCCTTCAGATCACAAGAGAAACATTTAGCAAACTTCAAGGGTAACACCTCCAAATTTAATACACTGGTGTATTCCATTTTGGCCCAAATGGCTTTCCAGAGGACTGAACTAATGCTTATGGAAATATTCATGCTTTGGTTGGAAGACTTATAAATACCAGGACAATCAGAGAATGTGCGACATTCTAACTATATTGCATTAGCTTGGCCAAGAGTAGAATTTGAACAGAAATACCAGTGACAATGGATCTTTTAGAGAATATTATTTATTTGCTTTTTTCACAAAGTCACATCATGAAATTGTACCAAGTAGGCATGGGTTATAAACATGATCTGAAGCATTGTGACATACTTGTCAGATATAAACTTTCTTAAAGGGTGATGGGTTTCCAGTTCCTCTAAACTTGGTAAAGAAGGGAGAGAGAAAGCAGCAGCACTCTCACAGTCGAGAAACTCAACAAATTGGTC
Source organism: Homo sapiens (assembly GCF_000001405.40). Taxonomy (NCBI): domain Eukaryota; kingdom Metazoa; phylum Chordata; class Mammalia; order Primates; family Hominidae; genus Homo; species Homo sapiens. The sequence continues at coordinate 107,069,680 of NC_000011.10, read as the reverse complement.
ACTGCCAGAGAGGAGTCATCCAGCCTTTCTTTGAGACATAAATGATTATGTCTGTGACTAAGTGGATCCCCATATACTGGTATTTATTCTCTTTGTAATTACCTCTCCTTGAGTGTGGGATGAATTGAGGGTCTTACTTCTAATGAAAAGAATATGGCAGTAGTAATGGAATGTTGCTTCTGAGATTAGGTTATAAAAAAGACTGTGCTTCTATCTTGTGGACTCTTTCGTGGTCTTAGTCTATTTTCTTCTGCTTAAAGCACAATACCTAAAACTAAGTAATTTATAAAGAAAATAAATTTATTTTCTACAGTTATGGAGGCTGAGAAGTCCAAGGTTGAGGGGCCATATCTGGCAAAGGGCCTTCTTGCTGGTGAGGACTCTCTGAAGAGTCCTGAGGCAGCACAAGACGTCACATGGCGAGGGAGCTGAGCACACTGATTCAAGCCTCTCTTCTTATAAAGCCAGTAGTTCCACTCGCATAATACTCATGAATCCATTAACCCATTAATCCATTAATCTATAGGTAAATTAATTCATTCATGAGGGAAAGAGCCCTTTGACCCAATAACCTCTTAAAGGCCCAACCTCTCAATACTGCCACACTGGAGGTTAAATTTAAACATGAGTTATGGAGGGGACAAATATTCAAACCATAGCACTCACTCTCTCTTAAATCACTTGCCCTGGGAAAATTCAGCTGCCATGTTTTGTGAAGAGGCTGTCATGGAGAGAGACCAAGGCTTCTCAACAACTGTATGCAGATTAGAAATAAATTTCCTTAAACACTTTCCCCATCAAGACTTCAGATGAAACAACAGTTCCAGCTTATGGCTCAAATACAACCTCATAAGCTTATGAGAGACCTTGGGACAGAGACCCTCAGTTAAGCTGTTTTTGTTTTCTGGCTCAAAAACAAAACTTCTGCTTTTGAACCTTTGTTATTTTGAACTGCTATATATGGAAATTAGTTTTTTTTTACACAGCAATATATGCACAAAAGAGACTCTTTTAAAAATATAAGTCTTTTCTATAATGTTCTGAACAGAATAAAGACATAGAAAGATCAATGCTAAGTGGTTCTCTGTTAGTTAAACTCCAGGAACCTTGATCTTTGAAAATAATTCCTCCCACAAAGAGGCAGTGCCTGTGGTCAATAGGATTGGCACCCCACATTTCAATATAGCCATTGTCACCATTAATTTTACAGCATCTTTGGCTGGACTGGGGTAAAAGTAAAGTAAATACCCTAAATCTTACTCAAGACCAGGGTTCTGAAGGGTGTGTAGAAATGCAGCTTTCTCTAGTTTAGAGTTTAGAGGTTAGTAGCACCATAGTAGGGTTTACCCATATATTAACCTACTTAGTCTTCACAGAAGCAGTATGAAATAAGTATTATCATCATTAATTTAAATATATGAAAACAAGTTCAGAGGCATTAATACTTTGATCAAGGAATTATAGGTAGAACAAGCTGCTGTCTGGCTCCTTCAGGTATTGGGTTGAAATTTCATGTGACAGAGATGAACACGAGGTAATTATTCCAGTGCAGAGGACTTCAGAGAGGTGTGGTTAATTATAGGAGGGATGCACATATTTGAGTTTATATGTTTTCAGGAGGCCCAAGGGGCTTGTGCGAAGGAAGGGGCACACTTCAAGAGAGACACAAAGAAGGGCTGGAAAATACATCAATGCACCCAAGGATTAAGAGAAAGCTAATGTCATTCGCTCAGGTCAGTGTCAGCTCTGCCACTTCTAAGATAAAGTAAAGTACTACCCACACCTCATTTGGCCTCTTACTAGTCCTAACTTCTTAACACTAAGGAGTCGCTCTGGAGCAAGAAGTAGTCATGAGAATAAATTTGCATCATTGTTATAGCAAATAATTCATTTACATTAAATGCACTCACTTATTGACATTTGCCTATTCTATTTCGCTGTATTTTGTTAGCCAAAAATTCAGTGACAGTTCTTGTAATTATTTTCCAATTTTTTCAAATGGAAATGTGGTCTTTTTCCAAATTTTGTAAGTGTCTGTGCATCATAGGGTTTCCAAATAGGTAAGAATAGTGTAAAAGAACACTATTAATTTGAAAGCTAAGTATCCTTTCTTCAAATGCCAGAAAAGAAATATTACTATGAAGAAAACAACCATTCATGGCCATAACTGCTTGAAAACAAAGGGAAATAATTACAAAATGGAAATGTGGTAAATTTGGTTTCTTTATGAAATTAAATTTAAATATTCTTTTAGGATTTGTTTTTCAAAAAATAATTGTATATAAAGCTGAATTTGCAATGCTTCATTTAACATTGCTGAAGGAAAGAGCAGATACTAAAATATTTTGAGCTGAAGCTTTACATAGACAAAGAGAAACTTCAAACACAAATTACTAATTACATTCATATTTTGCACCAAAAAATGGGAGAGAGTTGCAAAGACATTCAGCAAGATTCAAATTTTGGCATTTTCTTCCTTGTGAGTTTAAAAGTTTTCTAATTGTTTTTTTGGGTAGTAAGAATCCCAGCAGGTGTGTTCTAACTGAGTGCCTGCCTCAGGAGTTCTGGAAAAATAGAGGGATTTACTGGCCATCCTATTTGCCTGAGGATATATACATTTGATTAACGGAGAAACTTTAAAACACTGGGGCTGAGGTTTTTAAATGAAGTGGTGCGGGGAAGGGAAGAGTCAATGCTGCCACCAACCTGTAAACTCCAGAGAGTCCTGTAAACCAGGACCAGTTGAGGTGTCTGGTTTGATACCATGGATGCGTCAGGGTCTTAAAAACAACCCTCCGATTCTAGCTTATGGTGCTTTTTTTTTTTTTTTTTTTTTTTTTTTTGAGACAGAGTCTGGATCTGTCGCCCAGATTGGAGTGCAGTGGTGTGATCTCAGCTCACCGGAACCTCCGCCTCCCGGGTTCAAGCAATTCTCCTGCCTCAGCCTCCAGAGTAGCTGGGATTACAGGCATGCGCCACCACGCCCAGCTATTTTTTGTATTTTTAGGAGAGACAGGGTTTCACCATGTTGGCCAGGCTGGTCTTGAATTCCTAACCCCAAGTGACCTGCCCACCTCAGCCTCCCAAAGTGTTGGGATTACAGGTGTGAGCCACTGCGCCCAGCCTGGCTTATAGTGTTTTCAAGTAGCACCTGCAGACACTTGAACTCTCTGCTCCATCTAGACTGCAACCCACCTTTGACCCTTCTGCCATTGTTGATAGCTCCCCTTGATTTGTGCTCTGTCCCAGATTTTCATACCTACGTCATTCATACCTACTGAAGCTGAAGGAGGGATTTCTCTTATATACAGTATAATACTTAGTAATAAAAAAGCTAACAGTATAATGGCTTATTTCTAAGGGTCAAGTCAAAAATGTAAAACTGCTGTATTCAGTTAGCTTGTCAGAACATCATGTATCTGGAAGCTGTTAAGAAAAGACTCTTGTGAATCAGAATGGAGGGAACACAAGCAGCAGTACCAAGAACACAAAATAGTTTCACAGGGAGAATGACAAATCATTACGATCTTTACCCTCATTATTCACTTCCCCCTTTCCTCTTTCCTTATAACCCTCCTCCCCACTGCAAAGCCTACATGTTAGGTTGATGTGTCCTGGGAAATGCATGCTGCTCTCCTGTGGTGGGCGTAGGGGGAGAGAAAAAGTATCAAAGAAGCTAACATTTATCGAACATTTTATATATATGCCAAGTACTGGGCTGATATTTGGATAATAAGATTTACTATGAGATTTCCACTTAATCCCACAAAACCCCACAAATTAGGTACCATGTACCCACCTCATGTAGAAAGATAAGAAACTGACCTCATGTAGAAAGATAAGAAACTAAGGAAAAAAGTCTAAATAATTCTATAGTTATTGTTTGAGCTTAGTTCAAACTTAGGTTCATCCAACTCATACTATTGTCCCAGAAATTTGCAAAGAAATATACCTGTCCCTTTGAGATGTGTGGACATCCTAGAGTGTCAAGAATTACACTCTTGTAGGCTACCTTTTATTCAGTGTATGTGTGTGTGCACATGCATATTTGTGTAATAACATTGATAAACCGGTAGCCCTCCAGGGCATTGTGGAGGACTGAATTATTTAATAAGAGTGATCATGGCAGATATGTGGCTATATCTTTATTTATTTTTAATCTCTTCTGGCCAAGCAGGGGAAAATAAAGTTGATTCTCATTAATTTAGTTATCACAGTTTAGAGGGAAATTGACAACATATTTAACTGCAGTTCTGAATTCTGCCTGGACAAAGTCCAATTCTGAGTTAGAAATGTTTTCTTGAGGACCGTTTGCATGGTGTTATTTTTCAATCAAGTGTAGTAAAGGAGCAGCAATTGGAATTAGGGAGAAGAATTATAGTTTGAGGCAAGTCCTATAGATTAGCTGGCTGAATTAAATTAGAAGGTCAACCCAAAAGATAAATGGAAACCTTGCCATTTCTGTTTGTGGACAGCAGGAACAAGAAACAGCATAAAGGGAGAGGGGGAGTTCAGAAAACAACTTTTAAAGACAGATTTTTAATATTTGTCTATTTTGAGCTGTCTCTTTTTCCTAATGAAATCATTGAGCATGAAATCTAAAACTCTCCTGTTTGTACTTTTTGCCCTGGAGGAATTACTCAGCTCCTTTTTTTTTTTTTTTTTTTTTTTTTTTAGAAAATTGTCACTATCTGGATGATCAATTATGTGGTCACCTTGGTTATTGCAAACCTACTATGTGCTAGGCATTGGACATAAACACAAAGGTGAACAAAAGAAACGTGATTCCCTGTCTTCGAGGAGATGTGTTTTAGTGGAAGGTCCACCTGCGCTTACTCTCCAAAAATGTAAAAGAAAAAATAAACAAAAGAATTAGAAGACAATATGAAGGAATAAACTAAGACCTGAGATAATAATTAGGAGTAGGGGAACATCTTCAGTTAGAGCAGATGGGAAAAGATCTTCTGAGGAAGTGACATTTAGGCCAAGATCTAAAAAATGAGGAGTTAGCCATACAGAGCCAGAGGAAGAATATCCTTAGCAGAACGAGTGGCAGGTGCAAAGCTCCTGAGGCTCTCATACTATGGCACATTTGAAAAATTGAAAGAATGCAGCGAGGATGTTGTTTAGTTGCAGGAAAGAGTGGTAAAAGTGGTAGACAAAGCCTAGTGCATGCAGGTTATGGGATCTAGGCCATGGTAAGAAGCCTGGATCATATTCTAGGTGCAATGGGGAACCATTGAAGGTATTTTAAAAGAGTTTACATTGTTATTTCTAAGATCAGATCTTCTCTTTTTGAAATTGTATGGCATTTACTTTTCTTTATTTTAATACAGAGAAATGCAAAAAATTAAATGATCCATAATCTTCCTGCCCAAGTAGCATATTTTGATTAAAAATAAAAGTTTTGTTTTTATACATGTGAACACCACATATTTCTGTTTCTCACTCTGATGGCTCATGCCCTTTTCCTAAGAGTATTCACTATTAAAGTTTATTTTCTTTAAAATTTTATGCAAATATATATGTAATATATTTATATTATATATACATATATAGAGAGGTTATATTTGTATCATATTCTGTATTTACCCTTTCACATAAAAATATATCAGCACTCACAGAATATCTCATTCTTATTTAAAAGTGCATAATATTCTATATTATGAGTATATGATTTTTTTAAGTAGTCACCTATTGATATTTTTGTGGCTTTCTTTTTTTGTTATGACAAATAATACTACAAGAAACATCTTCATATGTACATCATGACACACTTTTGCAAGTGCTATTATTAAGAAATATCATGGAGAGATAATGTTAAAATGTCTTTCCAGAATAACTTCGCCAACTTAAAACTGCTCCGTCCGATTATACAAGAGTGTCTATTTTCCTACACAATCCACAATACTGGATATCAGAAAATGTTTTAATTTATATTTGGGAAATAAAAAATGGTTTCTCAATGTCATTTGAAATTAATTTCTTACAATCGAGTTTCTTTTCTTACGTTTATAAGTTTTTTATGTTTGTATTTTTGTGATCCTATTCCTACATTTTAACCACATTTCTACTGGGTCATTCTTTTCATCATTGATTTATCTGAGCTCCTTGTGAAATGATTAATTTGTAATCAAGGAAAGTATGCCTGGTATAGTATATATTTTCACAGCTTGATATTTTGTTTTCCAGGGTTTTGATTTCAAGTAGTCAAATTTATCAAGTTGTTCTTTATGGCACCTAGGTTTTATGCTGTGATTAAAAGACCAGTTCTACTCCCACAGCATAAATGAATTATAAATAAATTCAACTATATTTTCATCTGGAATTATTATTTTGAATAGTTTCAAGCAAGGGAGTGATATGGTTTGATTTATATTTAAAGAGTTCCTTTTGGGTGTTGCATGATATGTGGATTTGAGGAAAGCAAGGATGGACATGGGAATGGACATGGAGACTAGTTAGGGAGCAGTTAGGTGACAAAAAGATGATGGGGCCTAGCATAGTGTGGCAGCAGAGAATCTCCCAGGGAAGTGGACAGTTGCACGATCATTTGGAGATTGTTATGACAGAAGTTAATTACGCACTGAATGTGGGTATGGCTGGGTAAGATGGAATCAAGCTCATTTCCTTGGTTTTTGACTTCTGCAACTGGGTAGATGTCAGGGTTACTCACTGAAATGAAGAAGATTGGAGCTGGTGGCAGAGATGTGTTGTGAGAGAAAATCCAGAGTTACAGTTTAGACATGTAAAGTTTGAGATGACTGAGTGACATTCAATTGTAGATGTTCACTGTTAGGTAAGTAACTGAGTATATGAATCTGGAGTGTTCTAGCCAAAGTGGCTTCCATAATGTTCCTTGAACTCTACAGATAGATAAATCCCTCACCCACTTCAACTTTTTGTTTAAATGTTTGTTAAATGTCAGTAAGGTCTCCCCAAACTACCTTAGTTAAAATGACAACTTCTCACCTTACTGTCCCTGTCACTGACTCTGTATTTTCCCCCATGTTATACTTAGCACAGTCTAATATGCCATGTATAGTTACTTACTTGTTTTCTAATAACTATTGCTTATTCTCTCTTTCTCTTTTCCTGTGAGAATAAACTCCAGAAGGGCAGGGAGCTTAGTTTGGTTCTTTGTTGTATCATGAGCATTTAAAAGAGTGTCTAGCAGATTGTCAGTACTCAATAAATATTTTGAATTATTTATTAATATTTTTGAATGAATAAATGAATAGTTGCAAGTCACCAGTCACTGGCAAAGTCAGGTTCCCACCCTAGTGGTCAGGCACTGAAGCCTGGGCTCTTCATCAGCCAATTCCACTTCCATTCAAAGCCTGCATTAGGCAAAGAGTAGATGCTGCGTGTACAAAGGCAAAGGAAATTGGCTCAGACATTTATTACTCTGTAAGACATGACCAAATGGGCCTACTTATCATTCATAAATCTCTAAAATCTATTAGGCTCTCTAGGGTCTGTTTACTGAAATCAATACTACAAGCCACATTATTAAAGAATTATGATGGCAAAATTGAGTGCTTTTGACACACAGCCAAAGACATAGGCAAGCAAAGCCAAAAGAAGACTCACTGTCCCTTTTTAATCTTTATGATTGGTTAACTACAACCAGTGAATGTGAGTTCTACCTGAAATATTTTGTTAACAGGAAAAGAAGAAAAATGAATGGTTTCCAAAATTGTGAGTCCGTGATTGAATTAATTCAAACATTTCTGGAAAGTTGTGTAGACTAGACAATACTCTCTACTGCTCCTCTTTAAAGAGGTGGTGATGATGATGACTGCATTAAAAGTGTTGATGAAATAACTCAGTTCTGCATTTTAATCAGACATACAGATAAAATGAAATACTCAAATCTTTCTCATACTGCCAAGAGAGGCTGTGTTTTCATCTACACTGTCCTTTGAGCTAAGACACTGCTTTGTTATTTTAGAAGTAAGTTTGGCTACATTTTAGAAGTAGAAAACTTTTCCAAGTTAATTCCTAAGGGTCTAATTTCTATTCTTCTAACAATGTGGGTGTGTATATTTGTGTATGAGAGGGGATGTAGTCATAGAAGTGGGTGGTATTTGTTGAGAAAAGAATATTCTTAACTACCATCTCTTTTCCAAAATACCCTATTATCCACTAATTAGTATTTAAGAATTTACATGCAGTTCTGTGGGGAAATTTTTAGTCATGATTCACAGCTTACTTGCCTTTAATGAGATATTCACTTAGCTGAAGGGATGGAAGGCTCTCTCTCTCTCTCTCTCTGTGTGTGTGTGTGTGTGTGTGTGTGTGTGTGTGTGTGTGTTGGGCAAAAGATATTGAAGCACAAATTTGGAATGTAGAGGTCTTCAGAGGGAGAAAATCTGGTTGGAGCCCTATATAAGAGATCTTAGAAAATCACCATGAGATTAGCTGGTGATGTTGAGTGTGCTGGCAATGCGTGTGAGAAATGAAGAAAGAAAAGGAGGAGATGCTTAATAATATGTGCTAAAAGGTAGATATATGATTTGTCAGTCAATAAAAGAATGAATGATTGATATTCTCTGAGTCCAGAGGGTACCTTAGTCCATTTTGTGTTAATACAAAAGAATATCTGAGACTGAGTAATTTATACAGAAAAGAGATTTATTCAGCTTATAGTTATGCGGTTGTACACAAAGCATGGTGCTGGTATCTCCTCAGCTTTTGGTTATTTTAGAAACAAGTTTGGCAACTTGTTTACTTCAGGCACAAACCCTATAAATTTACTCTGTCTCTCTATCCCAGAGATAGAGAGAAAAAAACAACAACAATAATAACAGAAAAATTAACTACAAGCATCCCTTTTAAAATTTCCATATCTAAAAAGAAATGAATATTTAGGACTTTTGTCCTGCATCAAAACATGGCAGAGGTCAAAGGGGAAGTGGGTGTGTGCAAAGAGGGGCCAGACCCAAGAAGCATCCTATCTTTTTAACAACCCACTCTCATGGAAACTAACCTATTCCTAAGAGGACAAATGCCATCTTTCCAGAGAGAGAACTCTGGAACTATCAAGGGAACAGCAGCAAGCCATTGATGGGGGATCTGCTCCTTTGATCCAAACACTTGCCAGTAGGCCCACCTCCCGGCACTGTCACATTGGGAGTCAAATTTCAACATGAGATTTAGTGGGTACAACAAGCCATACCCAAACTGTAGCAGAAGAAGTTCTTAACAATGATCCGACACGTTCTACAGGATGCCTTTGGGTACAGGTTTCAGAGACCATTCATGATCTAAGTGCCTCTTTTGGGGAGTAAGCAGAGCATTTTCAAAAGAAGCAGCTTTGCCTCCATTTTTTACCCTCACATCCACGGTAATCATGTGAGCTGTCCTGATAGCTATTCCCTTAAAATAACTTTTTTGTTAACATTTTAAAACTTTTTCATTCTTCTTGACTTGTGAGTTAAAAAGATCAGATGACCTAGACCTGGTAACTTGAAGGGGACCTTCCTTGCAGGCAGTAGTTGTAAAGTAAGATGATCTTTAAAACACCCTTTCTCCATTGGCTTTAAAAAATTAATCTTTGACTGTATCAAAGGTGCTTTGGTGCTTTCATGCTGGATATAGAACAAATGTAACATTCATCTCCTTTTTGATATGGAAACTAAAAAAAAGAAATGCTTATTTTTTAAACTAAAATTTAAAAAAATATATTTAGGGAGTACAAGTGCAGACTTCTTACGCATCTGTATTGGGTAGTGGCAAAGTCTAGGCTTTTAGTGCACCCATTATCCAAATAATGAACATTGCACCCAATAGGTACATTTTCAACTCTCAATTTCTTTCCACCCTTCCCCCTTTTGGGGTCTCCAATTCCTATTATTCCACCCTGTAATTCCATATGCACACATTATTTAGCTCCCACTTATAAGTGAGAACATGTGGTATTTGACTTTGTGTGTCTGAGTCATTTCACTTAGGATAATGGCCTCCAGTTCCATCCATGTTTCTGCAAAAGACATAATTTTATTCTTTTCTTATGGCTGAATAGTATTCCATGGTGTATATATACCACATTTTCTTTATCCAACCCTCCATTGATGGACGATTAGGTTGATTCCATATCATTGCTATTGTTAAAAACATAATGATTGCGGGTATCTTTTTGATATAATGCTTTATTTTCCTGTGGGTACATACCTGGTAGTGGGATTGCTGAATTCAGTGGCACTTCTGTTTTAGTTCTTTGAGAAATCTCCATACTGCCTTCTTATGGTTGTACTAATTTATATTCCCACAAGCAGTGTGTAAGTGTTTTCTTTTTCCTGCATCCTTGAAAACAGAGATGCTTCTAATTAATGTTTCTGTTGTTATTATTGTTTCTCTCTATATATCTGTCTCAACACACACACACACACACACACACACACACACACACAACTATTTATATAGACAGACATAGGTACATAATTTTTTTAACCATTGGTATTACATTAGTATAGTAGAGAGGTTAAATTCTTAGGATTTGTACCACAAGTAAGCAAGTGCCAGGGTTTATTCCATTTGTCGCTCTGCACATTCCCAAAGCTGAGGTTTATCAGAATATTAAGGAAGTTGCTTCGGTTATGACACTTTATTTAAAATAATTTGAGTCTCCTGCTGTGGGTAAAATAAAGTGGATGACTTGAAATTGAATGGCGCTCTCTAAAATTCTGAAAAATCTACTGTGGTTCTACTTCACAGCTGAACACTTATGCCTCCAGAATTTTATTGATCCCAGAACTGTGGCATTTTATTTTGATCTGAGTAACTAATACAACTGCTTCTTAAATAAGGCACATTTTAGTTTAAGTTTGAGGTTGTTTAAGTTTGTTTTATAAAGCATCTTGAAGAAAGCGTGCCTTAGGGGTGTTAGTCAGATATCGAACCAATAGGATGTATACGCATATGGAGAGACAGAGCAAGAGAGAGAGACAGACAGACATTGACTTATTATAAGGAACTGGTTCATGTAATTATGGAGGTTGACAAGACCCAAGATCCAAGATCTGCAGTTAGCAAGCTGGAGACTCAGGAGAGCTGATGGTGTTAATTCCAGTTCAAAGGCTTCAGGCTCACAACTCAGACAGAGATGATGTTTCAGTTTGAGTCTGAAGGCAGAAAGAAAATGATGTCCCAGATTGAAGGCAGTTAGGCAGGAGGAATTCCCTTTTGTATGGAGAAGGGTCAACTTTTTGTTCTACTCAGGTCTTCAACTGACTAAATTAAGCCCACTCACATTAGGGAGGGTAATCTGCTTTACTTAGTTTGTCAATTTAAATGTTAAACTCATCCAAAACCACCCTCCCATAAACACCCATAATGATGTTTGACCAAATATCCAGGCATTCAGTGGCCTAATCAAGTTGACACCTAAAATTATCTATCACAAGCCCACCCCTTGTCAACTTGGTAACCCATATACATCTCCTTAAACTATACTTAATCTCCAGATGAAAACAACAGCAAGGTCATAATTCCATCTAACATGATACAACTATCCTGCATGTGGGTAGAATGTTATGGATGAAATGTTTGTATACTCCCCACTCCCTCAATTCATATACTGAAGCCCCAACCTCCAAGGGGCTGGATATGGAGAGGGGGCCTTGAGGAAGTAATTAAGGTCAAATGAGGTCATAAGAGTAGGACACTGATCCTGTAGAATGGATGCCTGGATACATATTTTTTAATTTTATTTTTATTTACTTTTATTTTTTAATTGACTTTATTCTTTAGAAACATCTTTGATTTACAATAGTACAGAATTCTCATATACTCAACATTTAGCATCCCTATTACTAATATCCCACATTAGTATGGCGCATTTGTTACAATCAGTGAGCCAATATTGATACATTATCATTAACTAAAGTATGAACTTTAGTTTAAAAATCGGAATAAATTTCGAACTTTAGTTAATGATAATGTATCAATATAGATACAATAGTTTTTACCTAATGTCCCCTTTCTGTTCCAGGATTTCATCCAGGACACCAGATATATTTAGTTGTCAGGTCTCTTGAGGCCTTGTTGGCTATGACAGTTTCTCATTTTTGATGGCCTTTACAAGTTTTTTAAAAATTTCATTTTGTTTCAGTAGTTTTTGGGGTACAAGTGGGTTTTGGTTACATGCATAAGTAGTGGTGATTTCTGAGATTTTAGTGCATCTGTCACCCAGGCAGTGTATACTGTACCCAATATGTAGCCTTTGATCCCTCACTCCCCTCCCAGTCTTTGTTCCCCATCCCCCCAGAGTTCCCAAAGTCCATTATATTCTGCTTATGCCTTTGTGTCCTCATAGCTTAGCTTCCACTTATAAGTAAGAGCATACAATATTTGGTTTTTCATTCTCAAGTTACTTCACTTAGAGTAATGGCCTCCAGATCCAGCCAAGTTGCTGCAAAACACATTATTTCTTTTCTTTTTATAGCTGGGTAGTATTCCATGGTGTACATATACCACATTTTCTTTATCCATTTGTTGGTTGATTCGCACTTTGGTTGGTTCCATATCTTTGCAATTGTGAATTGTGCTGCTGTAAATATACATGTGCATGTGTCTTTTTCCCCCATTTTGTGGTTTATCTGTTTACTCTGTTGACAGTTTCTTTTGCTGTTTAGAAGCTCTTTAGTTTAATTAGAGTCCATTTGTCAATTTTTGCTTTTGTTGCAATTGCTATTGGTATCTTCTTCATGAAATCTTTGCCCATACCTATGTCCTGAATGGTATTGCTTAGGTTGTCTTCCAGGGTTTTTATAGTTTTGTGTTTTATATTTAAGTCTTTAATTCATCTTGAGTTAACTTTTGTATATGGTGTAAGGAAGGGGTCCAGTTTTAATCTGCATATGGCTAGCCAGTTATCCCAGCACCATTTATTGAATAGGAAATCCTTTCCCCATTGCTTGTTTTGTCAGTTTTGTCAAAGATCAGATATTGTAGGTCTGTGGTCTTATTTCTGGGTTCTCTCTATTCTGTTCCATTGGTCTATGTGTCTGTTTTTGTACCAGTACCATGCTGTTTTGGTTACTGTAGCCCTGTAGTATAGTTTGACATTGAGTAGTGTGATGCCCCCAGCTTGGTTTTTTATTACTAACTATTGCCTTGGCTATTCAGGCTCTTCTTTTGATTCCATATGAATTTTAAAATAGTTTTTTTCTAGTTCTGTGAAGAGTCTCCATGGTAGTTTAATAAGAATAACATTCAATCTATAACTTGCTTTGGGCAGTATGGCCATTTTAATGTTATTGATCTTCCTGTTCATGAACATGAATGTTTTTCCATTTGTTTATGTCATCTAAGATTTCTGCAAGAAGTGGTTTTTAGTTTCCTTGCTCCCCTCTTTAGTTAGCTGTATTCCTAGGCATTTTATTCTTTTTGTAGCAATTGTGAATGAGAGTATGTTCCTGATTTGGCCCTCAGCTTAACTGCTGTTGGTGTATAGGAATGTAGTGATTTTGCACATTGATTTTGTTTTCCTGAGACTTTGCTGAAGTCGTTTATCACTTTAAGAAGCTTTCTCAGGTTTTTTTTTTTTTTTCTGCCAGACATGGTGGCTCAAACTTGTAATCCCAGCACCTTGGGAGGCCAAGGTGGGTGGATCACTTGACATCAGGAGTTAGAGACCAGCCTGGCCAACATGGTGAAACTCCATCTTTACAAAAAATACAAAAATTAGGCTGAGGCAGGAGAATCGCTTGAATCTGGGAGGTGGAGGTTGCAGTGAGTCAAGATCGAGCCACTGCACTCCAGCCTGGCAATAGAGCGAGACTCCGTCTTGGAAAAAATAATAATAATACAAAAATTAGCTGGGTATGGTGGCATGCACCTGTAATCCAAGCTACTTGGGAGGCTGAGGCATGAGAATCACTTGAACCCTGGAGGTGGAGATTGCAGTGAACCAAGATAGTGCCACTGCACTCCAGCCTGGCCAACAGAGCAAGACTCGGTCTCAAAAAAGAAAAAAAGAAGTTTTGGGGGATTTTTAGATATAGAATCATGTCATCTGCAAACAGAGATAGTTTGACTTCCCCTCTTCCTATTTGGATGCCTTTGATTTCCTTTTCTTGCCTGATTGCCCTGGGTAGGACTTCTAATACTATGATGAATAGGAGTGGTGAGAGAGGACATCTTTATCTTGTGTCAGTTTTCAAGGGGAATGCTTCTAGCTTTTGCCTATTCATATGGTTCTTATTATCTTGGGGTATATTCCTTAAATACCTAGTTTATTGAGCATTTTAACATGAATAGATGTTCATTTTTTTTTTTTTTTGAGACAGAGTCTGGCTCTGTCACCCAGGTTGGAGTGCAATGGCGTGATCTTGGCTCACTGCAACCTCCGCCTCCCTAGTTCAAGCGATTCTCCTGCCTCAGCCTCCTGAGTAGCTGGGACTACAGGCAAGCCCCACCATGCCCAGCTAATTTTTGTATTTTTAGTAGAGATAAGGTTTCACCATTTTGGCCAGGATGGTTTTGATCTCTTGACCTCATGATCCACCTGCCTCGGCCTCCCAAAGTGCTGGAATTACAGGCGTGAGCCACCGCACCCGGCCAGATGTTCAATTTTATTGAAAGTCCTTTCTGCATCTATTGAGATAATCATGTGGTTTTTGTCTTTAGTTCTGTTTATGTGATAAATCATATTTTTTGATTTGCATAAGTTGAATCAACCTTGCATCCCAGGAATAAGTCCTATTTGATCATGGTAGGTAAGCTTTTTGATGTGCTGCTGGATTCAGTTTGCCAGTGTTTGTTGAGCATTTTTGCATTGATGTTCATCAAAGATGTTGGCCTGAAGTTTTCTTTTTTGTTGTTGTTGTGGATACAAGATTTTGGCTGACAATTATTTTGCTTAAGGAGGCTAAAGATAGGATCCCAGTCCCTTCTGGCTTGTAAGGTTTCTACTGAGAAATCTGCTGTTTGTTTGATAGGTTTTCCTTTATAGGTTACCTGATGCTTTTGTCTCACAAGTAGAAGCAGCAGCAGGAATTCATTCCCAGATGAGATTATATCACATAGTTTAGTTGGGAGCCTCTTTCACCCTGTGGCCCCTCCCTGAGCTCTTCGGCTGACTTCCCCAAGGGCTCCTGTGAGATATAGTCAGGAATGGCTTATCTTGGTTAATACTGGAGACTGGGAATGCCTGCAAGGCACTTCCTGCTGCTGCTTCTACTTATATATTTCATGCTGCTCCCTAAGTTTGTTCCAGCTCTGGATAGGGTTAAGGCCTTCTCCCATGGCCTGGATCTTCATATTCCCTGGTGGGGGAGAGGGTGTGGGGGTATGTGTGTTCAAGGGCAGGCTGTCCTCCTCTCACACTCTGAGAACTTGTAATTTTTCACCTTTCTCATGGAGTAGGCCGCAGCCTGCCACTTCTTTCAAAGGGTCTGTGGATTCTTTCAGTTTTTCTGTTAAGTTCGTGCATTGGTTCTTGGGAAAAAAAATTCAGTGTGAACCTCTACTCACTATTCTATCCTTCCAAGTGGGAGAGGCATGCTAACACTGCCTCTAATCCTCCATTTTGAAAAAAAAAGATGACTGGATATTTGGTCAAACATTATTATGGGTGTTTCTGAGAGAGTGGTTTCAGATAATTTAACATTTAAATTGACAGACTAAATAAAGCAGATTGGCCTCCCTAATAAAACACACCAGAGAATGCTCTAGTACCGCCTCACTCTCATTCCCCAAGGACAGAGGAAAGAACATGTGAGGACGTAGTGAGAAGGTAACCATCTATAAGCCAGGAAGAGAGTCTTGATCAGAAACTGGATCTGTCTTCCCAACCTCCAGAAATGTGAGAAATAAATTTTTCTTATTTAAGCCACCCAGAATATGGTTTTGTTTTTATTTTATTTTTTTTATGGCAGCCTGAACAGACTAACACAAAGGAAGGCATTGGACAGAAAGTAAATCTGATTTTCAGGCCTCTTGATATTAATTTATTTTAATTAACAGCACATTCATTGCAGGTTTTGTGACACATTATTAAATGATAATCATCATTAGAGAGTGGCAATGAGGAATAGGAAAGTCCTTTTGAGCAAGTGTTTCTGTTTGCACAAAGCATTGAACGAAGTAGCAAGTTAAAAACATTTCTTGAATAAGGAAATAAATGATTTAAAATGAATATGAACATTTATAAAGAAAATAATTCACACAGAAGTTTTAAATGTTGTATTTGCAGACACACATTTATATTTTTTACATTACCCAGAATAAAGATACAATGGAAACCTTAATTGACCACCAGTAGGAGGGTGTTACATAAATTATGGTTTATCTACTTCATGGAATCTTATGTGATAACCAAATATGATAGTTATGAATGATACTTGGAAAAATGTCATTTATTTAATATGAAAGTTGTAAAATGTGTTCTCCTGTGATCTTAGATGAAATCATGCATGCATATGAACAAGAAAACCTCTCTTTTATTTGCCTTAGAGTAATTAAAAGAATAGATTTAGAAGGGTACAAGTGTCATTTTGTTACATGGATATATTGTGTAGTAGTGAAGTATGAGCTTTTAAAGTAGCCATCACCTAATGGGTGTACATTGTACCCATTGCTTTATAGTAATTTTATATTAGTATTGCTTTACAATAATTTTTAAAAGAATTGATATTTATTTAATTACAAAATTGCCTCAAAATTGCCAGTATCTTCATGCTGTGTAGCCTGTCTTCTATCATTCTAAGAAGGGTTATAGATTCCTGTGCCTTGCTGAGCAGATGGCATGCATACAGCAGAGATAACTGGGTTTGGCATCCACTTGAATCACACTAAATGTATGTTTGGTTAAATATTTGTCTACTTCCTGTAAATTGTTGTCATTAAATACTTTCTCTAAAGAACACAGCTTTTCTTTCTTCCTCTGCATAAGTGCATGTTATAAAGAAGGAAAAGAAATGAGGATTAAAATGGTTAAAGCCTCCAGAAAGGAGAACATTTTGAAAAACTAAAACTATATTTGGGATTGTAAACTTTATTGTTAAAGGGACAATAGTGTTGTAGGACTATATTAGTCTATTTTCATGCCACTGATAAAGACATACCCAAGATTGGTAAGAAAAAGAGATTTAATGGACTTACAGTTCCACATGGCCAGGGAAGCCTCACAATCATGGGAGAAGGAAGGAGGAGCAAGTCATGTCTTATATGGATGGCGGCAGGCAAAGAGAGCTTGTGCAGGGAAACTCCCATTTTTAAAACCATCAGATCTTGTGAGACTTATTCACTATCATGAGAACAGCACAGGAAAATCTGCCCCCATGATTCAATTACCTCCCACCAGGTCCCTCCTACAGTACATGAGAATTCAAGATGAGATTTGGGTGGGGACACAGCTAAACCGTATCATTCTTCCCTTGCCCCCTCCCAAATCTCATGTCCTTTTATTTCAAAACCAATCATGCCTTCCATTGCAACAGCCTGCCAAAGTCTTAACTCATTTCAGCATTAACTCAAAAGTCCACAGTCCAAAGTCTCACACGAGACAAGGCAAGTCCCTTCGGCAGAGCCTGTAAAATCAAAAGCAAGTTAGTTACTTCTTAGATACAATGGAGGTACAGGCATTGGGTAAACACAGCCATTCCAAGTGGGAAAAATTGGCCAAAACGAGGGACTACAGGCCCCATGCAAGTCCAAAATCCAGCAGGGCAGTCAAATCTTAAAGCTCCAAAATGATCTCCTTTTTCCAGGTACACAGTGCAAGCTGTCAGTGGATCTACCATTCTGGGGTCTGGAGGACGGTGGCCCTCTTCTCACAGCTCCACTAGGTGGTGCCCCAGTGGGGACTCTGTGTGGGGACTCCAACCCCACATTTCCCTTCCGCACTGCCCTAGGAGAGGTTTTCCATGAGGGCCCTGCCCCTGCAGCAAACTTCTGCCTGGTCATCCAGGTGTTTCCATACATCCTCTGAAATCTAGGTGGAAGTGTCCAAACCTCAATTCTTGACTTCTGTGCACCTGCAGACTCAACACCACGTGCATTTGCGAAGGCTTGGGGCTTCTACCCGCTGAAGCAACAGCTCAAGCTGTAGATTGGCCCCTTTTAATCATGGCTGGAGTGGCTTGGATGCAGGGCACCAAGTCCCCAGACTGCAAACAGCAGAGGGAAAAAACCCCACAAAACCATTTTTTCCTCCTAATCCTCCAGGCCTGTGATGGGAAGGGCTGCCACAAAGGTCTCTGACGTGCCCTGGAGACATTTTTATCATTGTCTTGGTGATTAACATTCAGCTCATTGTTACTTATGCAAATTTCTGCAGCCAACTTGAATTTCTCCTCAGAAAATGGGATTTTCTTTCCTATCACATTGTCAGGCTGCAAATTTTCCAAGCCTTTATGTTCTGTTTCCCTTTTAAAACTGAATGCCTTTAACAACACCCAAGTCACCTCTTGAATGCTTTGCTGCTTAGAAATTTCTTCTGCCGGATACCCTAAATCATCTCCCTCAAGTTCAAAATTCCAGAAATCTGTAGGGCAGGGGCAAAATGCCACCAATCCCTTTGCTAAAACATTACAATAGTCACTGTTGCTCCAGTTCCCAATAAATTCCTCAACTCCATCTGCGACTGCCTCAACTTGGACCTTACTGTTCATATCACTATCAGCATTTTTGTCAAAGCCATTCAACAAGTTTCTAAGAAGTTCCAAACTTTCCCACATTTTTCTCTCTTCTTCTGAGCCCTCCAAATTGTTCCAACCTCTTCCTCTTACCCAGTTCCAAAGTTGCTTCCACATTTTTGGGTATCTCTTCAACAACACCCCACTCTACTGGTACCAATATACTGTATTAGTTCGTTTTCACACTGCTGATAAAGACATACCCAAAACTGGAACGAAAAAGAGGTTTAATGGAATTATATTTCCATGTGGCTATAGAGGCCTCACAATCACGGCAGAAAGCAAGGAGGAGCAAGTCACATCTTACATGGATGGCAGCAGACAAAGAGAGAGAGAGTTTATGCAGGGAAACTCCCATTTTTATAACCATCAGATCTTGTGAGACTTATTCACTATCATGAGTACAGCATGGGAAAGACCTGCCCCCATGATTCCGTTACCTCCCACCAGGTCCCTCCCTACAACATGGGGAATTCAATATGAGATTTGGGTGGGGACACGGCCAAACCATATCAAGGACTAATAGGTTCATATGCCTGCTGCACAGTAACGGACCAATTCACTGAGATAGCAGGGATTGCATCAGAGAAAGAGTGTAATCATTGCAGGATGCCAAGTAAGGAGATGGAAGGAGACTCTCAAATCCAACACCAACGAGTTCTGAGCTGGACCATGGAAAGGGAGGGGCTGGATAATTGGGGTCATTCATTGGTCGAGGTCCGGGGGGTGAAAATCATCAGGATGTGGAAAGCTCATTCCTTGATGAGTCAGCTTCTTGTGGGGTCCATCAAACCATCTGACATCAGTAGTTTCACAAAAATGCAGGCCTTGAAAGGATATCTCAAATGGAAAACTTAATGTTTATAATGTTAAAGTTGTTGTCTATAGAGCGGTTAAGGAGGACTATATTCTTGCAACAAGATCTATGTGATTCTGAGGCAGTAGGCCCCAAATGACTATGAGGAAGCAGGTCAGAGGGCAAGCTGAGCTGATGGTTAATGCTGTGCGCAAACTTGGTTTATTTTTAATTTTTCTCCTCCCTTCTTCCCTGACTAATTTTATGAAGTTTATAAGGATGGTTTCAATAGTCAGCTCTCGCATTAGATTATTACTTATTAGTACTGGCATGCACAGATTGTTTTAAGGGCTTCTAAATGGTTCAATATGTATTAGATAGACTAGAATATTTAAAAGGTCATCAAATGTCTTTTATGGCTATTCCAACTCCGCCCCATGTGTCCTCGTAAGAGTGTATTAAAAACCACCCTTCCTTATGATTCTCCCAATTGAGAGGTCAGTTAGTGCTTGGCATTGGTTTCACGCAGTCACTACCACAGGAATCTTTGATATAAAATTTAGGGATATGTGCATGTCTGACTAGATATGGAGCTTGGGTTGGAGAGTTATAAAGGATGTGATTAGAAAGGTAATGTGAGTCCAGATAGTGAATGTGTCAAGATACATTAATTTTATAGTCTTTAACATATAGTTTATGTAACAAAAAAGTATTCTGTATGCCTAAAATAAGGCTGAAAAGTCCCTGAAAGAAAAGTATCAGAATTTTTGTCCTCACCACTGAGGATGTTATAATTCATGTAACTTTTGTCATTTTAATAAGTTTTTAACCTAATTATTTGTTGGGCAAAATTTCTTCCTCAAGCATGTACTGTTTCAGATATTCCAAAGTTTTTTTTCTTTCTGACATTGAAGGAATAGAGAGCGGAACTCCCTCTGATTATGCCTCCCAGACATCTGAAGCACCGTGTTGAGCCCTTGACACGTTTACTGAATTAATCATTCAGAGTATTCAGCAGAGATGTGCCTACCACTTGCCAGGTACTAATCTAGACCTGAGGGGGATGAGATAAAAAATCCCCCTTTGTGAAGCATGTGTGTTTTCATGGATTTGTGGGTACTTTTATTGAATCCTCATAATAGACCTAGGAAGTGGTCATTATTATCTACATTTTATAAAGGTGAAGTCATGGCTATCAGAGATTGAGTAACAAGGCCATATAACTGGAAGAGCCAGGATGCAACCCCCAGTCTACTCAAATCAGGGGTTAGAACTCTCTCCTTCCTGCACCTGGCCTGCACAAGAGTTTCCAGTGATTGAAGTAGTGAATATTTGTATAGATGGCTCCTCTAAAAGCAACCTATACAGTAAACAAATATCAACAGGCTTATACATCCATTCAACCAGTATTTAATATGCTTCTGTTATGCTTCAGGCACTGTTCTGGAGCTAGAGATACAGTAGTGGTCATGACAGACAAGACCAGATTGTGTGTGCATAGTAGGGGAGATGCAAATTGCAAATGATAAACAAACATAGATGTCTTTTGGTATGCCACATAGGATATACTATGTGATATAATTTCAGGTAGTGATGAAGGCTGTAAAATTGAGCAAAGTAGAGTAATATTCACTGCCATGGGGAGTTTCTAACAAGGATGTATTTGGACAGAGACCTGGATGAAGAATGTGATCAGGTTATGAAAATACCTGAGGGAAAAGTACACCAGGTAAGGGGATGAGACTCTGAGGCATGAATGAACTATCCATGTTTAAGGACCAGCTGTAAGGTCATGTTTAAGTACCAGCTACAATGGAGTGCATGAGGCTGGGGAGCAGGCTGGAGGGGAGGGGATAAATCAACAAGGAGGGCAAGACATAACTTGTATGACCTGTTTATTAGGACCTTTAGTTTTTTTTTTTTTTTTTTTTTTTTTTTTGAGACGGAGTCTCGCTCTGTTGCCCAGGCTGGAGTGCAGTGGCGTAATCTCGGCTCACTGCAAGCTCCGCCTCCCGGGTTCACGCCATTCTCCTGCCTCAGCCTTCTGAGTAGCTGGGGCTATAGGCGCCTGCCACTACGCCTGGCTAATTTTTTTTGTATTTTTAGTAGAAACGGGGTTTCACTGTGTTAGCCAGGAGGTCTCGATCTCCTGACCTCGTGATCTACCCACCTCCGCCTCCCAGAATGCTGGGATTACAGGCGTGAGCCACCGCGCCTGGCCAGGACCTTTAGTTTTAATCTAAGTGCAGTGGGAAACCAAAATGGGATTTTAAGCAGTGGAATTACGTCAGCTTATTTGTGCTTTACAAAGGGATCCTCTAGAAAGGAATTATTCAGCAGGAAACCCTGACCAGCCCTGACCTTGCTAAATAATTGTGAATCTACTGAACCTTTTCACAAACTACTTCCTAAAATAATTTGTAGATGTCAAGTCTTGAAAGATTTTTGAGGGCTCAGAAGAAGGAAATAAGTCTAAAAGATTGAACAATAAGGCTTGAAAACAAAGTTTAAAGACATTAGACTTTTATTTCCTATGTAAGAATTATATAATACTGTCTACATACTTAAAAGGCTACTGTACAGAAGACAGTGGGCAGTTTGTTTTTATTTCCACCTAGATCAATACTGCACAGATTAAACATGCCTCAATAGTAAGGATTGTGTCCTACACTTAGGGCTTTGGTCATGCCATGCCCAGAGTTGGCATCCTGTCTTCATATTTAATTCATTCACAAATAGCTATTCATGCCAACTTTGTATATAGTTCCATGCTGTGTATTGATGATACAAGTAAAATAATCCCTGATCTTAAGAACCTCACAGTGTGATGGGACAGATAAGTATGGGTCCTGTAGGAGATTCCCCAAAGCAGGGGAGCTTATTTCAATACTGAGGGAGTCAAGGAAGACTTCCCAGAAGAAATGACAGTTAAACTGAGCTCTGAAGGATTAAACAGGCATTGGCTCACCTAACAAGGGAAGAGCAGCCCAGATAGAAGAAATGGTGGACAGAGAGCTGTGTGGTGAGCAAAGCCTCCGTGTAGCTCCAAGGCCTTCTCATTACAGAAGGCTGACAGTCAGAGCAAGAGAGACCTGCACCGTGAGGTTGGTGAAGTTAGCAGGATCCTGGTCAAAAAGGGTCTTGATCATCATGCTAAGTTCTGAAATTTATCTTAAGCCTACTAGAAGGCAAGTGTTTTGTTTTCTTTTCGAGATGAAGTACAGATTTTCATATTAGAAATAATTTTTTCACAGTTTCAAATACTGGAATGAGTTCTGACGGGAGACTCTACTCACATAGAAATTGAGTGCTCCAGAAAGGACTAAAAATCTCTCTTTGGAAGTCTTAGGAATGTTTTCATCTCTCTGGGCTGGCTTAAAATGATTTTATCTTCTGGATGCTAATCAACAATTTGATCCTGAAAATCACGTTTATTACCAGAATTAACAACGTACTTTCTGACTTCTCTGGTGGTGATGGGTATATTTGCAATCCTTTTAGGAGCTGCTTAGTGATGTTGCTTCTATTTTCATGTGTAAACCAAAATCTAAAGTGCACGTGCTATCTAGAAGAATATCTGTGCTAATAACATTCAATATTTGATTCTGTGTTTTATTTAAAAGGATTACATTTGAAAAACACAGTTCCCTTTGGTTCTCATTAGATCTTGTCCTCCAATTTTTAAAATTGTGGTATGCATATAACCTACACATAAAATGCAGCATCTTAAGCATTTTTAAATATACAGCTCAGTGATATTAAATACATTCATAGTGTTGTGTAGTCATCATCACCATCCATCTACAGAACTCTTTTTGTCTTGTAAAACTGAAATGCTATACCCATTACACAGTAATTCCCCATTCTCTCCTCCCCACCAGCCCCTGGCAACCTTCAGTCTACCTTTTAACTTTTGACATGTAAAAAGTATTGGTTTAGCGTTAGTAAAGCTTGGTTTATAAAGCTCATTTTGCTTATGTAATAAACAATGGTCTTATGTAAAAGGCTCAGGACAGGATTTGGCACACAGTAGGCATTCAGTAAATGGTAGCTGTTATGATTATTATGTTGGATAGGTTTAAAGCTGTTAAACAACGGTCTATACTTATTTGTGATTGCTAGCACTAGCACGACGAACCTCACACATCATCTTAGTCTCATTTTTTCTTAAAGATTTCTTATAAAATAAGTACAGATCCTGCAACTTGTCTCTGATGTAAATCTGCTGCTTGGTACTACTCACAGCCTCTCTAGGCTCACCTCACTTCCACTGTCGTCACTTCTAGGCATTTCTGTTGGGTGATCTTTCTCTACTCCTAATGGAGGAGCCTGGTTTTCATCGTCAGTGGTCATCATGAACCCTGAAAAACCATGCATGTATTAAGTGTTAACTTTAAAGTATTTCTGTACAAAACAATTTGAGACAAAGTGACCTCATCCCAAACAATCCTCCTACACAATTTGGTAACCTCATGTTTTCCTAATTGAAAAAGTTTAGCTCTTAGACCCTCCCTTGTGTCTCCCCAACTTTATAAACATTTCTGACCAGAAGGATCATGATTCTCTCTACATTTTTTTTTTGATACAGAGTCTCACTCTGTCACCCAGGTTGGTGTACAGTGGCGCTATCTCAGCTCACTGTGACCTTTGCCTCCTGGGTTCAAGCGATTCTCCTGCCTCAGCCACCTAAGTAGCTGGGATTACTGGCATGTGCCACCACACTCGGTTAATTTTTGTATTTCTAGTAGAGACAGGATTTCGTCATGTTGGCCAGGCTGGTCTCGAACTGGCCTCAAGTGATCCTCCCACATTGGCCTCCCAAATTGCTGAAATTACAGGTGTGAGCCACTGCACCTGGCCCAGTTCCCTCTACTTCTGGAAATAATTGTAATCATATATTTGAGAATGATATTGTTCCCATGATGGAATAATATATAGGGTTCCTCATCTGGGACAACTGTATGTAGAGTGGGTAGATACGGGGTCTTGAGTGTAGATCAATTGAGCCTGGTGGGATTCAGATGTATTTGGAGTATCATATGAATTAGTGGAGCACATAACTCAGAGTTAAGTCTTTGATGGGTTTATTTATATGGGCATAAGGGGCCTATCAGGCAGAATTTTCTATAGGAGCACTTGGGGATGGCATGGTAGGGAGGTCACAGTGGAATCTATTCTTTTGCCTGCCATGTCTGGCCTCGTGATCAGACTCTCTGGGGAGAAAGCTTCAGGCTGGTGCTACAGGAGCTCTCGTAACAAAGGTATTTGTGAAACACTGGGATTTAAGTCATGGTTCAGCCTAGATGGGCAGCATTGGTGTGTAGCTCCACAGAACTGGTGAACACAAGAATGAACAAACACATTTTGGGCACTTTCCTGAGGGCTGAGGTATTGCCAGAGTTGGTTGGGGCAATAGCTACTAGAATTTGCCTTATTATTATTATTATTATTATTGATGTGCTTTCATGTAGAAGCAGACAGGTGGATGAGGCCTGAGAACAATCAGGAATGAGTCAAGTGTTTCCTTGATTCTACTTTCCTGTCAGCTTTAAGATGATTCACTTATTTAATAACAGCTCTTTTGCGGGGAGTAGGGAGGAGCAAAGCAACACAGATACACATGATGTCTACACCAATTTTAAGATACCTTCTGATTACAGAAACTTTAAAAAATGGAGGAAATTATGCTTCTTAGAACCAAGAAAATATGGTATATAATATCTGGTTTTGTGGCATATTTTACTGATATCAACTCAACTGCATCACTTTCCAACAATAGCTTTGGAGTCAAAGAGAATGGAGTTTGTATTCTGGCTCTTCAATAGCTGTAAGCTACTTAATTTATTTATGCTTCCTGCATCTCAGTTTCCTCTTTGGTAAACTGAGACAATAATGATTAAATAATCATCATAAAAATAATTCTTGTAAAGTACTTAGCATACTGACTGGCAGACTGTAAGTGCTCAAAAATGGTAGTTACTGTTATTTTATTTTCTGTGCAGTAGAAATGTAAAGTTTTACTAAATACCAAATCACTGTTTAAAAGGAACATTGGCAATCTGGAAAAGGGTATCCAGACTACTGAAAGATCTATCAACCAAATCATACAAATAATTGCTTTAAAAAAGTGGGAATAATTTGCTGTGCACAAAGCAGGAAGTGGGGGTGGAAAAGGGAAAAGACACAATTATTAGCTGTGAATGTGAAGGGCTGTCATGTATGTAAATTAGGGAATAGATTTTTGTGTGTGTGGAAATTTTGATATTTAAAAGATAGTCATTCTTGTACATTAGCAACCAGGCAGTTTTAACATATGCTGAACTTTTCACATTCTTCCTCAGACCACACTCCGTTGACTCAGACTCGGTAACTGTTGCTTCTGACCACACATGCCAATTCTCATTGTTCTTGTTGGTTTTAAGCTTTGATCTGGAGACAGCAATAGTAAGACTGTGAGGTCAGTCTTAGAAATTAGAAATAGTCACAAGATGAGTATGATTTGGCTTCTTGGTTGTTTTAGTGGCTTTGAAAAAGCCTCTAATTTGGGCCTTTTATGTAGTGATGATGTGGGAGAAGCTGGATATCTCGTGGGAAGAAAAAACTGAATAGTGGCTGAGATGATCTTAGTTTTTGTTCTCCTTTAATATCTCTATTACAAGCTCCTTATCTCTAGAAAGAAATGAATAAATACAGTGTTGGAACCTCATATAAAAGAGCTATTTTCAGCTAGGTCATATCAGTTTGACTCCATGCTTGAGTTTGTGGCAGTAAAAGAACAAGGCCTAGAGTTCATAGGATGAGTATTGTGATACCAAGATTGCTGGTGTATCTAACATAGCCTTCAAAGTAGTGTTATCACTTTTGATTAACTACAACCACTGAATCTTATTCTTCACATGCAAACCATGGGCCTGGTAGTGCCTAAAGATGCTCTGCGGTGGAGTTCTTATTTAGCCTGTCTCCTTAGTAAAGCTGAACCAAATGTGACATTAATAAAGTGGTCTGTGTGAACTGACAGAAGAGTACTTCATTTCTTAATAGTTGTTTTATATCTCCCTTGATCGCATTACTGACTTTGTTTAACTAGTAAGTTGGTATTTAGTTGTTGCATTTCTGTGATGGGAGCAGGTGCTGGTTTAAGCAGCTTCCAGAAAAAAAGGCAGGCACAAAGACAAATGAGAAGCATTACCAACATCAGGCCAGTGACTAGGAAGCTTCATTGTAATGCACTGCACTGCTCCCGTGTTCTTGGCCAAGGGAGTTTCATTGCTGTAGGCAAGTAGCTAGATCTGTCTGTTGTCAGTCACGTTGATCTGTCACGTTTGCTAGGATGTACAGATGCATAATGTGGACAAGGAGCTGAGGATGATTTTGTATGTGCCAGATGGGATTGTGTGATATGATCTCCCCTGACTGTGGGAACGACTGGCTTAGAATGTTCTTGAGCTGCAAAAAATATCTCCTCATTACTGTGTACAATTAATTACATGCCATCAGCTTACTGTTTGCTATAAATAGGCACAGATTTATCTTCATTTACATTTTAGAAGGCTTACTCTCTTCCCAACAAAACAGCATTTTTCGTAGGAATGTATGCTGGAGGGAAATGTAGGTGCTGTCTTTCTATGGGAGATGTGGCAAAACCCCAGCAGAACTCTGATATTTTAAATTATAAAATAATTTATAAATAAAAAATATATAAATGATATTTTGTATTATTTAAAATAATATATATAAATATATATTATAAAATATTATATTTTTATATTATAATTTTAATTTTATAAATTTAATATTATAATATTAAAATTTTAAAATATAAAAAATAAATAAAATATAAATAAATAATATATAAATAAAATATAAATAAAAATCTGATATCTTAATTATAAAATATTTCTGTTCTTTTAATCATTAAGAATGTCTTTTATTTTTTATCTCCGTCAAACGTACCATGTTTTGAAAAATTGTCCTCTATCAAACCACCTGTATTAAATAAAATGTACTCCCAATTTAATAACAGCAGCCATAATTCAGAAGTTCTGATCAATTGAAACATTATAGCTAGGAGAGAAAAAAATGGTTTTAGACCTTTGTTCACTTTTTTGAGATGTAAGTGTGATTTCCACTAGTCATTCTTTAAAAAAGATGAAAGACAGCTCTACAGTTTTATTAATGCTTTCGCAGACCAATAGGAATTCGGGCACCTTTGAATTACCAATGTCCTAGCATCATGTAGCTATTATATTATTATGATTATTAATTATTGCAATTATAAATTTTATACAAATTTTTCCTGTATTATTTTATTTGCCTCATAAGAATAATCCCTTCAGATAGCTATTTGGTTCCTATAATATGAAGACCCTAAGAGACAGAGAATACAACGGACTTGTCCAATATCACATAGCTATTCTGAGACTTCAGTTTCAAAATCAGGCACAAAGGTCTCTTTTCATCTTTGGTCATGAACTTTATGAAAGTTTTCAACAAATCTGCACCCATTCATGCATTTTTAAGTTGACATGTAAAGTTTTTCATTACAAATTTAAATAGCTTCAAATGTAACATCTCTGATGTATCTAATGTACCAATTATATTAGTCTTTTGAATGTATCCTATAGTATGAAGTGATTGTCACCCAGTTATAAAATACATGGAACAATTTTTTATTTAATAGTCAAAAATAATACATCATTTTTTTCTGCATGTCTTGTATTTTTGTTCCATTTTCCCTACAGAATGCTGTCTTGAAGTTTTTATACCCAAATATGTTTTATAAATCGTAACATTATATATCTTTGCAACCAAAGTGCAGTTGATCCTCATAATTTGTCAATTTTGTATTTGCAAATTTGTCTACTCATTAAAATTTATTTGCAACCCCACAATCAGTACTTGTATCACTTTTGTGGTCATTCACAGACATGCAAAGAGCAGTGAGAAAAATGAGTCACCCAATGCATGTGTTCCCAGCTGCGGTCAAACAAGGCTATGTTCTGTTTTCCTGCTTCAGCTATCATACTACAAACAAGTATTTTTTTGAGGTTTATTGAGCACATCTTCTGTGTTTTTTTTGGTAATTTTCCTTGTTTATAGTAAGTATAGTGCCAACATGCTATCTAGTGTTCCTAAGTGGAAATGTTGTGGGAATTAAGGGATGGGAGAGACCAATAGGTTGAACAGGAGGATTTTATTTAGTTGGCCACCAGTCCAGTGAATTAAAATCCAAAGGCTGAGCCCTGAACAAAGACAGGGCTTGACTTTTATACATGCAACTGAAGGGGGTTGGCCAGTTTAGTGGTGTGAAACCTGCAGGGTGGGCAAGCAAGCTTACAGAAGCAGAACAAAGGCAGTTTATCAAACAGTGACAGACACTGCAACTCAAGCGTGTCTTGTGACCTTTGCCATACTGCACAGATGGGAAAGCAGGAACTTGCAAAACTCCTACAAACTTACAAAAATAATCACGAGAATGGTAAGGGAGAAGGGGGAAGCTAAAAGGGGAGAAGAACTTGTTTTTCTCATCCCTGCTCCAGGATGGGATGGCTCTGGGGCTCTGGGGCTCATCCCTTGAGGGCCCTGGCTCTGCAGATAGTGTTATCAAAGCCATGCCAGAGCTCTGCCTATCACTGGGTCTTGGAGTGTGTCAGCCTAGTACAAGGCTTGTTTTTTTCCTGCTTCATAATAACACTATGATGTGCCTTAGGGAGAACACATATGGGTTACTGGAACTTTCTTCAGGCAGGGGTTACAGTTTTATTGGCTGCTAATTCAATGTTATTGAATCAATGATATACATTAAACAAGAGGTTTTAAAGTAGAAACATCATTAAACAAGGCTATATATTGATTGGTTGATAAAAATGTTGTGACCAGAAGCTTGCAGGAACTTCACTTTGTATTTCCTCTAGGAGCAATGTTTCAGTGTTTGCTAATTCAATGCTCACAGCAACTTTATAGAACATAGCTTCCACAAATAATGAGAATTGACTATATGTATGTAATTTTAAAGTATTTTAAAATACTTTATAATCAAAAGCTCTAAGTATTAATACATTTCTTCTGTACTGAGCTATCATTAAAGTTCTTTTTTTAACTTTTAAGTTCAGGGGTGCATGTGTAGGTTTGTTACATAGGTAAACTTGTGTCACGGGGGTTTGCTGTACAGATGATTTCATCACCCAGGTATTAAGCCTAGTATCTGTTAGTTATTTCTCCTCATTCTCTCCCTCCTCCCACTCTCACCCTGTAATAGGCCCCAGCGTGTGTTGCTCCCCTCTAAGTGCCTATGTATTCTCATCATTTAGCTCCCACTGATAGGTGAGAACATGCAGTACTTGGTTTTCTGTTCCTGCATTAGTTTGCTAAGGATAATAGCCTCCAGCTCCATCTCATTCTTTTTTACGGCTGCATAGTATTCCGTGGTGTATATGTACTACATTTTCTTTATCTAGTCTATCATTGATGGGCATTTAGGCCGATTCTATGTCTTTGTTATTGTGAATAGTGCTGCAGTGAATATAAACATGGATGTATCTTTATAATAGAATGATTTATATTTTTTGAATATAAAGTTTTTAGTAATATATAATTATGCACACACACAGGATTTACTTATTGAATTAGCTTTATCATGCAGGCAATCAAGAAAGATAAAATCAAGGAGTATAAAGAGATAGAGATAAAATAAGGAAGATAAAAGAATTACATTATTTATTGAATTTTTATGATATGGCAGTAAAAAAAAAAAAAGGAAAAAAAACAGAGAGGAGAGATGAGGAAAGAGAAAGCAAGAGAATCAGAGGATAAATGGAGAGGAGAGCAGAACCTAGGGTAAGTGGGGAGAAAATGAGATTGTGTTACATATTTGGGTAAGAAGAGAGGTTTAATAATTACACCTGCCTGTAAAAATGGAAGTCAGAGGGAATAAGCACATACACATGCAAACATGGACACACACATTTCAAGAGTGCCTAAAATATAGACATTAAAATTTTATTTCTTTTTTAAAGAAAACCTTTAGTTAACTGACACATTTATCTATGAAAATGGTTTCCCAACAGTGTTAATGGGGATAAAATCCAGTGAGAAATGTATGGGAATTATGTCATGCAGTGGAAAGGGAGTGTTAGAGGCAATGCAACTTCATGTTTATAGCAAAGATTTGCCTTGCTTTAAGGAATTCTACAAAATTAGATGCATTTTGTTAGCTTGATGCATCTAGTTTTGCATTAAGAAGAATATTTTTATTCCAAAATTATTATTTGTTCTAGCATAGGTTCGTTAGGTGGGCACCTTTTAAAATATGAAAACCTCAGTACATTTATAGGTCAACTTATGATGAATTGAAAATAAAAATAAAACATTTAAATCAATATGAAAATATTACCAAATTTATGAGACTTGTATATTAAATTTCAGGAACCTATGTTATTGCATTAAGCAAGAGTATGTCTGTTTATCCCAAGTTTTGTTGTTTACTTTAGCTACATATTCTTCCTTTTAAAGTTAAGTGATGGTATAGGAAAGGGTTTCTTGAACTTTGTGGTATTACGTCATGTCATTGGTGTGATAAATCAGTACCGGGCAATAGTACTTGAAGTATGCTTATAATTCACATTGATCTTCATACTTAAATTTGCAGGCTACCTTGACACAGATCCAAATAAAAGTATTTTTGTAAATTACTGATGTATCTAATCCAGTGAAATTGAGTTATATGGTCATGTCTGAATAATTCTCATTTTGATAATTTTATAATCGTAATCATGACATTCAGAGTCATATTATGGTCAACTTTCTAAATTAGATTAAAAGAAATATCTATTTTTGGTTACATAGAACAAGTTTCATTTAGTGCTGAAAGGTCAGGCTTAAGACATTTCTAAATGGCACTTCCAAAAACGGCAGCACTGTTACTGCCAAAGGGCAGGTGAAAATGCATTTCCCCATATAATTTTGAATGTTAAAAAAAAGAAAAATCAAAGAAATAAATTCCAATTTAATCTTTTAGCTGAATGTCACTGATCACCATGAATCTTTGTTAAAATGTCTTTGTTAATAGTATTGTAAACTGTCATTTGCTTCAAAATTTTAATGGTTATAGAGATGATAGAACAACATTATTCTGTTCTTTTCAAGTGGTTTGACTTTCCCTAACTAGTTCCCAAAGACAGATTTTGAGCTTTTTTGCTTTTGGTTTGCTGAGGCAGAGGAGAAACGTTACATGAAGGCTTGTGTTACTTAGCACTGGTCTTCTGTGAAAATAACTATTCTGAGAGAAGTGGCTTGTCCAAGGAAACAAAAGTATTTCACAGACTTCTTTGAATGTCTTTATTGTATAGCTAAGGAGTGGGAAACCCTTGACTAACTGGAAATGTAGTCCTCTTAGTCTAGTTTCTTTTGGCTTAAACCTAACTGGAATAGTATCATTTATGCCTATAGTTTCAAAAACACAATCGGACAGTGACAGCCTTTAGTCCAGTTTCCTGGACTACCACAAGATGGGGCTAAATTATAAGTAGACAATGATATTTGTGGTCTATCAGAGCAGGCATTTACCTGATTTTAATTTTGTGATTGTTGCTGCTGCTGTTGTGATGGGAAAATGAGTATGTAACCATCTAAAGCTTACAAACTTTAGTAAGTGAATTTTTTTTTTTTTTTTTTTTTGAGACGGAGTCTTGCTCTGTCGCCCAGGCTGGAGTGCAGTGGCAAAATCTCGGCTCACTGCAAGCTCCGCCTCCTGGGTTCATGCCATTCTAATATTTTTTAAAACAACTCTGGAAGAAGTATTTCTTCTTCCCAAATGATCTACTTTAGTGGGTGTATATATCATTTTTTTCTTGCCCAAATAGCGAGTTTGCCTTTTTGCATTTTAAATTATTGTACTGATTGATTATGTATCTGCATATATGACATAAAATAGTACTTTTAAAAAGATTGGTCTAGCGTTCCATGTGATGAAATACCTCTCTCTAGCCTTTGTTTCTCTCCCCATGTCATAGACATTATCTCTTCTCCTTCTCCTTCTATCTGCCTCCTTTTCATCTGTCTCTCATTTTTATCAGGTAACTGAAATGCTGAGGGTGTTTTTCCATTTTCTATACCTTCTCCTACCTCTATGACTGGGGAACCCTAAGCTAGCATGCTCAGATAGAACTGAAGAAATTCACTGGGTTAGGAGGAATGTGCATCCAAAGAGTTTGAAATCTGGTCTTATGTGCTAAATATTCATAAATATAAAATTATATTGATAATATTTATTTATTCATTAATTGACTATTCACTGAGCACAGACTCTGGACTCAGTGCTATACTAGATATTAAGTATAGATTAGTTAGGACAGAAATGACTTCTTTAGTAATTAGGTTTTTGTAAATGCACAGATAATAAGTTTTCCGTTGACACATTTTGACAAATATATTTACTTGTATACCCAATACCCAAGTTGAGATATAAAACAATTTCATCACCCTAGAAAGTTCTCTATTCACCTTAATCCCATTTCCAGTCAATTCATCCTGCCCACATTCCTATTCCTAGCAACTACTTTTTAAATTTCTATCACAATATGTTAATTTTTCCCCTTCTTAAACTTGATATAAATGGAATTGGCTGTTTTATGTATGGCTTCTATCGCTCAGCAGAGCATTTTTGAAATTTATCCATGTTGTTGAGTATATCAATAGTGTGGCTATTTATAGTGTATTATTTTCTTGTATAATACATCACAGTTTGTTTATTCATTCTATTGATGGATGCTAAAGTCACTTATGATTTTTTACTATTCTGAATAAAAGTGCTATGAACATTCTCATACACATCTTTTTGAAGACATATGCTTTCACTTATTTTATATATAAACCCAAAAATGGAATTGCTGAGTCCTTGTATAGGTGTATTTTTAACTTTATAAGAAATTGCCAAATAGTTTTTGAAAGTAGTTATACAATTTTTACTATAAATAATAATATAAGAAGTTTCCAGTTTGTCCACATACTCAGCAGCATTTCCTATAGTCAGCTTTCATTTTAGCCATTCCAGTGGGTGTAAAGTAGTATTTCATTGTTTGGAAGTATACCTAACCTAATAAGCGTATTTATTAACAATACTACCAGAAATCTGGAGGGTATGATGAAAAAATCGAGAACGGCAGTCAAGAGTGCAAAGAAGAATCTTGGAGAGGA
The DNA here is from genome assembly GCF_000001405.40 of Homo sapiens. Classification (NCBI taxonomy): domain Eukaryota; kingdom Metazoa; phylum Chordata; class Mammalia; order Primates; family Hominidae; genus Homo; species Homo sapiens. Next base: position 107,036,047 of record NC_000011.10, on the reverse strand, counting down.
AAGACAAAGTAGTATGGGGATTAAACTATGTAGTGAGAAGGAATGAATGAATATTCAGAGTTTTCTATGTTAAGCAGTTGTCTGTGATAATAGGTATAAGAGTCATTAAAAGTGCTGACCAGGAGATCGAGACCATCCTGGCTAACACGGTGAAACCCCGTCTCTACTAAAAATACAAACAAATTAGCCGGGCATGGTGGCGGGCACCTGTAGTCCCAGCTACTCAGGAGGCTGAGGCAGGAGAATAGCGTGAACCTGGGAGCCGGAGCTTGCAGTGAGCCGAGATTGCCCCACTGCACTCCAGCCTGGGTGACAGAGCAAGACTCCATCTCAAAAACAAAAACAAAGTGCTGACCAAAGCAGGGAGAGACCTCAGTTATGTGGTACATTTAGCTGTTTGTAGCTCAGTTGATATTCAGCTTAAATTTTAAAAAAGTATTGAATAGATGATAATAGAATGTTTGAGCTATCATTGCCCCAGACCCCTTCTTGCTCTCATTCTTATGATGTCTTAAAATGCTGGTCATACTCTGTTCCAGTAATTAAAACTAATTACAGAAGATTTCACCCTGTAGAGTGCCCTAAAATTAAATATCCGTATCAACACTTTGCCCTTGACCCAGACTCACCTACAGATAGATAATTCTGGCTTAAAACCCTCTTTCTCAAAGTGAAAAAGGGGAGTTTGTTCAAATCATCTTGTAGTAGGAAGAACACAATGTCTTCTGAAAGGAGAATGTAGAATTTATCACTACCATAGGTCATCAAAACATTTTGTAGGACTTTTATTGGTCATAAATATGATGGAGCTAATATATTTAGATCTTGGCATTAAAAAATCATTCACCACTGTGGTTACATTTCACTATCTCAAATGTTAAATTCTGCATTTTAAAACTTGCCAACAAACTTTAAAAAAAATTCCACATTTTACTTTGGAATAATTTTACATTTACAGAAAAGTTGTGAAGATAATACAAAGATTCCATATACCCTTGACCCAGATTTCCCTACTGTTAAACAACTCTCACAACCATGGTGCATTTGTTAAAACTAAGAAATGAACACTGGTACCTTACTATGAACTAAACTTTAGACTTCATTTGGATTCCACCATTTTTTCCGCTAATGTCCTTTTTGTTTGTTTCAGGATTCAATCCAAAAGATAGAATATTGCATTTAGTTATCATGTATCCTTAGTCTTCTCTGGCCTGAGTCAGTTTCGTAGTCTTTTCTTGTTTTTCATGATCTTGATAGCTTTGAAGAGTCCTGGTCAAAAATTCTGTAGAATGTCTCTCAATTTGGATTATCTGATGCATTTCACACTATTAACCTGGGTTATAGTTTTTTTTGGAGAGAAATACTGTAGAAGTGGAGTGTCCTTCCCATCACAACATATTAGAGGGACATAGTATCAATATGACTTATCACTGGTGACGTTAACCTTAATGACTCGGATAAGATGATGTCTGCTGGGTTTTTCCACTGTGAGATTACTATTTTTCCCTTTTCACATTCTATTCTTTAGAAGCGAGTCACTAAGTCTAGTTCACACTCAACATGTGTCTGTGGTGGGGACAAGGGGCATCATGGGAATTAAGCTCCCTCTCTTGGAGTGGGCATTATTTACGTATATTAAAGGGAAATTTTCTGTACAGAAGATTTATATCTTCTATCCATTTACTTATTTTTTCAATAATTTATATTTATCAGTATGGACTCATGGGTATTTATTTCATACTTTGTTTTAGACTCTAATAATCCATTATTTTGTTCAAATTTCTAGCTTTGTTTGGACTTTGCGAGCACTTTTGGGTTGGCTCCAGTGACTTTTTCACATAAATAACCCCTATTTATTTTCCTTTTTAGTGCTTATTTACTTTTTGACATTACAAGATGCTGTAGACTCTTTTTTTTTTTTTTGAGATGGAGTCTTGCTCTGTCACCCAGGCTGGAGTGCAGTGGGGCAATCTCGGCTCACTGCAAGCTCCGCCTCCCAGGTTCACGCCATTCTCCTGCCTCAGCCTCCAGAGTAGCTGGGACTACAGGCGCCCGCCACCGCGCCCGGCTAATTTTTTGTATTTTTAGTAGAGACGGGGTTTCGCCGTGTTAGCCAGGATGGTCTTGATCTCCTGACCTCGTGATCCGCCTGCCTCGGCCTCCCAAAGTGCTAGGATTACAGGCGTGAGCCATCGCACCCGGCCGCTCTAGACTCATCTTATATTTTTCCTGTGCTGGCCCTAGAATCAGCTGTTTTTTTCCAGGACTCCTAGTTTCATTTACTGGAAATTGCATTTAGAAACCAAGATCTTGATACTGGATGTGTTTATTAAAACTGGGTGTCATTGCCTTTAGACCCTTTCTGTGGACAGAGCTAGAAAATAAATGAATAGTATGTATACACACATCATATCCGTGTGTACACATAGTATCTACAGAATGTTTTACAATGGCTTGGGAAATACCTTCGCATGAAATGCAGAAGGAAATACCAATATTATAAAAGTCAAAGGATTCGATGGAAAATGTCTTACCCTGTGCCAGATATTACTCATGTAGTGCTACTTTTGGTGGATATAGGTGCTAGGGACTTGGCATATCACCGACAAAACATTGAACTAATTTATTAAATGGCTGAAGTGTATTTTGAGGTTTATTTTTTCAAAACAATTTATTCATCTTAATCCCTCCTCCTTCAAATTTTTAATCTGAAAACTTTGTCTGCTATAAGTACTTCTTTTACTAACTCTTTTGGATATTCCTATGATGATTATTTGTCATATTTTCTCTTTTTTTGGCTTCCATATTTCACTTTTTTCTTTACCTAATAAAGCCCTGATATTTTCACTGCTTAAAAAACCCATAGAATAAAGCTATATATAAAACTTTACTTATATAACTAAAGCTATTATCTACTTTTCTTCAACTAGCATTCTAGCTGGTTAAGCCAGATATAACACTCTGATCTTGCTTTAGTACTGCCCCCTTTACTCCAGTGGTGTTTACTAATACAATTGGCCCTCCGTATCTGTGGGTTCCTCATTCATGGATTCGATCAACTGTGAATTGGAAATACTAAAAGCAAACAAAAAAGGATGGTTATGTCTGTACTGAACATGTATAGACATTTTTCCTTGTCATTACTTCCTAAGCAATACAGTATAACACCATTTCCATAGTACTTACATGGTATTAGATAACATAAGTAATCTAAAGATGATTTAAAGTTCTCAGGAGGATGTGCTTAGGTTATATGCAAACCCTACACCGTTTGTATAAGGGACTTGAGCCTCCATGGATTTTGGTATCTGTGGGGGTCCTAGGACCAATCCTCCATGGATAGCAAGGGACAACTCCATTAATGTCTTCAAGATGCCCATATCTTTCTTCTCCTCTCATAGTTAATTTTGAAGGCCTGGAAGTGGGGGTGGGGGGACTTTTATTTTTATTTTATTTTTAATTTTAATTTTATTTTTATTTTTTTCCATTTTTTTTGTTGTTGCTGCTTCAATGTCTTTCAAGCATCTCTCTATGCTGTAGGGATTTGATCCAGTTTTTTCTTTCTTTCACAGATTCTTTTTTTAAAAATAATTTCAACTTTTATGTTAGATTCAGGAGGTACACGTGCACATTTGTTACCTGTGTATATTGTGTGATGCTGAAGTTTGGGGTATGAATGATCTCATCACCCAGGAAGTGAGCACAATACCTAACAGGCAGTTTTTCAGCCTTGATCTTGTCCCTTCTTCCCTCTCCAGTAGTCTCCAGTGTTTATTGTTCCCATCTTTATGTCTGTGTGTACTCAATGGTTAGTTCCCACTTATTAGTTAGAACAAGTGGTATTTGGTTTTTTGTTCCTGCATTGATTTGCTTATGATAATGGCCTCCAGCTGCATCCCATTTTGCTGCAAAGGACATGACTTCATTCTTTTTATGTCTGCATAGTATTCCATGGTATATGTGTACCAATTTTTTTAATCTAATCCATCACTGATGGGCATCTAGGTTGATATGATGTCTTTGCTATTGTGAATAGTGCTGTGATGAACATACAAGTACATGTATCTTTTCTGGTAGAATGATTTATTTTCCTTTGGGTATATATCCAGTAATGGGATTGCTGGGTTGAATGGTAGTTCTGTTTTAAGTTCTTTGAGAAATCTCCAAATTATTTTCCACAGTGGCTGAACTAATTAATATTCCCACCAACAGTATGTAAGTGTTCCCTTTTCTCTGAGGCCTCATTAACATCTTCTACATATTCTTATGCTGCACATCCTCAAACCCCTCTGCTATCCTATAGTATCTGACTGGATACCCAGGACCTTTACTTGTTGTGATGGTTAATTTTATGTGTCAATTTGACTGGGCCATGGGATGCCCAGATATCTGGTTAAACATTATTTCTGGGTATGTCTATGAGGGTGTTTCCGGAAGATTAGCATTTGAATTGGGGAACTGAGTAAAGTAGATGGCTTTCCCCAGTGTGGGTGGACACCATCCAGTCCACTGAGGGTCTGAATAAAACAAAAAGCTAGAGCAAGTCTGAATTTGTTCTCTGCCTGACTGCTGGGGCTGGGACATCAATCTTCACCTGCTCTTGGTACTCCTGGTTCTCAGGCCTTCAGACTTAGACTGGAATCTGTACCATTGCCCTCCAGCTCTCAGGCCTTCAAACCGCACTGTCAGCTTTCCTGGGTCTCCACCTTGCAGACAGCAGATCATGGGATTTATCAGCCTGCGTAATTGCATCAGCCAATTCTTTATAATAAATTTCATTATATATATTTATAACATATATATAAATAATAGGATAGGTAATAATAAGATATAAGACACATTATATATGTGTGTGTGTGTGTGTGTGTGTGTGTGTGTGTGTATGTCCTATTGGTTCTGTTTCTCTGGAGAACACCAACAAAATATACCTGTTGATTATCAGTTGTCAGCACAGTTGGGTGATTATATATAAATATAAATTTATATTATCTCTATATAGAAATCAGGGTAGAACATAAAATAGTGTATACTTGATATCTCTACTTTCTAATTTTCACTTTGCTCAACTCACTGCAAACTGGCTTCCAGCCTTCACTAAAACTATTTTAAGTTTTCCAAAGACTTCTTGACAAATCCAATGAATGTTTTCCATTTCTAAAAGCTATTATTGGACTACTTTACCATGTTTAACTATGGAGTCTTCCATTCTTAAATTTATTGACATGACATTCTTCTGATTCCTCATTGTGCTTGCCTGGCCTGTCTTTCTCTCTTTCCTCTGAGAGCCATCTTAGATGTTGGTGTTACTCAAGTATTTTTATTTGTATTTTCAGTACACTATCTCTGTGTATCAGTTTCCTATTGCTTCTGTAACAACTTACCACAACCACAAACTTAGTGGTTTAAAGCAACAGAAGCTTATGTTCTTACAGTTCTGGAGGTCAGAAGTCCAAAATCAGTTTCATTGGACAAAAGTCCAGGCGGTGGGAGGGCTGTTACTTCTTTAGGCGGTGAGGGAAGGATGTGTTTCTAGCAGCTGCTAGAAGTCTCCTATGTTTCTTGGCTTGTGGCCCCTTTCTCCATCTTCAATGTCATATCACTCAAATCTCTAATTCTGTCATCACATCACTTTCTCCTCTAACTCTGATTCTTCCCGCATTCCTCTTATAAGAAGCCTGTGATTACACTGGGCCCACCTAGATAATCCAGAATAATTGCTCCATCTCAAATTTCTTAACTTAATTACATCTATAAATTCCATCTTGCCATATAAGCTAACATATTCCCAAATTCTAGGAATTAAGATGTTGAGATATTCAGGGAGGTTATTATTTAGCCTACTACACTCTTGTTGATCACCTTCATTCTTACAGTTTTGATTAAACTAAATGTTGATGATTTTCATATCCGTGTATTCTACCCAGCTTTCTGTTCTGCACTCAAGATCCATACATCCAACTGCCTGCTAGACATTTTCACCTGGATTTATGTAAAATTCAATTATAAGAAGTAGACCTTATCACGTCCCCCAGGCCATTTTCACTTCCTATGTTTTTTATATCAGTTAATAGTCTCCAAAACTGAAATATGTGGTCATTCTTAAATCTCACCACTCTCTCAGTTCCCATATTAAAGCAGTTGCTGCATCCTGTTAATTTAACTTATCTTTTTGTCTAATATGTCCCCTCTAAATCTTCCTTATTTCAATGATCAGTTTTCCCATTTGCAGAATGGAATGATAGTGCATAATTCTTAAGCATTATGATATCAACTTTACAGATAAAGAAATTAAAGCATAGAGAAGTCAGAACGTTTTGCAAGGTTACATAACAAGAGAATTGGAGTTTAAATGTGGGGTTCAGTTTTTTCTACTTTAGGCAAGTTCCTTTTATCTTTTCTGGATTACTCAAATAGCCTCCTAACTATTTTCCCTGATAATTAAGTTTGGCTCTTCAAGTCTATAGTCCTCAATGTCACATGATCTTTCTAAGATTCAATAGTAATTCCTCAACAAGGTTCTCTGTGATCTGGATTCTGTGTACTTCTTATTACCATATTCTTCTGAGCCATATCCTGCTTTAATTCAATACTCTTAGCAGCCCTGACATCCTTGTATTTCTTGGTGCATACCTGTTTTTCTCAATCTTGTGCTTTTACTCTGGCTAATCTTTGCCTAGACTTCCCTTCCCTTAACTTCCCCATCTTTAAAATCCTACCTGTTCTTTAAAACTCAGCTCAGACATAATCACTAAGAAGGTATTTAAACTCCCTTTTCCCTAAGTTAGTATTAAGTGCTCCTCTATATCCTGTGTGTATTTCCACTATTAAACCTAGCAGTCTAAAAAATATCAGTTTGTGTGTCTGTTTCTGCTGCTTGTGTATATGTATGTGTGTTTTACTCTATTGCTGGATACTTGAAGAGAAAGATTGTGTTTTATACTCTTCTCTCTTCACAATGTCTAGCACAGTTCCTGGCACAAAATATTACTCAATAAATGCTCTTGAATGAAGAAATGTGTGCATATTCATTTTTATCATTTTCTCAACAAGATTAGAAACAGTCTTTGTATTTTCTGCATGAAGATATTACCTCTAAGTCTTTAGATAATAATCATAGTGGAGGCAATTACCATGCTGAAGAAAGAAAATGAATTCTACCTGTAATATGGATTCCTGTCTTGATAAGAAATTGCCTTACATAAAATAATATGAAATCATGATATTAATGTTTAATAGAAGAATGCTTTTATTGTCCCTATGAAAGCATTTTTCTATTTTTGCCTTGTTCAATATAAGTAAGCTGAAGGTATAATGAAGAGAAAATGTAAAATGCCTTTATACAATTTAAATTTCTTATAAATAACTAGTAATAGAAGGGAAATCTATTTCTGTTTGTATACATATTCATTCAAGCAGGAAAGCACCAATGACAAATTCCAAATTGTCAATTTACCCAACAGGAATATATCTATTTTGTGTCACAGTAACAGAGGACCAATACCCTGGAAAAAAGATTGTTATTCTTTGTTAAAAAATGTATAGCTTTGTTTGAGAATGCTGGACCTTGCTCCAATCTCGTATCAGCTGCTCCTGTTATTAGTGCTATACTCCAGTGAATTTGAGTGACAATCTAGTTTTGCCAGTGCTCATGTTTACTTAATTCCCAGATGTGTGAAGAATATTATAATCTATTTTATAAATTGAAACTATTTATTAGTGATTACAGTGACTTATTTTTCAATCTGGATAGATTGCACAGAAATTATGTCATTTTATATAATAAGAATAAGGCACTTTTTTTTTTCTAATGGAAAACTACCAACAAAAAGCAAACAGCAAACAGCAAAAAGGAAAAGTGCTCATTTTTGAAATAGGGCACCAAATAGCGAACAACTGAGGAAGAAATTCTGCTAAAATAATTGGGACTCAACGACACTGAAAATCTATGACCTCATCAGCCTGGAGACAATTAATTTTATTATGGTTCATTACATAACCTCCTGAAAATACAAGCACCATGTAAACTAAGAAAAATGAAGAAGCAATGAGAAGAATTACTGATAGAGAGCAAGACAAGCATTTCCCTTCAGTGGTTTTAATGTTTAGTTATCTCATTAAAAGACAGTTTTGAAGTAATTAATTATGATATTTGGATGGGACATTTGGATTTACACTCAAATCATTTGGACCTCTTTTTGAGGCACTTTTAAACAAAGCTACAAATGGTGGCTACTGCCTTATAAAATGAACAGTGTATATGGGATGGCTGGGAATGACTCTTCTTCATTTTTCATTTGTTTTCTCAAATACAGTAGTAAGCACTTTCAGTTGTGCTCTCTTCGCAAATAATCCACTTGTTAAAATGCTCATTAATTTATTAATCAAATGTTATCTCCTAAGCTGCTCTTCTTTATATTATGTGCCTCTAGCAAATACATCTAGTCATTGCTTTGGTTTCATTCCAGTCTAGTGATTTCAAACTCCTGTTGGCCAATCTTTGTTCTAGAATTGTATTTACAGCTGAGCACATGATATCCACCTCCCTTCTTCAGATATTCTGCAGTCATCTTGACAAATCTCAATATTCACACATACATCTGTCTTTCTCCATTCTCTTCCCTGCCTCTAATACATTCTGAACCTAGCTGCAAGTGTTCATTGTGTATGTTTACCCTGATTCACTAATTGACAATAAATTCCTGAGAGCTAGTCTTTTCAGTTTGTAGGGATGAACATTCTCTTTCCAGTAGTTGAAAACAAAGGTAGCAAGCTGAAAACCTTTTTCTCTGATAGAAAAAAGAAATGTATTAGATTGAACATAAGAGCACACTATATTTGGTATGAGTCAAGGTGGAATTATTATTGATCAATCTGGTTTAAAATCCTCTTCACTGAATCCACTAAGTTATTATATTGGGACACCAAATTAAGAAATTTTGGGTCTGTTCATCACTGACCCTAACACAGAAGTGGCATTTATTAGGTTTTGGGGGAATTTTAAACCTTTTTTATTTTTTAAAAATGGTTTCTGTAAAGGTTAACTTTTCATCCTGCTGGTCTATTAAAGACTGATATGCTTGGAAAATTAGCCAATTTCGACAAATAGTAAATGGAGATAAGGAGGTGATATACTTTATTGACTGGAATTATATTCTTGGACAATACAATAAGCAAATAATTTATAGCAGGTGTGCTTCAAGTTTGACTAATATAAAAATGTGTGTGTATATGTGAAGGGGGAAGAGCATAAAGAAACTTTGTTTTTTGTTTCTGTTTTTTTAGAGACAGTGTCTCAGTCTGTCACTCAGGCTGCACATACCTCAGTAATGGTTTGCAACTGGTTTCCTGGACATTGAGGCAGTCTGCCCTGCTGGTTTATGTTCTTGGGAATTATGAACTTCATAGATGACTGAGTAGCTTTTATTGGCTTATACAAAACTCTATTTGTATCATTTCCCAGGTCAAAAAGTTAAAATTATTTTTTTTCAATGCCTGTCAGAGAAAGTTCAGTCAACCTTTCCCAATCTGGTCTTTATCTTCTTATTCTATTTCTTGCCATTTCTCAGTATGCATTCTTTTATCCAGTTTGGATGTGATACATAGCATTTTCAAACAAAACATACTCTTTCTCTTCTCCATGCCCAATTAATTCATTTCCATCTATTAAAATTTTACCCATTCTTCAAAGACTAGTTCAAGCCCCATTTCCTTCATAAGCAAATATTTAGAGTTTATATTTCTTTTTCTCCTAGAATATTATATTACTTATTTTCCATATGACATCTTAACTAGTACTATTTTCTATGGCCATTTAACTTTTCATGTTATTTAACTTTTCCTTATGCTTACTACAGTGTAAGTTTCTCAAAAGTAGGAACCATATATTATCTTTATAATGCTTATTGCGTTTGGCTTAATATTAAACGTTCAGTTACTCAAATATGTGTTGAGATGAATGGATGAGTTAACTTAGCCATGATGGCTATGTGTAACTGGACTAATGCAAACCTATTATTACTCCCTGAGAAAAGGACTGAAATAAAATTCTCTGCAAATAATGAGCCAGATTTATTTTTTTTTCCTCAAGCAATAGTCTTTCTTAGAGACAGCATTCTACCCTAGAGCTATAAAATGAGATTTTGCAGAGCTAAGAGCTTACCTGTGATTAGCTATGTGCCATAGGACCATGGACAGTTTCCTCAATCTTTGCATGCTTTTGTTTCTCTATCAGCAACATACAATAAATTGCCTTCTTTCCCTTGCTTGATAATAGAAGTTATAGGAAATAATGAGCCCTACCTTTGACTTCCCTGTTCTTTCCAAACAAAGAGTGGTTACCAAGATTTCAGGGTCTGTATTTAAAAAATATATAATTTTAGAAATATATGTATATAATTACATGTATGAAGTCTTTTCAAAAATAATACTTCATGAGATAATATTCTGCTCATCTATCACATGTATAGCCGTTGGTAAAAAAAAATTGTATGTTTAATAAATATCAAAAGCAAATAATTTGTCTTTGCAAATTCTTTTGTTTCTTATTATGTATTTAAAGCTCAGTTTATAGACAATCAGTTAAAACTATAAAATGTTTAAATATAGAATAATGCACTATTTATAAACCACAAATGCATAGGCAACACTATGTATACAAAATTATTGCAGCAAAAATGACTTAAAATACATCATTTTCATTTTATATTTGTAAGATCTTATTGCCTATTTACTCAGAGTCTGTAATCAAGATAAAAGACAAGCTTTTCTGAGAACTTTGGAAGCTGAGCAACCAGAGTCCTGGTTTCCAAACTATGTACCAACAGGTCCTAGGGTGGTGCAGTGGATGCACATGGCTGCTGAGGTATATTTTAACATTTTGAGAGGAACGCAGTGATGCTTAATGTCAGTTGAGCACCAAACAGACTATTAGCTTGAGGTAGCTTATAGTTTTAGCATTGGATTGTATTACCTTATTTTAATCACTTCATGCATTTGTGAAGGTGGGTTTTGGAGGCTGCTATGATTATGAGCAATAACCATGGGAAAATCAGTGTGGAATAAAATATGAGGATGACAATGTCCAATATGATCCCAAGGTTTGAAAAGTTGTGCAGTGTTCAAGTTTATTAGCTAAAATAATTAAATAATTATAGTTAGTTAATAATGAAATAAAGATATTATTTTTCTTTCACTTTACATTATTACATTTTCAAATGCTGCTAAGTTGTTACGATATAAATAATTATTAAATGGTTTGGACCAGGCTACATTTTATTTTTATTTTCTGTTTTTGAGACAGAGTCTCTCTCTGTCACCCTGGCTGGAGTGCAGTGGCACAATCTCAGCTCACTGCAACCTCTGCCTCCTGGGTTCAAGTGATTCTCCTGCCTCAGCTCCCTAAGTAGCTGGGTTAACAGGTGCCCACAACCATGCCCCACTAATTTTTGTATTTTTAGTAGGGATGGGGTTTCACCATGTTGGCCAGGCTGGTCTTGAACTTCTGACCTCAGGTGATCTGCCCGTCTCAGCCTCCCAAAGTGCTGGGATTACAGGCGTGAGACACTGTGCCTGGCCTACATTTTAAATTGAATTGTTAGGTATTTCTTTTGGCCTAGGGTGCTATTAAATATTACCGAGAAAACCTGAAAACCAAGAAAATCTGGGAATTTTCTTCTCTGAGATAGATGTCCAAAGAATTTTTTGGAGATTGAGCAGAGATGATTCCAGCTTATGTCTGCATGCTGTGGAGGGAAACACAGTCACCTGGGGGGTCCTGAAGGAGAGGACTGAAACAGGCTCACTTTGGGATGATTGTGAATACATATTGCTTATCTGGAAACAAGGATTACTCTGCTTCTGTGGTGCTAATGAGACCCCATGTGAAACAGAGAAATGGAACATTTGATTTTAGTTCACAGTCGTGGTACAGATGGCTGTTCATTTTTGTATACAAAAAGAATTAATGCTCGTTTTACTTACTATAAGGAGAACTGCCGGAAGTGAGTAAACGTAAGTTTTATTCTAAAAGTTTCACTACTTTTGGTGGAGAAATGTTTTAGAATTATTTTAAGATTAACATGGGTTTTTAGGCATGAACTAATCTATTCATAACTGAGGACCTCATTTCAATGTCCAACTTGAAAAGTTTTCCAGAAATGATCATAACATTGGGTATCCACTGTCATTTGTTTCTCAAGTTTTTAAACAGAAAATTGTACCTATGGATTATCTTAAGGGATCCATTACATTTCCGCTTAATCATTATTAGTAACATTTTTCTAATGTTTTCTTATCTAGTGACAAAAGCACACTTCATACTTAATGTTAATACTTCTAAGAATTCTAGTCATCATATTAAAATTGGATTTTAAAAGATTTATTATTTAAAATAATGATTAAATAACAGACTGCATATTTACTATAAATTGGACATATTTAAGTAAGTGTCTATTAACATTAACAAAGTTATATTGAGGCATTCTTATTGATAATTCATACTTATTATTGTTAGCTGTCAAGCTTAATAAGCTGCAGACAGGAAGATATAATTCCTTTATATAATACAATAAAGCAGACAGAAGAATTAGGTTATGAAAAGACAGAGAGATAGTGAGCATCTAACCAAATAGGATTCAGTTGAAAAATTTTTTTTTATCCATTTAATTCCATGGACCATGTTCATGGCAGTTTTGTATCAGGAGAGGATCTTGGGTGGTTTAAGGAGGGATCTGTATAAGAATTGAATTCTCAGAAAGGATATGACAGGGAAGAAAAAGAGAATCTAACCTTATGATGATGTATGTGGGTACATTTTTTAGGCACAAGATATATCTGGAAAGGAAATGAACAGTTCAACAAATAGAAAAATTACAGAATTTTGAGGATTGATGATAACCTAAGGATTTTATCCAACACTTTTGATTTAGAGGTGAAGGGTTTGAGTCCCAGAGCAGTTAACAACTTGATTTTGGTCACAGAGCTAGTTATCAGCAGAGAACTGTAGAACTTCTGCACATGTCAGTGCTTTTCCACATTATGTTCCAGGACATAATTCATACAAGTTAATTGTGTATTTAATATTTATTTTAATGCAATAACCCACTCACATTGTGATTTTAATTCAGCATATTTTAAAATCTGTTTTTAGGACATTTGAGGACAAGAGACAGGCAGGAAAAGTGTTTCAGTGGAAATAGCATGGGCTTAGTAGTCAGGATTGGAATTCTGACTTTAATATTTATCAGCTCCATGACATTGGAAGATATTTTAAATCTCTGTGCCAGAATTTCCATAACTTTATAATTGGAAAAATATGTCCTATTATGTTGGGATTAAGAATCCCAATTTAAATAAAGTGTATAGAGACCTGGGATTGTTGAGTATGCAGACAAAAAGGCTGAGAGTTGTAGGAGACTGTGGTGCTGATATTAGTATTCAAACTGTTGACTAATAGGGTCTCTTCTTAAGAGGAGGATGGATTCCTGTGGTGCATGGTTGAATGTAAAGCCACTTAAGGAGAGAGTAGTGTCTGCCAGAGGCACCAACATACACTGATCACCTGCCTCTTTCTTGCTGTCATGGATTTGATGCATCAAAAAAAAGTCAGTTATTACACCCTTAAGTATCTTTCTGGGTCACAAATTCTACTAAGTGTAGCATTGACTTTGTTGCTTGTCTTTCTTTCTTTCCTCCTTTCCCCCAGCCTTCTCCTCCTCTATCCTTTTTTGAGCAGCAAGAATCCTACCCCTTTGGGATGGTTTTATGATAAAATATAACTATAGGACAATGGATTACATTGTCTTCTATGTGTCCCTTTATATGTGAACACAGCAGATGGTTCTTCTCACTTTGATATTATCCTTAATATTTAGTTTTACTTACAAAATTGTGCAACAATATGAAGTACAGTATCTCTTATTTGCTGCCAGTCTTTCTCAGAGAAAGCACATTTGCCCTCCTTAATATTTAGTTTTACTTACAAAATTGTGCAACAATATGAAGTACAGTATCTCTTATTTGCTGCCAGTATTTCTCAGAGAAAGCACATTTGCCCTCTTGTAAAAGAGGGGGTATGTTAAGTGTGAGAGAGTAGACAGATCTCATTCACGAACACAAACATAGGGTTAAACTAGCAGGTGAACAGTGTGAAGTGTGTGTGTGTGTATGTGTGTGTGATTTTCCAGGTTAGGGATCCAGAAAAACTTGCCCTAGTTAAGGATTCACCAGCTACTATATTTCTTTAGAAAACTTGCTTTAATATTACATGTACAATTCCTGTGAATTGCCAGATTTATGTAAAGAATGACAGGGAGAAATTCTTCAGTCTTCTATCAGGATAGAGCTCTGCTCCAGGGAACGCTTATGCAAATCTTGCAGATTTTCTTGCTGGAGTGTTAGATGAAAAGAAACTAGTAAAGAGTTTGAACCTGGGAAACGCAAAGAATTTTGGGAAGGAGGACTGATTGTGGTTTTGATTTGAATTTGACACACGTGACTTTTCTTCAACAACTTCTCTGAGAAGGATGAAAATCAGGTTAAATGAGGCTATATAAGTGAAAGGGTTTATAAATAGGATTGATTTATGTGAAGGGAAGGCACGCACAAACAATAGTTACTTTATGTTTCAATGTAAAATAGTCATCGTCTTGACTAAAGTGAAGAATCTGTTTTTTTAGGAAGTCTTTCCCAATGCTTGATCAATCTGAGTTGTCAGGTGCCTACGCCAACTTCACAAATAAACCAAGAATATTTCTGCATTTTTCTTTTCCAGTTGGAGAGTGGCCTTTAAATACTTTATTGAAATACAATATATCCAGCAGGGCTGGATTTGTGGGTATGAGCTTGGGCAAGCTTCTTTTCCTAAAATCAGAGCACAGACTATTCATTCTCAGCAGACTACTCTTCCTAAAGTATTTAGATTGCTTTTGCTAACTGTAAGCCTTCTTCTTCTTCTTTTTTTTTAATGGAGAATAGCTATGCTTCATTTTAAAAATGTCAATTCTAGTATAAACACAGCACTCTTCATATTGAGAGCTTTTGAACCCCGCTCCTGAACAGAAATACAAAGGAAACCCTTGAAAGCAAAGCAGATGTTGTACTGGCTATATCTAGGCCTTGATTTGTTTATAGTTTAAAAATCCATGGGAAAATAATGATCAAAGGCAGGGTGTAATTCATAGAGAAAATTGTAAGACGACTTCATCTGGCTAGATTCTGTAAAGAGTCTTTGATTCAAATGGTTCACACAAAGAAAAAATGTCCCATAGGTTCAGAGTTCTTTCTGGCAATAAACTTCCAGTGTAAACAGGAAGGCTCTTGGGCCTCTTACAAATTTTAGAAACAAATGATACTCATTGCCTTGCACTCAATAATTTTGACTTTGAGACAAGAGTTGGAATGGTTAATAAAAAGTTCCAATTCTAAGTTCAATATGAAGTTTATTTGCCGTTACCATAATATTTATTTGTGTGCGCAGCAGTTTATTGAAAGAATGTGAAGGACACATGCTATTTAGTATATTTAATACTAACTAAAATCCTATAATTCGAAAGAACTTGACTATTATATAATCAGTACCAAAGAAGAGAACTAGGAACTCCAATCCTTTATGCTGATTGATACTGTGTAGCAGAAATATTAAACAATTACCCCAAAGTTAGAATAATGTAATTTTCATTATAATTTAGAAAAAGGGGCTAGTGAAACTTTTTTAGCAAAACTGATGATTTTTTATGATTAAAAGTGTAATTTGAGTCTAATTTTCAATGGACACAAATGCACATAGAATTAATTGAAGTAATGGGGAAATCAATAGTAGATGCACAACAGTTTAAATAATAATTGTAACAATTATTATTTTAAAAGAAACTTCCTCAGGATGAGAAAGAATACATATATATAAGAATATATATTATATATATTCTTTCTCATATGTATATGTATATACATATACATATATATACACACACATATATATATATATATATATATATATATAATTTGAAGGGGGAGTGTCTGAGTGATAGTACACACTTTTCTATCTTTAAAGCCCATTTAAGATCTGGGGAAAAAGGTATGTCTCTGAACCAGTTTGAGTGGATTTTTCCAAATGAAACCTCAAATAGCATTTATATTTAAGCCCTAACAAACACTTGGGAAGATTTGAAGTTAAAAGCAAATTGTGGTGGGGGTACAGCACAGGTTTTGTGGTTTGGTTTTGTTTTGCTTTTTAAATAAACACAGTCCACAAAAACCCATCTGCCTTCACCTGGAAGGACCAGTTCTTTAATTAAAAAAACGCTTTGGCTTCGGTTTCACTGGGAAACTAAAGCCAGAGCCCCTAAACTTTTCTCTCCGCAGATCGGGTGAGCTGGGGAGGGTGCTCATCCACTTCATTGCAGGGGGAAGTACAGCCTGGAACCCCTTTCGGGATACTGTCATTTGCCCCTTCTTCCCATCTCTTACTCTATCCTCAGAACCAGTATGAGAGTTTTCTGGGGCTAAGGCAAGGGGCAGTGGGGTCAGGCGCTGGAAGGACTGGTTTGCAAAGAGATAAGCTTTGGAATGAAGCCGCACAGCTGAAAACTCGCGGCAAGACATGCTCGCGCTGTGGCGAGTCAGTTCGAGAAGCATTTATCCCTACTCCCCTTAGCTTTCTGAGCAGCATTTGCAGTCAGGTGCAAACAGATCGCATATTTGGCGCAAAGAGCCCTGAGGATGAGGGACGTGGGATCATTCCCCGGTTTCCCCCGGGCCAGGTGCTAGGTCGTTTGAGGAGGAACTGTTCTCCAGTTCTCAACGCCTGCAAAGGCGGCTATAGGTGGCAAGCGGAGCTGTCCAGCACTAGTGAGGAGCCAGCGGAGCCGGGAGCCCCGCGCACCCCGCCCGGCTGAGGCTCAGCAACAGTGCTGTCTTGTCAGAGCAGACGCTGTCCTCACTGCCGCCCCTTTCTGGGCTCGCTCCGCGCCCACACGGCCTCGCACGAGGCGGGGAACACAAGTCCCCAGGAGCTGCTCCAGCAGGATGGGCGCCAAAATGTTGCCCCTGTCCTTCCCTTCCCCTGAAAGCGTCTCCTCTGGAGTGGGCTGGCTGGACGCTTGGCCTTTCCCTTTTGCCTCGGAACTTCCTAAATAAACTCGGAGAAAGGACAACATGGACCCTAACCCCCACTTCACACTGTCAGGTTTCCCCAAGGTGGCTCCAGGGGGAGGCCTCTCGCCCCCCAGCCCCGAGCCCTTCTCCCCACCAGCGCCGCCGGGACCCATCTGCTCCCGAGGGCCGAGGATAAGGCGTTTGGGGTTGGGGCCCTCAGTCCGACCCGAGCTCCTGTGCGCACCTCCTCGGAGCAGGGAGGGCGCGCAGAGGACAGCAACGAAGTGTCCTCGTTGCTCCTGAAACGTGGCGACAGGCGAGGCAGAGACTCCCAATGAGTATGATGGCGACACGTGATTCCCGCGGAGGGAGAGCATGGGGGGGGGCGGGGGGATAAAGGGAGAAGGAGGGAGGCAGGGCAGCAAGTGGAGAGAGGCGGGAGCAGAGAGGGAAAGGGGGCGAGATAGGCGCGCAGGCGGCAGAAGCCTCTGCCTCTGCCTCCCCTTCTGCTTGGGCCGCAGCCCTCCCCGCCCCGCCGACCGCGGTCACACACTCTCGGAGCCTCCCCGTGAGCGGGAGCGCGGCGCACGGCGATGCGCCGAGGCGGGCGCTGAGGCGGCGCCGCGCGAGCAGCAGCAGAGGCGGCGGCGGCCCCCAGCCCAGCCCGGCGCCGCCGCCGAGCCCGGGCCCCAAGGTGCGGCGGCGCCCCAAGTTCCCGCCATGAGCAGCCGGCTCGGGGGGCTCCGCGGCCCCGGGGACTCCCGCCCCGCCGGGCGCGACCGCAGCGCCCCGCGGCCCCGACGCGCTTAACGTTGTCGCTTGCCGGTCCCGCCACCGCCGCCTCCGCCGCCGCTCGCGTCCTCGCCGCCACCGCCTCGGCCGCTGCAGCTCCGCCGGCAGCATGTCTCGAAGGAAGATTTCGTCCGAGTCCTTCAGCTCCCTGGGCTCCGACTACCTGGAGACCAGCCCGGAGGAGGAGGGGGAGTGCCCCCTGTCTAGGCTCTGCTGGAATGGCAGCCGGAGCCCGCCCGGGCCGCTGGAGCCCAGCCCGGCCGCAGCTGCCGCTGCCGCCGCCCCGGCCCCGACCCCGGCTGCTTCTGCCGCCGCCGCCGCTGCCACTGCCGGGGCCAGGAGGGTGCAGCGCCGGAGGCGGGTCAACCTGGACTCGCTGGGCGAGAGCATCAGCCGCCTGACGGCGCCCTCGGTGAGCGGGGGGCGGAAGGGGGGACCGCCTTCGGGGGAGAGAACGCGGATCTGTAAAGTTGGCGCTGGGCGAGCCGGGGCGCGAGCGCAGAGCCCGACCGCTGGGGGGCGGCCCGGCCTTACCCTGCACGGCCTAGGGTTCCAGTGGCTCCGGCGACAGAGGATCCCCTAGGCTAGGGCGGAAGAGGGGACTACAGCACTGGGAAGGAATAAGATTCCACTCCTTTGGGGTATCCTGATTCGGGGGCCTGTCTGCCCACCTCTAGCCTTGAACCCTACTTCACCACTGTTCCCCCTGGACAGCCCCAGTGCTGCTTCACACCCACCTGTTTTCTTTCCCCTAAACTTTCCCAGGCACTGTGTTCTGCAGTTCAGCTTCCCTGTCTTTCATCCTGTTCTCCAGCATCCCAAAGGAGCCCCAACCCCTTCCAGGAAACCCTTCCTCTCCTTATTTCCCACACTCTCTTGGTCTTAGCGTGACCTTCTCTGACATCTTTGAATTCCACAGGCTATCTGCATTCTATGTTGCATCCTTTTTCTCACATCTTCAGATACTTTTTGCCAGATACTTTTCTGAGTTGCCTTCTGTTCAAGTAATCTCTAATCTCGAGTTGTCCTCACCCCGTAGCTTTTTTTCTTTTTCTTTCTTATCCACTAGGCATTTATTCTTCTCTGGGTAAACCTGGTGTCTGGATTTCTTTTTTTTTAAATTAAATTTAATTTAAAGTCCCGGGTTACATGTGCAGGATGTGCAGATTTGTTACATAGGTACCAAACGTGTGCCATGGTGGTTTGCTGCACCTACTAACTCATCACCTAGGTATTAAGCTTCGCATGCATTAGCTATTTAAACCGCTCTGTACTTCTTGCACCTGTACCTCATCCTTTACTCTCTCCTCAATGGATTCTCTAGTGCTTTCTCTCTCACATTAGCTATTTAAACCTCTCTGTACTTCTTGCACCTGTACCTCATCCTTTACTCTCTCCTCAATGGATTCTCTAGTGCTTTCTCTCTCACATTAGCTATTTAAACCGCTCTGTACTTCTTGCACCTGCACCTCATCCTTTACTCTCTCTTCAATTGATTCTCTAGTGCTTTCTCTCTCATTTTTTGGTGGCTTCTTTATATTAGGCCCTTCCTAAATATTTGTGGAATGAATAAATGCCTCTCCAAACTTGTGGTCATCTTGGGATGTCTGTATCAGCAGTTTCAGGTGTACAACAAACTCCCCCTGGTTGTAGGCATCCTTCCAGAGGAGTACTGCCTTATTCCTGCCCAGGCATTTCAGCTACCCTTGGCTTTTACCTCTTGCAGGAATGCCAGACCTCTGATCCAATCTTACCGTGTCTGGGAGAGCTCTGTTTTAAAGAAATCCACTCTGTTGCAGACAGAATTTGAAAAAGATTCAGCGTCAAACCTCCACCCATCTTTTATGCTCACCCTGACCTTGGATACAAGAGCTTTAGCTCCTCCTGACAGCACTTTCACCTGCCCACCCCTAGGACTTTTACTTTTTTAAAGTTTCCGAAATGAATCTGAACACTGATCTTGTTTGATTACTGTTGAGTCTCTCTTTTGAGATTACTACTGCAAATGATGGTAGGGGGGACCTAAGAAGGAGTGGAACCCTGAGGGGACTGAGTACGGGTACCAGACAGGTCTACAAATATTCTTGTGGCACTTGTATTAATGGAGAATGATTTTTTTCTTTTACGAGACCTGATTGAAGATGTATAAATCACTTATTACATTATTTATTTTGAACTAATTTAATTCTTAGGAACACATATTGAGAAACAGTCATCTTCCTATTCTTGTGTATTTTCGTATTTGATATATCTTTCTGCCACTTTTTCTTTCATCATTAACCTAGAAAACAATCCTCAGAATAGATTGGCTACTCTTTGCTGTTCTTCCCTGCCAATATTTCCCAGGCAGCGTAATTTTATAAACTATTTGATGTTGCAAATTGTTGAAAATATTTATTTACAACAGGAGTCCAATGACCCCGAGCGTCTGTAGGCTTGTGTCAGTACTTAAAGCAACATTTGTGCAATAAAATAGTTATTTAGTACAACAGATTCTTATTTAATGAAATGATTTTGCTAAAGATAATGATTAGTTTGGGGAGAATTGTTGATATAACCTTGGAGGTTTTTTTTTTTTTTTTTTTTTTTTTTTTTTTTTTTTTGCCTAAGAGAATTTACAGATTTCTAAAAAGTAATGTCAATGCCTCTGATAATGCTAATTTAAGCTAAGACTATTTTCAACAACTTACATGAGGAGTAGATAAAAGAAACTGAGAAATGCAGTATTTTCTGCTAGAATAAGAGGAAGGAAATAGTCTCTGATGGTTACTTTTATAAGTTAAATTTGAATGACTGGCTTTTTGCTGGATGAAAAGAATGTATCCAGAGAATGGTTTTCAGAATAAGCAATTTAAAAATAATTGTGATGATCAAATAAATGCAACAGCTCTATATACTTTCCATGCCATAGTTGTTTTCTATTATGAAAAGGGTCTGTCAGGTGGACGCTGAGAACATACAGGTGAATATACTGTAAACATTTTCAACATAACACATGTATAGAAAAATTCTCCTTGGTTAACCATATCATCAATAGACTTAGTGACACAAATAAAAGAGAGAGATTATATTTCAAAGCAGTGACTCATTTCTGGGCAGTCCTTACCTTATTTTATTTGGCAAGTTAGAACACTAGCTCAAAAAGTTCCAGTAGATTCATTTTTTGACATTGTCAGGATTTGAAACTTCTTTGAATACTCTTCAGGAGATGGATTATGTCCTCTCTATTCTCTCATGAAAGCTGGACATTTTTTTGTTTTTGAACCACTGAGAGTAGCCATTACCAGAGCCTTTTTAGATGGGAATTTCTAGTTGTTTTGAATGTTGTGAGCTTTCTTGCATGCCATCACAATATACTTCAGGAGAAACTGTACTTGCCATGGAAGCTCCTGTTTTGTCAGTTGTCTCATCGTGGCATGTCTCAGTCACTTGGGATTTCTTCTTTATTCAGAATGATTTGCAAATAGAAAAATGAAAATTTATTTATTAAACTAGTTATTTGACCCATGGGATATCCACACTCAGGTTTTTGATGCTTAATAGTCACTTTAAGATGCACCGATGTTGAGTATAAAGGTTATAATAATTTCTAATACTATTTAATAAGAGTAAGTTGTATTGGTGAAATTGAAAAAAAATTCCAGAATTCGGGAGACCTG
The DNA here is from genome assembly GCF_000001405.40 of Homo sapiens. NCBI lineage: Eukaryota > Metazoa > Chordata > Mammalia > Primates > Hominidae > Homo > Homo sapiens. The sequence goes on along the minus strand of NC_000011.10, from coordinate 107,014,505 downwards.
ATTCTAATTTTGCCTTGAACAATGAGAAACTTACATATCTCTGGACACATTACTTTAAATATCTGGGATTTCCCAGGCTTTGGACAAACTGTCATATTGGCATATGAAAGGGAAACATGGGCCAGGCGTGGTGGCTCATGCCTGTAATCCCAGCACTTTGGGAGGCCGAGGCAGGCAGATCACTAGGTCAAGAGATTGAGACCATCCTGGTCAACATGGTGAAACCCCGTCTCTACTAAAAATACAAAAATTAGCTGGGCATGGTGGCGTGCACCTGTAGTCCCAGCTACTTGAAAGGCTGAGGCAGGAGAATTGCTTGAACCCGGGAGGCAGAGGTTGTAGTGAGCCGAGATTGCGCCACTGCATTCCAGCCTGGCGACAGAGCGAGACTCCGTCTCAAAAAAAAAAAAAAAAAAAAAAAAAAAAGGAAAACATGGCATATATTATAAGTTTTAAAACTTTTGAGGAAAGTAGTTTACTTTTTAAGATAGGGGCACCAAAATGCTATTTAATCCACCCAATTATTTAAAAAATATTGTAGTATCTATGTGGCAGGTATTGTGCAGAGCATTTGGAAAGACAAATGCTGAACAAAACATATCTAGTCTTTGATTTCATGGAACTTCTTTAATCATTATCTTTATTTTAATGAAACTATATAAAGGGAAAACATAAGAACTCCAATTGTCTTGGCGAAATCTAGGGGAAGTTTTATTTGTCATTCACTTTGGGTAGTTTTGTTCATTGTGAATCTCTGGGGTGCAGCCATAATAATAAAAATAACCCTCCAATTAGCAGGTCATGATGATGCACGCCTGTAATCCCAGCTACTTGGGAGGCTGAGGCTCGAGAATCGCTTGAACCCGGGAGGCGGAAGTTGTGATGAGCTGAGATCACACCACTGCACTCCAGACCCTGGGTGACAGCGAGACTCTGTCTCCAAAACAAAACAAACAAAAACCCTCAAGACCTTAAGACCTGATTGAAGATGTATAAATCATTTATTACATTCTTTATTTTAAAATAATATAATAGTTGGGAATACATATTAAGCAACAGCTGGGGATTTCACATCAAGGGTGAACTTAGCGACTTATTTATTTGGATTTTATTCTTAAATGAGAGTTGCTTAGTTACCCTATCACTGCGACATCAATTTTGGGTTTGCTGGTGTCAGCCTGTCAGTGAAGATACACCACTAGAGTCATATAAGGGCAAGGCTTCTCTAGGTTTCTTGACAGAGAACATTGCAAGTGGCTTTGAAGACCTCAGAAGCTTTAGAGAGCAGAATGTCAGGAAAAAAAAGTAACAGAATTGGAGGAGTGGCAAATAAGGAGAGGAGAGCTACTGACCTGTGGAGTTGTTCAAGAAACAGAGACTAGTGAAGAGGAAAAAATGAAGGTGGAAGCTTAGATTCAAGTGACAAAAAAGCATAAATTATTATTTTGGGGAAGGAAATTATCTTAATACATGTCAAGGAAAGAATGAAAAGGCATAAAATACTTTAGCTTCTGTTGATATTAAATAAAATGAGCTCTCTGACATGTATAAACCTTGAAAAAAAACCTTAGAAAGTATGTGTGTAACTAACATGTAGACAATGAAAAATGTAAAAAATATATTCGTAAGGTAGGCTATTGGACAAATTTAGGTAGTTTAATTAAAGCTTTTTAAATTTGGGGCTTAATTTGGCTAACAAAGTTATAGAAACAGATTCATTACCATTATAAAATTATATAAAGTATATTTCAGTTGTTTAATGTTTTCACATTTGTTGAAAATAGATACTATAATCTGAAATCAGAATTTAATGGCAATCTATTGCCTTTCTTTACCTTATCCCCAATCATTTAGAAACAACATGACAGAGTTGAAAGCACAAAGTTTTGGAGTCTGACAAATTTCGGTTTGAGTAATCCTCTGCTGAGCCCCTTACTAAGTATGAGTCCCTGGGAAAGCTAACTCTTATCTTCTCTGAGCCTTAGTTTCCTCTTTTGTGAATTAGGAATAACAACTACCTTGTAGGTTTGTTGTGTATAAGGAGGAATATTCTTCTTAAAGCTTCCTAAACTCAATAGATGATAGTTTCAGGGTGAGATCTATTAATTTTAACTGAATTTGAATGCCTCAAAGTGATCTAAATTTTTCATTTTCTTTTTTTCTCAATAATTCACTTGCTAGTCACCTAATTGGAAAAGTTTATAGAATAGGTTAACAGATGTCAAGTACGAAAAAAAAAAAAAAAGTAATAAGAAGCACTGTATTTTGTCGGCATAGCCCAGACAATCCATTAAAAAAATTAAAACTGGAGTCCCTTTTTGGCCCCTGGGTATGACTCATGTGTGTACACAGACATATAAAAATTGCAGATCCAAACATTTCCATCAGATTACTGACTGCTGTGTGGCAATATGAAAACTACTTTATAAATTCTATAAAAATACAAGGACATATATATTTGGTAGAATGTAGATATTTCATGACAAGTTAATTTTAAATTAGAAAAATTGTAGGTGAAAGAGAAGTTATTTATTTCAGTTGCCTAAGAATTCCAAGCATTCTTCATCTACTGCATTCAAACTAATCTGTATGTGTGTTCAAAGGCCTTGATAGTGAGATGCAACAATTACATAGCTAATGCTGTTTATATTTTATGGTGCTGCCTTCTTGTTTGGCTATTGGTTCAATTGCTAGGCTTTCTTTTGTCTTTTTCTTTTTCTTTTTTTTTTTGAAATAGGGTCTTGCTCCTGCCTCAGCCTTCTGAAGAGTAGAACTTTCACTTTAAAGTTACATTTTGTCAATGAGAAATGACATCAGTGATTATTAGGTTTGTAAGTAGAAGTCAGACACTCTGACTATATATTATAGTATTATATATTATATACTCCTTTTTATATATATTAAAGATATATATTTATATATTATAAATATATATGTGTATATATTATAAATATATTTATATATTTAATATATTAAAAATATATTTTATATATATTATATAGTCCTGATTATATATTCCTTTTTAGTGTATAGTTTATTTACCTTTAAGGACTCTAAGATGCATAGGTGAAGTACTTGAGTGCTATTATATATTTTTCCCATCTATGTCATCATTAGTCTTTTTGTTCACCTTTTTGTCCTGTTGCCGTTAATTATACAGAGCTCTAAGTAAAATAAAACATAAATATTTTATTGAATATGATAGGAAAATAAATGCACTGTCATTTGACACATACATTGTTGATCATGAGTTACTAGGAAGGTATAATTTTCTTTTTTGAGATTTCACACACATGTAGGCACATAGGCCGGGAGAATATTTGCAAGGGCTATCTATTGAGCAGGCTTTCTTCACAGGCCCTTTGTTCGATGCATGAGGCAGTGGGTTAATTTAACATTTAAAGCCTCTGTCCTTGATATTCTTATGTTTAACTTGTGTTTAGCATAGTATGGTTGTTCAATAAAATGCTTAGGAGGGCCAGGCGCAGTGGTTGACGCCTGTAATCCCAGCACTTTGGGAGGCTGAGGCAGATGGATTGCCTGAGGTCAGGAGTTCAAGACGAGCCTGGCCAACATGGTGAAACCCTGTCTCTACCAAAAATACAAAAATTAGCCAGGCGTGGTGGTGGGCGCCTGTAATCCCGCTACTTGGGAGGCTGAGGCAGGAGAATAGCCTGAAAGTGGGAGGGGGAGGTTGCAGTGAGCCGAGATCATGCCACTGCACTCCAGCCTGGGTGACAGAGGAATACTCCATCTCAAAAAAAGTAAAAAAAAAGTGCTCAGGAGAAGTAAATACATGTTTTTGTTTAATTGTTCAATTTTATTAATGTTTCTTTTGTGTTTAATTTTTTTTTGGTGGTATATTTAGTTCCATCAACCAAAATATTTAGATTTTTCATCCAGCCTGTGATAGACATATTCAAGTATGCGAACCTGTTTGAATTTTGCTTACACCTGCTATTTAAAGCAAAACTTCGGAAGGAAGTCGTTTTACAAAAAGAGCAGATGGAACAGTATCCTCCTCCTTGGACTCTTTGAGTCGTCCATTTATATAATATTTTAAGAAGTTAGGTAAATGTAATGACTCTTCTACAGTCTGGATTGCTTATATTTTCTGCCCAATTCTCTGTCAAATGAGAAGAAATGTTTGTCAACAAGTAGGCTACTGTTGCCAAAAATGCACTACTAGGAGATGGAAATGACATAATTATGGCCCTTAAACATCACTTCAGGACAGGATCTGAAGATCTAGAATTATGTGCTGTTAGCTCAGAGTACCTCATAACATTGAGGGCTAGAGTCATTTAGGAGGTAGGGCAGTGGGAAATATCTTGGAAGGCGGGAAATTTGCTGGGGCTGTTGTAGGGAAATGAGAAAGAGTAAACATTCTTATAAATAGTGAGAAATCACTTCCAGAGCAGGCTTTATTTGAGGCTTATTAAACAGTTCTTCATTTAATCTAGTAGCTCTCAAGCTTCATTGAACACAAGACATACCTGAGGAAAATTGTTAGAATGCAGATTCCTGGGTCTCATCCTCAGAGGATCTGGTTGGATAGTTCCAGGGAGGGGCCCAAACTACATTTTGAACAAAACTCCAGGTAATTGCTCAGCATGCTGAAGGTATGTCTAGAGGTGACTGAATTCCAGACCTTGAGGACTACTGAGCAGTGAGCTCTATGGGCTGATTTTTGGGAAGAATGATCCTGAAAGTCGCTTCCTTTGGGATTAATGTATCCCAGACAACTATTACCTTTACTGGGTTAGGGATAAAGGTGGTGAATTGGTGCTGTTATCCCCACATCCTATGGCTGTATCTTTTGTGGTCGAAATAATCTTACTGGTTGTATGGTAGAAGGTATTTGAGGTTTCACCATTTGTAGCTTTAATTATCTGTGGACTCTGCCCGTTTTTCCCGAGGATGTTTTGTTAACTGCTTATGTTTATGTTCAGTAGTTCGCATGTCATTACTATAAGTATCTTGTGACCCCTTTTTCCAAAACAGAGAAACAGATATTTGAAAAGGTTGGGGATTGTAGAAAAAAAGAAGGGTGGTTGTGAGGGTGAATTTGACATTATCACCAGCATTTGTGTTTTTCAGAGTGAGATTGACACAACATTTCTCAAATGCTCCATCTACTGGTTCATTTTGGAGGAGTGATTTGTTTACATGCCAATGAAAAATTAAAAAGGTAAAGGGAGAAAAAACAGATCTGAATGCCAGAATTTTTTTTTTCTAGAAAGAAAACAATAGGAGGTTCAGATATCAGATATATAGGGCCACCTCTCAAACCTTACCAAAATATGACACTAACATTAATGCTTCCTAATCTCTGCATCCTTAGCCGTTCATTCAGTGGTGAAGTTGGGTGGGGGTCTCTCATTTAGTTCTCCAAGTAAATAAATGGTGATCCAACATTTGAAGAATTTGTATTTGCAGACAACTCTAATAATCTATCATGAAAGGAAGTTATCTGTGTGGAGGTCCTGATGTTACCTTAATTGTAAGTCCATAAAGTCCACTTGACTCATTTTCCTTTCACTGTATAATATTTGTTATGCGTGAGTCTACTGTGGCCAATGGCAAAAATCAGAATGTTCTAAAACATCCTTCCATTCCTTGTTGCTTTATGTCTATGCTTCTTCATACATGAACCCTCCAACTTAATACTGGGAGAGGATGGTTTTTCTGACTGTTTTTATGTACACACGCACACGTGTATATATATCGTGATTTCTGTCACTCCATTTTTTCCCCTATGGAATCCTAACTTATCACTCACATCTCCATTATGGGACTTATTGTATTGTACCTTGATTTTGGTTTATTCTGCCTCTTTGAGATGGAAATCCTGTCTTATTTATCTATGTATGCGCATGCCTAGCAGAGTATCTGAATTATAAAGGCACTCAATAAATGTTTGTTAAAAGAATGAATAAATGATTGAATAAGTCCTTGTGTAGTTTATGATGTATTTGGTACTGCTCTTTTGGCTATAATGATTTTGTGATTTTTAATTGATTATTTTATCTGACTGTTCTGTTTGCAGCTTTTTCTCAGACATAAACGGGAATATAGTTATAACATTATTTTTTAGAATGCGTTAAGATTTTCTAAACATTCTCCTACCTGACATTTTATTGGGACTTCATAATAATCTGTAGGTTTTATGCAAATTGCCTCTCACTTTGGGTAGTATGATTATCTTTTTTTTTTTTTTTTTTTTTGAGATGGAGTCTTGCTCTGTCGCCCAAGCTGGAGTACAGTGGCACAATCTTGGCTCACCACAGCCTCTGCCCACCGGGTTCCAGCGATTCTCCTGCCTCAGCCTCCTGGGTAGTTGGAATTACAGGCGCATGCCACCATGCCTGGCTAATTTTTGTATGTTTATTAGGGGTTTCGCCATATTGGCTGGGCCTGGTGTCGAACTCCTGACCCCAGGTGATCTGCCTGCCTTGGCCTCCCAAAGTACTGGGATTACAGGCGTGAGCCACCGCACCAGGCCGGATAGTATGATTATCTTAAAATGCCTGTAGACACAACAGTTATTTGGGGTTGCTGATGTGCTGCCACTTACAAGGGTGTCTATATTATCTCCTAAAGAAATGTGTATCTGTAAGCTAGAGGGACAGTAAATCTATCATGCTGTGTTGTTCATTATTATTTTAGTATGTAAGAAATCCTGTATTACCAAACATTCTATTAAATACAATTCTACAAACCAGCATATCCATATATCTATCTTACAATAATCATTAGTGGACACAATAGTGGCACAGGGAGGGATAGTGTCCTTGAAAAAAGTGTAGAGTTAGAAATTGCTTGTTTAAAGATTGGGGAAGAGAACTGCCTAGGAATAGGAAGAAGTGTTATTGGGTGTTTTTTGAGGGCCCACTTGAGGTTGGAGATAATGAGTATGTAGATCAAATTGGGAAGATGAGTATGACATGCAGAGGTATAAAGCAATGATAGTATTGTTTATGCATTAGAAGGCCTATATGTCAGATTGAGCTTGAGGTGTTTGGGGACAATCCGCTGGAGTGGAGGGTTATGTCTTCAGGAATAATGAGTGAATGTCCAAACGGGGAAAGCTGCAATAATCCAAAGACATTTCTAGCCTTTCTGTTTGAACACCGATCTGAAATTAAGACTATTTAGAATATATCTAGAGCATTCTTTCACTATTCATTTCACTCTCTCGGAGTAGCTGATTTGTTTACCCCTCTTCTAAACCAGAATCAGGTAACCTGGTAACTAGTTAGTCTTTGAGAAACTCAGTTCTAATTAATTGCTTGATTAGTATTTACATCATGCTTTCAAAGTTAGGACTAATCCTTGAAAAGCCCAAGGATATTTAGCTACATCATTCATGCATTTTTTTTTATGGTTCCAATGAGTAGTTGGTATACTGTACGGTTTTCTTGGCTCAGACTTGATACATCACTCCTTGAATATAAGACAGTCTACGGGTTTTAGAGTAGCAGTGACCACCAAAACATTTCAGGTTGTGTTGGAGAGTGCAGTGGATATTTTCCTTCTTAAAAAGGTAGAAATTCGTTCTGGTGAATCAAACATTCTAAGTGAGCTATCACATATGCAGTACTGATTTGTAAGAGAGCAGATGAAATTCTATGAAATGCACTTAAGAGTGAAAGGATTTTAAATTTGTTAGTCAGTCCTTCATAATCCCAAAGGTTCACCTGTGTGTTTCAGTGCCTCAGTGTTGTCCTTATGAGTATTAACTATCACTCTGCTGTAGATTGTGTGAACATCCTGGTGTGGGCAGTGTTTTAGATAATCAAGTGCTTGATAATAGCAAACTTGCTCTATGTAGAAGCACTGAGGAAGTAAATGGTACTTGTGGTCTGACCAAGTTAATGTGCATACCATTTCTCATATTCCACCAGGGAGTCTCTTAGGCAAGGGAAAGATATTGTGAGTAGATTTTAACAAACCGTTTTCCTATCTTTTAGACTTCTGTATAATTTGGTGAATGTGCTTGTCTTGTTTTCCTTGAAAAATGCCTATCAGCCCATTTGTATATATACATGCACAGAATGGTTGGAGGCTGATCCTGCAACTCAATAGATGCTGCATTCTGATTTTTGTTCTAATTTGACTTTGGGGAAATAACTTTTGTCTCCACTTCCCATCTCTGAAATCACATCTATCTCACTAATCTCTCACTCAAGAGTAAATATGTAATAAAATGTGAACAGTGAATGGAAGACATTGTGTTTACTATTACTCATGACTTCCTTGTTCTGCTTCACTTCTTTCTTGTAAAACAAAATATTCCTTCAGGTTCTTTAACTCTCTGCATTCTGGGAAAAGAGGAGATTTGCAGTCTGGCAAACTCTTCTTGTTATCTTGGGCATCACTGGATAAATTCGCCTCTCTGAGGATCAGTTTGTTCTGTATAAAATGAGGTTTACAATTCATAGGATTATGAAGATTAAAAGTATAGTAATGCCTAGCACAGTATTTGGACTATAGCATACGATCAATAGATTTTGGTGCCTTTAGCTAACACCTTCTTACCAGTTATCCTGATACTTTCAATTACCTCTAGCCACAATCTTTGGCAAAGTCTCTAGATAATACCTTTTGTCATGGTTCGTGTTTAGTGCTCTTATGCTTTTTATGGGAAATATTTCCAACATTTTTGGGCATATGACATTTCAGGGTTATACTGTAGGGGTAATATACTTATAAAAGATGTTCTCTTTCAGAAATCTTAAAAACAAATGCGATCTTACCAGGTTCTTGTTTATTCACTCATTCAGTTACCTCTCACATTCATTCATTAATTCAGACAGCATTTATTATCAAATGAGCACTTACTAATTTATTCAGCATATATTCCATATACTTTAAACACATGAATGAAGTAGGGGCTCTCAGAAAAAACATTTTACATTGTCATTTTTGTATTTAAAAATGTAAAATCACGCCTGTAATCTCAGCACTTTGGGAGGTTGAGATGGGAGGATCGCTTGAGCCCGGGAGTTTGAGACCAGCTTGGGCAACATAGTGAGATCTTGTCTCTACAAAAATACTGAAGAATTAGCTGGGCACAGTGGCATGCACCTGTGGTCCTGGATATTCAGGAGGCTGGGTGAGAGGATCACTTGAGCCCATGTGGTCAAGGCTGCAATGAGCTATGATCACACTACTGAATGGCAGCTTGGGTGACAGTGAGAAGTTGTCTCCAAAAAAATTTAAAAAATGTAAAATCACATTTAAAAAATTACCAAATTATGTCCACAGCAGCTATTGTCTGCCCCTCTGTCTGTCTCTGCCCCTTATTCTATGCTGACCTTTTCTAGTTTTGTGTGATGTGTGGGACATAGGGTCAAAGTACAGTGTGTATCTAAAAAGATCAGTTGAAGCTATAGTAATGATGATAATAATATTTATTTGTTGAGTGCTTACCATTATCGGGCAGTGTGCTTAGTGTTCCATGAATTTTATTCCATTAAATACTCACAATATTAATGCAGGGGTGATGCCTTACCATGGTCATAGGACTTTAACAGAGAACATCAAGAACCTATGTCTCTAACCTCATCTTGTACTCTATATACTCATGGTTCTATGATGCACTCCTTGAATATGCTAAGCAAGCATCATTTTGCCTTAGGACTATTGTTCGGTTCCTCATGTCAGAAATGTCCTCTACCCACATCCTTTGCTTGGTTCTCCCAAGATTGGCTCTTCCTTAGTTTTCAGCTTTCAGCTCAGTGTCACCTCATCAGACAGTAGTCCTCCTACACCAACCATTCTGTTTCACATCACTGTTTGTTTATTCTTTTCATCATAGCTTCACTATCATAAATTATCTTATTTACTAGTTTACCTATTTATTACCTGTCTTCCCTCTTATAATTTAAGTTACACAAAGGAGGAACCTTGTCAGCGTTGCTCTCTGTGGGCTTTGCAGCACCTAGAATAGTCCTAGCTAGAGGTAGGGTCTTTATATAACTTTATTGATGTATAGTGTCACTTCAGAGGAAGCCTTAGGGCTTGGAAAAGAAAGAGAATATTTAAAAATAACTCATGGGGGAGGGGAGAAGGAGAATTAACATGTATTAAGCAACTGCTATGGAGCCAGAATTGATCAAATGCTTTTATAATATGTATCACTAAATTTTCAAAATCTCATAGGAAAATTTCGATTCAGAGAAGTTGAGTAACTTGCCTATGATGACAGTTAATTACTGACGGAAATAAGGTTGGAATCTTGTTCTGTTTAACTCCAAACCTCATATGCCTTTCAGTATTTTATATATTTCAAGCTTTGGTGAATGTGGTGGACGTCATGATTCACTGCCTAGATGCCCCTTTAGTAATGAAGGACTCATTCCTCTAGATGCTAGGGGTTCTGTTGACAGTCAGCCCTCAATCATTAGTCCTCTCTATATATTGCCTGGCCTGAGGAGAGGGGCCTTGCTCAAAGTCATGCCCCATTCCCATGATTAATCACCATGTGATAAGAAAGCTAGGCCTTCTTGCTCTAATTTAGGCAACTCTGAGATCAGAGCTCTATGTAGGGTCAGCTGAGACTTCCATTGAGTCTTCATCATAGTCCAACTTCTCCTTGTGCCCAATTCTGCTTTCTTCTCTACCCTTTCATGGTTGTTGATCCCAAGAACACTCCCTAATAAGTTTCCTGCATGCTAATCTCCTTCTTAGAGTCTGCTTCCTGGAGAACCCAACTCGTGATGGTGAGTTTGAGAATTGTCATGGCATTAACAAAAGTGCAAGATTCAGTAATGGGAAGGTGGCATTTGGGAGAAATATAATGATAGCTTTGGATTTGGATATTTTGAATTTAGTAAAAATGATTAGCTCTGGACTGTGAGATCTTTAAGGGTTTGTTTACTGAATGACCAAGCTCAGTTAAGTGCCTGCCAGTTGATTTAATAAATAGAGGATTGAAGATATGGGATTGGAATCTGGCTAAGAGCTTGTGATTGAAGATAGTTACTTTAGAGGTGATAGCTAGTATCTTGAAAATTGACAAACACTCTGAGAGAGAAAAAAATAAGAACAACGGAGAATTAGGGGGAAATATACAGAAAGAATAAAAAGAATATAGGTGACAGGATTTTTTTGTGTGTTTGTAGGATGGGAGGTGACTGGGAGCAGCTGGGAGCAAGGACCCAGTGGTTGATATTTGCAAAATAATGAAATTTAAGGATGGTCTTTTCAAATCCAGTATGATTGAGGTTGCTAGTGGCCTTAGAAAAGCGATGCCAATCCTGCAACTGAGATAAAGACCTATATAACAAAGTTTAAAAAGGGAATATATGGTGAGTAAACAAAGGATATTGTCGGCATACATCTCTGACTCAAGACATTTGATAAAAATAGAGACAGCAGCACCTGTGAGGCCAAATCTAAGTTTATTAGAGTTGGAAATTCATGTTTGAAGGTAAAAGATAAGTAAAAAAAAACTGGAGATGGATGAGATAAGACTTGATCAAGGATAGGGTCTCTTTAGAGGCATTCTCTAACCTATTTCCTAAGAATGAGGACACTTCTTTCTTTATACTCAAGGGGAATGTAGGAATATGGCAGAGTAGGAGTACAGTGCAAAGGCTACTGTCATATTTTGGTTTTATTCATACCTAATTTATTATTACATTCTTGTCTAGATTTTGTCATTTTAACTTAGTCATTGGCCAGTAATTTTGTATATCTAGCAATTATCACATTTAAATTGCCATGCAATTTGCAGTTCTCTAGATATATATTAATGATGGCAGCTGCACTGACTATGGGATGTCAAATCAGGTATGAAATGTCACTAATTCATCCTTCAGTAATTTTACTCAAGTCATGGAGAGTACATTATTTCATTTGTATAATCCACTGCTTACATAACTTTTGGATTGTCTTATCAATAGCTTTAGACTTCGGGTTTTCTCCTATCCTCCTAAAAATAAGCATTTATAAATTGAACACCATATGGAGGGAACTGTTTTTTTATTTGTGTTTGTATTAGCTTGTTTTGTTTTACTTATAAAAGTGTTTTATATATATATGTAGTTATAAAAGTTTATATATTTATGCGAGTTGTGTATGGACACACACACACACACACACACACACCTGTTCTTATTCTCTCCATGTCTGATATGACTTTGTTCAGTGTTAGAGCTCTTTTTGACACTTTTTTGATACTGGTAGAAAGGTCACTAATGGAGGGAACTCTCGAGGTATTAGGAGCCAAGTGAATAGGACTCTATTTTGTCGGTATATTAAATATATTTTATACTGTTGAAAGGTAGTGTGGAAGGTGAAATAAGGCCAAATAGGACATATGTCATCAAATGTAGCTTCTTGGCTCTCTTTCCTTTTCTGGGTGAATTTTAATCAATTTCATCAAGCAAGGATTTATATCTATTTTATGTACTGCAAAATTTTATGACTACAATATGCCTGGCACATTGTGGTTGGGCAACAATTTTTTTTTTTTTTTGAGACAGAGTCTCACTCTGTCGCCCAGGCTGCTGTGTAGTGTTGCGATCTCAGCTCATTGCAACCTCTGCCTCCCAGGTTCAAGCGATTCTCCTGCCTCAGCCTCCCGAGTAGCTGGGATTACAGGTGTCCGCCACCATGCCCGGCTAATTTTTGTATTTTTGGTAGAGATGGGGTTTTGCCATGTTGGCCAGGCTGGTCTTGAACTCCTGACCTCAGGTGATCCGCCTGCCTTTGCCTCCCAAAGTTCTGGGATTACAGGCGAGAGTCACTGTGCCTGGGCAATAAATATTTTTTAAATGAGTAAATTTAGAGTGAATGTAAAGATTTTTTTTTTAAGTATACCACACAAATGTTGTAAGAACCAAAAAAGGGAATACAAATCCACTTAAGAAAAATAAAATCAACAACAGCAAAAACAAAGTAGAAAAACAGAGAATATGCAAATGTAAATAATTATTATGTCCTGTTATTTTAATTTTTATTATTTCATATATTTACTGTATGCCCCCTATGCATGCTTAATTTTACTGTGTCATGAGCCAGAACCCTAAATCTGTGGAGCAAAAAATGGTTCCAGTCATTAGCCCAATTAAAAAAAATGTATTTTCCTTGAATGCTTGATCTTCTACACCAGTCAACTTACATTATATACTAGGAAGAAAAAATAAGTTCTGTCTACATGATCTAATTATATTTTAAAGAAATTCAATAGTATTTTATTAAGCAGATATTTGTTGTTTCTGTGCCAGGGATTTGAGATGTCTCAGTTATTTGGGGAAAATACTTATAATTCTATATCCCCACCTACTGCTCTGCTACCTATTTTCTTGTGATTCTGTTTCAAACATTTCAGGAATGAAATTTCAGAAAGATTTTATCTTTCTTCCAACTTCTTTCTTGTATAAAGTCTTCCCAAGAGAAATCCAGAACTTGTGGAAGAAAAATTCATATTACCCCTTCAGCAAATTTAAGAAAAACCTGTCATTGTACTAGTTAGAAGCTTATTATCTTAATTCAGTAGGTTTATGTAGACCTTAACAAAAGGAAATAAATATCTTGTAATGAGTATTGACCAAATTCTCTCAGTGCATGGTCACTCTGAGTCTGTTTGCCTTCTTCCAATTTCATTTCTTTCCCTTGTGTGATTGGTTTAATTTGTGTATGAATCATGTCTTGATTTTAAATGTTGTCTTACCAATTATTTGCTTTTTGGCTTAAGGAGTTTGTTATTTTCTAAAAAGGAAAGGATAGAGAGAGTCTTACAAATTGTGTTTTTATCATAGTATTTACACATGTAAACCCAAATTTATTTTAATAGGATATTTGAAGGATCTGTATTTATCTATTTATATCTATGTATTTATCTACCAATCTACTATTGATTTCATAGGGCAGGAGAGAGGGAGAGAGATGACCCTGTCATTAGATTCTGAATTTAAAAGTATCACATAATAGAAATCTGGAGTAGGTATAATTACCCTTATTGTATCTTTTTAAAATTTGCCACAACTAATGAAAATGTCTTTTACTTCCTTAACAAAAGAATATGCCTCCAAAGGCATTGTTGTAGGGAGTGATAATGATGAGATGATTGGGTTGTAATGGAACAGAGATGGAGGGAAAGAGTAAACCTTAGATACAGACTATTGTAATTCCATTTGAAGCTTCAGACAGATATGAGGGAGTTTCTAGTGTGGAAGTTGGAGAAGAGAGATTTATTGTTTCCACCTGACATAAAGATCAGTAAATGCTTTGTGGACCTGACAGTGTTTGCAAGCTATAAAGTCTTTCTCTCTTTTTCTGTGTTAACTTATTGCCATTGTAAACACATTTCAAAGAAAACCAATCTTCCCCTTTGTTCTGAATTAAATTTTTTTCTCCAAAAGTATACCTGCAATTTATAAACCTAACTTTCCTGCTGAAGGAGAATGGATGGGATTCTCCAGCAGCTTATTGCAGGTGGCTAACTATATGAATTGTGGTGGAGGAGGCTGCTGCCTACTGATTTTCTAAGGACTTAGGCACTTTATCTCCTTATTCAGCTGCATTCTTGGGTTGCGGGTGAGGGAAAAATGGAAGGAATAAAATATTAAATTAAGTTGTAAATGTAATTTTCTACCATCAATCTAGCTTTCTTGACTGTTTAGAAAAATCTAGATAATCTAGGTCTCAAACACCTAGTGAACACAAATATCCAATTGTTTTGATTATACAGGTGGAATATATCACCTTAATGGTGCTAATGGCAACTATAGTGATAGAAATTAACAATTCCATTGGACATGTAATTGGAAAAAGTATTGTACTACAAGTTACCCCAAGAAACATACTTTTTCAAAGAATATATACTAGTAAGTCACTTTCAAGTATGAGTCAACGAAATATTACCAATTGTATAACTATAAAATATGAATCCGCTAATAAGGATCTACAAATAAGATCAAACCAACACATTTTGGCCATTAGATAAGGTATTCAGCTACTTTGTGTGATTATAAATCCACAAATCTTATAAACCATGTAAAGATGTTACATAACATCAAGAAAACATCTTAAAAACCTAAAATAACAAAGTTTATTATGGTTTTGCTCTTCCAGAGTGACTAATAGAAATGAATCATGGGCATATTAAAGTCAAGCCTATCAGTTTCTGCCTTGGTATTTTATACTAGTTCAACCTCTGATATATTATGGATTAAGGTTACGAAAATGTTAAGTGGGGGCATTTACTTTTAGTAATCCTTATTCTCTCTCTCTGTCTTTATTCCTGTATCAGAACCTCATGCCACAAAAATCTGCTGTAAGACTCTCCCAGATAAATTGTACTATGTACATTTTAAATACCTAATGTAAAATTATTAATTCAAAAGAACCTCTCTTGATTGTAAGGACCTGCATAGGAGTGGAAAGTAACCTTTTTGGAGGAACATGGGGTTGTGGGTGGGATGGAGATAGCTCTCCTGGTGCTCCTAAAATCAAATCTAGTGTCTGGCCCCACAAGACTCTGCCACGTAGTGATGACTATATAGCAGTGATGCTTCTGGGATCTCTCAGTCAGCCATCTGGAGATCTCCTTTGCGACGGTAAATTATTTAACGTTCTTGGTCTGTAGTGATAACATGGATACATTGGGAAGTAAAAACAAAATAATAATATATAGCATTTTTGATGATGTGGCATTATACTTTTAAATTTTGGATTATAAACTGTTTTTTTTTTAATGAACTATTACTGCTACTTTAGGGCTCATTTTAAATAAGGTTCAGGACCAAATGGGGCTGATGTTGTCCTTATGTTTTATAATGCTTAGAGATTCCAGAGATTTTGCTATTTATAGGAATAATTTATGGATTAATATGTGTTGTGGTAATAATGCATGCCCCATACTGGGTTTGCCTTGGAAATTCCAGTTAAGAGTCGTTATGCATGCAAGGAAGTTAAAATGTTTTTAGAAGCTGGAAAATAGTAAGTGATATCCAATCAGTACCTTCTTTTCAAGCATCATAACATTAAAATTCCGGTGTGAATATATGCACATGCTTACTTATATAACTTGTGCAGGACAACGTTTGACAGATATTTGTAAAGCTGAATGGTAGAGCAAGATATTTAAACTGATGTAATATCTAGGAAGAATTTGAAAAAACATGATGCCATGTCAGAAACATTTCCTCTCCTCTGTAAGCAGCTGTTCCCAATATCCCTTTCTTATTCACATCCTTTCACCCTCTCTCTCTCCTTTTCCAAGTTACTAATTTTCCATTAGGTAATGAGACAAACAGATGGCCAGAAATACTACATAGTTTACAGTTTGGTTCTCAAGTGAGCAAGTTTTGATGTCTTTTGCTGGAGGTCTTCGAAAATGTCCCCCACAACAATTCACATCATGATGGCCATTTTGTGATAAACAGCTTATTTTGATTAGTTTTTAGAGTAAGCAGATTTGAAGAGAATTTTGAAAAGCCAGGACTTTGCCCAACTATACTGTTTTTTTTAACACCTAAAGATACAAGGCATTAGTGACATCACTTTATTTTTTTCTTTTCAGTTTTCCCCACCTCAGGACTGTGAGAGATTGATGTGCGGATACATACTTTCCCTACAGAAAAGACAGTAGCAATAAGTGACATCTCTTTAGCGTTTCTAAAACATGTTTTTCACATACATTATCCCACTTAGATTCACCCAGGAAGTATATGAGGTAGGCAGGACATGGATTCTTGATAGGCCCAATGTAAGGGTGAAGGAACCAAGGCCCAAAGTTGGTAACCACCGACATTTTAGTGCCCGGTTCTCCTATTGCAAACCCTAAGCTCTTTCTACCATGCTATTATTTCTCAGCATAGCCACGAAGAGGTCTAACCTTAATATATAGTCTTGCTCGGGTGGGGGGGGGGGGTTCCCTATCTTGCTTCCCCTATGGCTCCTACTTTGTTGACTTGTTAAGGAGTGGTGGTAGCGATTTTTGTGGGCCTTGTACCTCTTACCAGTTGTTTAGTTCCAGACTGTGTGATGAGTTTACACAACATAGGCCTGTGTTAGAAATGATAAAGGGCTCTTTCTTCCTCAGGATTCTGCCTCTAGGCTGACCTAGTTTGCCTGTCCGCTGTCATGTTTGTATGCTCTGGGCTTCTGTGGGTGAGGCAGCTAGGAGCAAAGTGACAAAAGCCACTGATACTGCCAACAGCTTAGTTTATGCTATAGAGTGCGGGAAGAAGAATGACATTACCTGACATTTGATTTCTGAATATGAAGGAAGTCTTGATTATCAGATAAATAGTTACATGCATAAGGGTATATATTTCTCTACCTATATTGTATATAAACTATGCATACCCATACATCCATGTATCTTGGCATAAATAATTTATTAGAAGGAATGAGGAAATAATATAATATGTAATAGAGTGATAGCTAGTTTAAAAAATGTGCTCAGATAGTTTAGAGTTAAACTAAAAAAGACTTTTTATGTTATGCAGTATTAATCTTCTGCCTGCATGAATTTTTTTTCCAGAAAAAGTGATTATTCTGTATCTCTAACTTAGGAATCTAGTGCATCATAGACACTGATGATGTGGCAGTCATTATCTGCCAAACATCTGCCTAGTAAGCACGTTTTATATCCGTTTGGATCATCAGATTATAGTCAACACTAGATCCAATTATATTCAGACCCTTACTGAGTTTTTTCTTTCAAGAGAAGTGGAAGCAATGGAGCTAGGCAGGACCCACCCTGAGTAGTATGTTGATGATTTCTACATGTCTCAGCATCTGAGACTTTTAAAGTCCAAGGACGTGTTCTTGTCAGTGTCCTGAAATAATCAGTCTCTTAGCCACTGACTGGCTAAACAAAATGCCCATGGCACTTTGGTTGACATGTAAATGATGATTTACTTATTTACAAGGAGAAGTAACTGTGAAATGTGTCTTATTACTCAAAATCTTAATGCTCAGCACATTTCTTACCTGATCAG
The DNA here is from genome assembly GCF_000001405.40 of Homo sapiens. NCBI lineage: Eukaryota > Metazoa > Chordata > Mammalia > Primates > Hominidae > Homo > Homo sapiens. The sequence continues at coordinate 106,996,542 of NC_000011.10, read as the reverse complement.
ACTATCTGAGGAACCAAGTCATAATTAGAAGTTTGCTTTAATCCATTTAGAGTCAAAGCAAAATTAATTTCATGCTAAGTTCTTTAATCCAGTTTATAGAGCTTTCCAGCTGTAGGGAAGGCCTTGCCAGTGAGAACTGATGTTCAAGGGCATTCATAAGACTCATTTTTAGTTAAGATGGTTGAATCATTTTTCTTACTTTAGGGATAATCTTTCTCACTGTGACAGAGGGCCCATATGCTCCTAAACAGTATTAGATATAATGTTTCATAAACAATTCCCCTCCCCTTCTTTTTCCTATGGGTTGCCATCTCTAATTTTACCACTTCCTCCATATCCTCCCTTTGTTGGTCACCTTTAGATATGTTGCTTCTATTGCTCAATGGCCTACTTTGCCTGGAGTGAAACCCAGGCATGCGACTGGAGCAAATTCTCTGCCACTGGTTTACAAATTACTGTTCGAGTTAGTGCATTTAGGGTTGACAGCATATCTCTTTGTTTTATGTGTTAATTTTATAATTTAACTGTCAGGCAGAAATATTACTTCTTTATTCTCAGACTCTTCTTGGGAAATACCCCACTGAAACTCCCAAGTACTGGGCACAATAGAGAATTCTTTGGAAATACTCAAATTGAAGCCACAAAGGTGTCTGAAAGACTAGAAATGATTTTCTCATGAGATCCATTCCTATCCAGTAGGGTACCTATGAGCTGAAATGTCACTAATTAGCTTTGCAGCATTTACTAATTGGCATCTTTGGGCTGTAAGGCATGGCTGGCAACAGTCCTAGATGTTAGACATGGTCAGTTTAGTTCAATTTAGCAATTTTTTGACTACTTCATAATCAAGAGATTTATACATTGAGTTTAATCATCACATAACACATATTTGTGTAATACTTTATAGTTTTATTTCATTTTGATCTTTCAACAGCCCTGAGAAAAGGTTATTCAGGAATTTTCCCATTTTATGAAAATTAAATTGAGGTTCAGAAAAATAAATCCTGTATCCCAAATCACACAGGCTAGCCAGGAGTTAATCCCTTTCAACTATAATCTTTTCTGCTGTTGGTGAAGATAGAACAATGTATTTCAGCTTAGAAGGGCAGGTTAAGGGGTTGGAGATTTTGGAGGGAGTCAGACCTAGATTGGATTGTGACTCAGACACTTACTACCTAAGTGACTTTGGGCAAGTTTTTTAAACTTCTCTGGGTTTCATTTTTTCACATTCATAAAACCGGGGTAATACTTCTGACTCTCTTGTAAGATTATTTTGAACATCAAATTACTTGATGCATGTGACACGTAGGGTCCAGTGTTGCACTCAGCACAAAGCTGGTTGCTATTACAGTGAATAACCCAGAAAGCTTCCCCATTTTACACTTTGAAGACTGAATCAGCCCTATGCCATCTGTGAAGTTTTGTTTGGTTTTGGGCTTTAAGATGGAAGCCACGTCTACCAAAAGGCTTTTGCTATACCATGATCCATTTTCCTGAGAAAATGTCTAGGAGCAGTGCCATCTTGTCTTATCATCGGTATTTTCATTCACACTGAACCAAATTGGCCGTGATGGTGACCAGTGAAGCAAGTATTAATATCTCCTAAAATCTCACTATTAAGAAGTTAATGAGCATACTGGACCTATTTAAGTAATAGTGACACTGTTTACAATTTTGGGAAAACAACAATCTCATTTTCATTCCATTAAAGACAAAAGGAAATAAGGAATTTCAGTTAGATACATGGTAAGTATTTCCTAATGGTCACCAAAGTGAAATAAATTACCAATGGAGGATGCAGCTTGTGACAGAAAGAGCACAGGAGACCCACGACCTGGTCTTGATGGTGTTCCTTTCCAGTTCTGTAGCTGAGGCAAAACACTTTAACCTCTCTGATGCTCAGTTTTTTCATTCGTGAAATGTGGATAATTAAATCTGAGACTCGTGAGATTGTTGTGAGTATCTAATAGGATGGAAAAAAAAGTGATTTGTAAAAACCATAATGTGTTATGCAAACCGAAGGTGGTGGTGTTACTCTCTGGAGTTCTTTGAAAACATCAGACATCCTTGGATGACTTAAGTGTGTTCTTGCCTGAAGGCAGAAGAAAGACTAAATAACTCATACTTCAGGGAGTGTATGTTTTCAGCTCAAATTAGTATTGATGGTATTAGGTTTTGTATCAAATTGAAATTCAATGGCTATTTTTGGAAAGGCATTAAAGTGATGTAACAAAGGGGAAAATACTGGGAAAGCAAACATGCATTTTGTATAGGAAGACTTAATTACAATATTGATTATATGTTAAGTATAATCAATTATAACCAATAATAGTGATGATAACCACTGTGGTTTGCTATTAGAGCATACTTCTAATAAGGCAAAGGTTATTAGTTTGAATCCCCAGATGGGTCAATTAGCATAATGTCAACATTTACCCCAAGCTCTAATGAGGTCATGCAAATATATACCTGTGTTCACAAGGAGAATAAAATGAAGACTGGAAAAAATGGCCCAGATGTTAAACCAGTATGGATAGAAAAACCCTAATTTTAGTGCATCTCTAGCTTTTTATTTTTTCCTTTAGCACCCCTAGGATTTTTGCATTTTGTAACTAATTATCTGAACTTCTAGTTTTGCTTAGCAAATTAGTGTTGTAGGTCACTTGAAATGGTATTCCTACCTTCCTATAAAGCTGCTATCCTTCTAAAAAGTGTGGTTATGATTACCCAGAGAAGGTTGTTTAACCGCCAGTATGTTCCAACTCTGTATTTACGAGTGCTTAAACTTTGCAGTGCTGTACTTGAAGATGACCCTGAGAACTACATACTTCTTACATATGTTTTTCGGATGGGAAAATTGAGGCTTTTTTTTCCCCCGAGGACTTTCAGGTGAAGAGATATTGGCTAATTTTATTTTTTTTAAAAAAAGGTCAGTAGCACAGCTGGATTTGTAATATAGAGGTCCTGACTCAAAGTTCTATATTTAATTTGCAGTCTTTTTTTTATTTTTTATTTTTTGGCTTATATGTAGTAAGTTTAGTCAGAGGCTGGGAAAGTAAACATTATGTCTGGATATCTAGCAAGATTGATGACTACACAATTACCTCTCCTTCAGAAGTAAACTGGTTGTTTGAAATGACATTATTTGGATTAGTTTTAGTGATAAAGTCAGTTATATAATTTGATCCATTGGTGTCTACAGGCCTACCTACAAAGAAAGCATATCTAAGATTATAATTCTGATTAAGTTGTGGAATTTGACATAGGGTATCCTAAGAAACAATGTGTTCTCATGTTATGGAGAAGGTGGTGATCTCCACTTTGTGACCTGGAGGATGATGAGAAGGGTTCCTTGTCCCCACAATTTATCTTTCTCTGACAAGCCTGTTTACTAAAATTAAACTCTTAAAGATTCCAACCATCTTCTATATTGTAGAGAAGCTCATTCACACCATCATTTACCTTAGCAAGGATTCAGGCTTGAGGTTTTGAGGGAATGGAGTTAGGATTCCTCTTGAGCATCATCTTAGAACAAGGTAGTAAGGGGATTTGGAATTTTGATGAGGGAAAGAAAGGGAATATGCAAAGAATGGCTTTTGGAAAGTTTAGATTATGGTGGTGAGGATCTGGCCTAACAGAAAGGAACACAAAGACGCCGGGTGCTCAGAGGGTGGGGAAAGGTGAGCTAGAGGATGACAGAAAGCTAAGAAAGGGGAAGTGGAATTATTTAAAATAAAATTTAATTCCTGATTTTGCTTATAGGTTTTCTTGTTGATATGGCTTTGATTTAAAGAATGTTGTGTGTTCTCAAGAAAAAAATCAATTGTTTGAATACACGTGATTTTGTAATTTTATGTAACATTAAAAAACTACTTACTTATTGAAGACAGTTTCCTAAGAGATGACATGTTCTGGCCGGGCGTGGTGGCTCATGCCTGTAATCCCAGCACTTTGGGAGGCTGAGGTGGGCAGATCACGAGGTCAGGAGATCGAGACCATCCTGGCCAACATGGTGAAACCCCGTCTGTACTAAAAATACAAAAAAATTAGCCGGGCATGGAGGCGGGTGCCTGTAGTCCCAGCTACTTGGGAGACTGAGGCAGGAGAATCGCTTGAACCCGGGAGGTGGAGGTTGCAGTGAGCTGAGATCTCACCACTGCACTCCAGCCTGGGGGACAGAGCGAGACTCGGTATCAAAAAAAAAAAAAAAAAAAAAAGACATATTCTTTTTGTACAAGAGGGTTTCTTTACTTTTCGTCACGTGAGGGTGAACAGATTACCTAATCTCTCTAAATTTTGTTCTTTTTTAGTGATAATAACACCAGTCTGATTATTTCACTTGATTGGTGCAAGGATCAATTAGGATAATATATATTAAAAATACAAACTGTAAAGTGCTCAACCAAATAAAAAACATTAAATATTGTGTGCAGTAAAGGTTGAAGGTTACATGCTTAGATTTGGGAGCCATATTACCTACCTGGGTTTCAATCCTGGCTTTGTCCCTTTTTATCTGTGTGACACAGGGCAACTTAAAGTTTGTGTCTCAGTATTCTCCTTCATAAACTGTGAAAAATAATAACACCTACCTCATGTGGTGATGTGAAAATCAAAGAAGTTCATATACATAGAGGGCTTAAAGCAGTGCCTGGCGTAAAACACGGTAGTCATTCTAGCTGTTGTATTTTTATGTGCATGTTAGCACAAAACTAAATGCTGAATTATTTGCATGGGAGTGGGTTACTGTGAGATTAAAGAAAAAAATCTCGTATTTATGCTTCAAGCAGCATAGCTCTTTGCTTATCTAACAAATTCATATTTGATTATAAGCCATTAGTGACAGTTAATGAAAGGGACTCTGTTTGAATTAAGCGGTTATGAGTATCCATCTCAGAAGCTTACTTCTCTTGATACTTGAATTAAGAGCCTATTCTCATTAATGCCGACTTATTCAGATAAAGTTCACAGTGTTTTTGTCTTTTTCATCATATTTATATCTTAAGTGAAAGGTTTCAACCGTAACGACACATTGGAAGCAACTGGGTCCCCCCGCACCAATTCAACTGGAAAATCTGGGGGTGGCACGTAGACCTTGGTATTTTTTATAAAGATCCCCAAGTGATTTTAATGTGAGGCAGAATTTAAAACCATTGGCTTAGAGCAGTAGTGATTAAATATATACCTACATTGTTTAGTTTCTGACCTTGATAGATATATTTTGTCATATTTAAATAAACAAAATAATGGCCAGGCACAGTGGCTCACGCCTGTAATCCCAGCGCATTGAGAAGCTGAGGTGGGTGGATCACTTAAGGTCAGGAGTTTGAGACCTGGGCAACATAGTGAAATCCCCATCTCTACTAGAAATACAAAAAAAGAAAAAAAAAAAGCCGGGCATGGTGGCACGCACCTGTAATCCCAGCTCCTCAGTAGGCTGAGGTATTAGAACTGCTTGATCCTGGGAGGCAGAGGTTGCAGTGAGCTGAGATTGCACCATTGCACTCCAGCTTGGGCGACAGAGCAAGAGTCCATCTCAAAAAAATAAAATAATATGGCTCTTTATGGATGTTTCTTTAAAGGCAGACCTATTGTTTCTATTAAGTTTGTGTCTTGTGAGTATATGTCACTAAGCAGAAATGAGAAGTTTGATTGTTTTTAAATTATGTGTGTGGCTTTTTTTGGCATGATGAAGTGCTGTGTGTATCAAATAAGAATATAGACTTTCAGAATGTGAAAGGTAAGAGGGAGCCTCAAAGGCATCTAGTGCAAAAGGATACACTTTGAAGTCAGTTCTGTTTTGGAGTGATTTATTTACTTACTGGGTGTGTAATCTTGTGACACTTGCTTAACCTCCCTGAGCTGCAGCTTCTTCATCTCTGTAAAATTGAGACATACATGTATTTTGTGCGATGACAACTGTGTTTCACGCTGCGCGTGCGCGCACACACACACACACAGAGAGAGAGAGACACATCTTTACTCTCTGCCTCCTGCCTGATCCCCGCACCATCTGGTGCAGATATCCAGAGCAGGGACTGTGTGGGAGCCTCAGCGGGACTGTCTGAGCCTGCAGGGCCAGCTGCTGGGGACTGCTTCCTCCCACTCTTCAGGGATCATTTCTCTGGCTCTGTTGGGACTATTTCGTGGTTGGCTGTTCGGATCTCATGACCTTTCTTGAGCATAACATTTAGTCTGTGGGGTTCAGTCACTGTTGGTCAAGTATAGTGAAGCTGTTAGTGAGACTAGAGATGAAGATGGCTTTTTGCCGCCATATGATGGAGGCTTTTGGGTACCCTCTCTTGGTACCCACTGTTTGAACCACAGAAAATATGTGTGCAGGACACTGATGGCTGCTTCCTCTTTCCAGCTGGCTTCCTCTCCATTGCTAGTTTGTGTTGATTTGGGACACTAGGAGGCCACTATCTATGTCTTAGTTTGGGGGAAGGAGAGAAAAATTACAGACCTCTTGACTTTCTTTTTATGATAGTAGGAACAGTAGATTTTCTCCTTTCCCACCCTCGTCTCTTTGATCCTCCAGCATAGGGCTATAAAATTAGTAGGCCACTCAGCAATCCTGTTGCACATTCTTTGTATACAAGGAAGGAAGTTCATGGTTGTTTCTTATTAGCTGTAAAGTAAATGCCTGGGGTCTTGACCTTAGCTATGATGTTTCAGTGTCGTTCCTACTCACTGGCAGGCCTGGCTTTAGTACTATCCTCAGCCTTAATATTGAGAATTCTGCTTGTATCACTGTCTCTCTCAACTGATCTTAATGTTTCATTGGAAATATTTATAAATCTGGCTGCCATTTTTCTGAATTTTCCTCTGTTCACTGGAATTGGTGTCAACTTCTCATAATGAGAAGTATCGGTAGCTTTATTGATTTTTTTTCGATGATGAAGATCTTGAAACATTACACCTGTGGGATGAGTTTTCTAATTGAAGTCTGTGTTCCTACATTAGATTATGAGACTCCTGAGGGTAGGAACCATGTTTTTCAGCTTAGCATAGCCATATCTCTCATTTATTACACACCGACTGTGTGTCAGAGATGTTGCTCTAATTATTTCAGTGCATTCCCATAAAAATAAGGTACACATATGTAACAAACCTGCACATTCTGTACTTGTATCCCAGAACTTAAAGTATAATAATAAAAAAATTAAAAAGATCATTTAACTAAAAAAAAAATAAGGTACGCATAAGGAATCTTGTTTCAGAAGAGCTTAAGTAAATTGCCCAAGGTCATCTAGCTAGTGAGTCATAGAACTTGCTTTTGAATTCAGTTTGACTTTAAAACCTCTTTTCTAAATCATCTTTCCAAACTCCTTGCAGAAAAGGACAGATGCACATAAGAGGACTGGGATCTTGGCCTGTAGAATGTTGGATGGTTCTCTTAAGTAGGAGCCAGTTATGGAGCTGCATTCTTAAAGAAGAGGATAGACAGTCTGCATGTTTTCAAAGCCCTTGTTGTTCCCACTGATCTACATTGACTTGCATCACTGGCATACATGGACACTTAATAAAAGTTTGTTGAGAGCTGGACCCTACCACCCCAGAGGCAGAAATCATCTGATGGAAGGCTTTGGCCCGTTTGTGGGTCTTCACTTCATGCTTTTTACTCAGGTCAGAGAGGCTGAGATTATGTGAATTTGTCTCTCACTGATCAGGCCATGGGTTGAGGCCTTCAGACACACTCTGAAAACTGGAATGAATCCATGGTGATAAGATATTCGGAGGGGCCAGGGCTGTGTTGAAGTCAGTCTTGGATTGCTGAAGTTAGGAGATGCTGTGCAGTCAGCCTCTATGCTTGTGGTTTAGGCTATTAGAATGTGCCTGCCCACTTTGGCAAGAAATAGGAAGTGCATAAATGCTTTATCAACCTGAAGCTTTGTTGGATGTGCTCAGAGAACATTTCTTTTTAATGTATGTGGAAACTATAAATTTAACTCCTGCTGGGAGTGGAAGTAATTGCTTCACACAAGAAAAAAGCTAGATCTTTAAAAGGCTTAACTCCTTTCACAAATATGTGCTTTTTAATGACTGGGAAATTCCTGGTACAGAAAAAAAAATGTCCTTTTGTACAAATGAGGTCATTCTGGTCTTAACTGGCCCTGTACACTCTAGTTCCTGCTTTCTGTTCCATGTTTTATGACCAGAGGTTATTGGAAGGATCATCCCTCTGTGGATATCCACTGCCTTTTCAGTTTGTTGCCAAGGGGAAAGTTATCTTAGCTCAGGAACTGCCAAGCCAGTGCAAGAGGCCCAGATCCAAGGGGTACTGAGCTAGTGACTGATGATGATTGGATTTAGATTGGTCATGGACTAGGTTGTTAAAGCATGCTTTCTGTGTGCACTAGGATCACTATGTCTGATTCATTCTCTTTAGATTTCTTAACCATTCCATTGCCTCTTCGTTCAGGAATGATTTTTCTTTCCTAGGTGCATACCATTTACTCTGCTTTGAGTCTGTTTGGATGAGTAGAAACATTTGTGCCAGTCTGAGGCCTGGTATAAGTGAAAAGCAGCTGCTGAAAGAAGTTGCTCTGTACCTCTCCTTTGAACACTTGGAAGCTGATTCCTCCTAAAATTAATTTGTGAATTGGTTTGGCTAATGTGCAGTAGGTATCTGAGGCCTTAGATTTGTGTGGTGAAAGGGTTCTCCTACGTGGTAATGTAGAGTAGATCTCAGTAGATGCCCTTGATTCAATTTAAGCTCACTTTCCTCTAACTTTAACCATTGCCTACCAAGGAGGATGTTAAAGATTCGAAGAGTGTTAGGTAGGGAGAGTGTTACATCTGTCTTGGATGTTTTTATGAAGAGGTGGACATGGAGTGGGTCTAAGTGAGATTTGACATAGACCTCTGGTGTCTTTTTTTTTTTTTTTTTGAGGCAGAGTCTCACTCAGTCACCCAGAATGGAGTGCAGTGGGGGTGATCTTGGCTCACTGCAACCTCTGCCTCCTGGGTTCAAGCAATTCTTATGCCTCAGCCTCCCAGGCAGCTGGGACTACAGGCATGTACCACCATGCTCGCCTAATTTTTGGTACTTTTAGTAGAGACAGGGTTTCACCAATTTGGCAAGGATGGTCTTGAACTCCTGACCTCAAGTGATCCACGTGCCTCGGCCTCCCAAAGTGCTGGGATTACAGGCGTGAGCCAGAGTGCCCAGCTCCTGGGGTCTCCTTTAGACGATATATTTTTAAGACAGCCACTTTGAAGGATTAGCAATTGGAAATTGATACTTATTAACTGCTTCTTAGGTATCAGCACTATGCTAGACCCTTTCTGCAGATTGCCTTTTTAGAGGTAGAAGGCTACCATGCTGCCTCACATCTTGAAGGGTTTGTATTACATTCGTATTCCCCAAGAATTCATCCTTGGCTGTAATGGATCAATGCTTTGATGAGGCCTTGAGTGCTTTTTTTCTGCTTAATTGACTACAGGTTTTTGTTATTTAAAACATTCTCTCTCTTGCTACTGAGAACTTGGTTCTTCTTATCATAACTTCCTAATAACATCTAGGTTCTAGGATCTTGGTGTCCCATTCATGGCTCTCTAAGTCTGAAACTCCAAGTTCAGTCTCTGTTGCTTAATTTCTTGATCTGGGATTAAGAACCTCTGTCTTAAGCCATCGTGGAGAAGAGATTATGAAATGTGGTCATGAGCTGCTTAGATATTTGTTGCAGACTCCATATTTTGCCTGAAGCACTTGTGGCCCATCCAGTATGCTCCAGAAAGAACCTTTGCTTGAATTCTCTTGGGACATGGAGGAAGTCAGGCTGACTGCTGTGACAGTCATGGCTGTGGGGCCCTGGATCACCTGCTTCCCATCCTACTCTGCCTTTTTGTTAGTCTCCTCAAAGAACGGGGAAAAAAATATCATTTAAGTTTAAAAATATCTTTTATTATAAAGTTGACTCTTTTAACTCAATTTATCACTGCTTGCTAGACCATCCTTGAAAACCTTGTTAAAATGTAGAAGAAAATATGAAGACGTGCCATTTGATTTCAGTTGCTCATTACCTCATGCAGATTACATATGCTGGAAAGGAAAAACCGTGACTCATGTTTCTGCAGGGCACCCTCCCTGCTATCCCCAGGGCCTGGGTTTATTGTAGGCAGCCAATGTGTATTTTATTGAACTTAATAGCTGTTACAAAAGAATTGAAGAAAACATTCCTAGGAAATACTATCATAATTGAAATTGGGAAGTTCTGGGTAATTGCCGAGTGCCTCATATTAGTTTCTGTGGGGAAAATACATGGCATGATGCAAAATGGGTTAATACTGTAGAAGGAAAACTCTCAAGAGATAAATCAGAAGCTTCACCTGTCTGCCTACGATACTCACAGTGGGAATGGTACTGATTTGCTGATAATATGTTTTTATTATTATTATTATTCTGTAGCCTCAGACGATACAGCAGACTCTCAAGAGGACACTGCAGTATTATGAACATCAAGTTATTGGGTAAGTAAAAATTGATTTCGGTTATTATTGGGGACAAATTAAAGGTAATTACTCAAACATAGCTGTTGAGTATGTGATTTTCTGCTACCCAGGTCAACCTGATTTTATAGTGGCTATGTTTTCATAGTGTGGGGCGTGAAGGCTTATTGGGGGAGTCCCTTGGAGTGATTTCTTTTGGCTTATTTGTGCTTAATTCTTTTAAATGAAATTACTTTCTGGTATTGCTTTTCTTTTTTTTCTCAGTCTTCTCATGTTCTTACTCTTTTATTCCGATGTTGAATCATATAATTATGCCTTACTAATGTGGTGAGCTTTATTGGTACCAACCCAGATGCTTTGAATGGGATTTTAGAATCCTTAAGTAGAGTTTGATAAGAATCACTACAGCCTTAACACAGTTCAGTGAGAGGAATTAGTTTACTTAGAGTCACGTGCTACATATTTTTCTTTATTATCATCTATTTCTTGAAGTGGTTGTGATGTGGTGTAAAGTAAGAAGACTTGATGTCAAAAGACAGGACTTCAAGGCCTCACTAGCAAATAGATCTTTTACTAAGTAACTTTATCTCTTTTTTAAACTGTGATGATAATAATAACTAAATCAAGGATTAGATGTAATGATTAAATGAGGTAATTTCAATGAAAGCATTTTGTAAACAGAGAGCTCCAAATGAGTATGAGGTACACCTCTAATTGGCTGTGGCAGAAAGCAGCTGGCAAGTATGAAAGCCTAAATTTACCTACTCATGCAATCTAGCTTTTAGATTAAATTTATTGACATTAGAGGCAATGTATATATTTTAATTTACCTTGTTAGTATTCTTTATATGGTACAGTGATTTATCTTTGTAAGATTTTAAGAACTTTTGAGAAGTCAAGATTCAAACTGTGGTACTTCTTGAACTGCTCTCAGGATCATTTAACATTTATGGCTAATAGCCATTGCCATAGGGATCAATAACATAATTTTGATTATTACGGTATAGTGTGATTTTTTTTTCACAGAACAGAAGGGAAGAAATCTTAATGGAAAAATAATCTCGGTACCTAGTACAATGCCGTATACTTTAAGTGCTTGATGATTATGTTAATTGTCATTTAAAAGGGAATTGCTTTGAAACTTTGTCATACTTATCCTCAAGAGTGTAGTTCTAGGAAAAACATATTATTTAAACTCATGAGATGGCTTTTAGTTTGAGGCCATTAGTGATTTAAAATGGTTTATCCTAATGGAGATAAAGAATGTCAAATTAATCTTTCTCCACATATCCTGAAATAAAACTTAATCACTCTCATTGAATTTGCCGCTTTCCAAGTATGGTGTTTGGATTAAATTAGTTAGTATACTTAAAATAGTTCCTCGTATGTGGTGAGCACTACATACCTGTTTGCTTTTATGTTTATCGTTATTATTAATATTTTTATGACAATATCCATCATCAAAGTCTAATTTTCTGGGATTATGAATGCTCTTTCGCTTTCGAAATAAAATAACTGATGAAATATTCTCATTTTTGAACTAAAGTATACCTTCAAGGCAAATTGGAGTGGGACTCTTATAATGTGATCAAAATAGATAACCAAACTATATTGCTATAATCAGAAAAGTTTTTTCTCCATTGATAGAATGGAGGGAGTTCCCTTTTATCCAGCTGGCTGCCTCAGCCCTCCCCTTCTACCTATGTAGACATGGTCTGTGGTGCTTCTTTGTCTATTGCATGAATGGTCTTTTCCTAGTTCTGTTTATTGCATACACAGTATAAAGAAAACAGAGAGTTTGACTCCAGTATAAAGAGGGGTCTTGATGTCTGGCATGATTCAAATAGGCCTATTAACATATTTTTGCTTGGGTGTTGGCTGATTTCTTGGACTTGAAGTACCTTTGCTCACTGACTTTATTTGCATTCATGCTGATGCAGACAAAGGGGGCCTGTTGGCAGCAATTTTGTCACGTTTGCCTTTCTTGACTGTATTCCCCTTTCTTGCCTTTTTTCTCATTGATGACTTTCCTGTCCAACTTCCTCTTTTGCCTTTTATTCTCCATCTTTCTACTTTCTATTTCTCTTTTCACAATCAAGAAAGCAGAGCAGCTAATATCACTCACCCTCGAACTAAAAAGTGTTTACAGCTGTATGTTGTTCCTCTTAAGAAAATACAATTTAAGGCTTCCTATCTCTAATTGTGAAAAAGAATGTGTTTCTTACAGTTAAAGGGATTTTGAAATCCCTGTATTGAGAATTGAGAGTAAGTGCCGACAAGCATAATTTTAGTTATTTTTTGGCAGGTGAGGGTGGGAAGGAGATGCTTTTCCTAATCTCTGAAATGGGGCTTGCTTAAAGCTGTCTTGAAATAACTCAGCATTTAAATACCTTGTGTTGAGGTGTTGAAGCAGAACAGGTAACAGAGTATGAGCTAGCCCTTCTCTTTTTAATTTCTTAATTATCCTTCAACCACTAACCTTCTTTTCCTTTCCTTGAAAACTCTGCCCTTAATCTGTTTTATTTATCAGAGCTCTAGGATTGTACGGTTCTGCTCCTTGGATTCTTATACTGGTTGCCCATAGAAACTCTCTGAGGCTTTTTGTGTCTGCCAAGACTGAGACTTCAACGCGGAGAGCAGCTGTTTCGAAGGGTCACAGACAGAAGGACTGGGAGGGAGTAGCTGATGGGGCTTCCTGTTAGGGAGTAAGATAGCCTCTCTGTACTTTATCCACTTTATCTTTAAACATTATTCTGTTCCTTAATTTATCCATTCACTTGTTCATTTATTTATTCATAGAGATCATTCAAGTTGGGGAAATGAGTGCTAAAATAATTTATTCATGCAATGTGATAAATCTTCTCTTCATCTCCACTATCGTCATCATCTCTCACCAAGACATTCTGGTCTAATTTTCTGGTTTCTACTTTTGTCCGCCAATATGTATTTTCACCACAGCAAAGCAATTAAAAAATTACATCATGCCACCTTCTTATGTGAAACCAATGGTTCTCAAATGTTAATGTGCATCAGAATCACCTGCCAGCCTTGTTAAAACACGTATTACTGGGCCCTGCTCCCAGAGGTTCTGATTTCCTAGGTTCAGATAGGGCTCAAGAAACTGGCATTTCTGTCAAGTTCCCAAGTAATGCTGATGCTGCTTGTCCAGGGATCACACTTTGAACCCCCTGCTTTAAACTATATGATGGCTTATTATGGTAGAATAAAGTCTAAATTCTTTCTGTGATCTGGCCTCTGCCTACCTCTGTAATTTCATCCCTTTCCACTTTCCTTTTTTTCACTCCATTTCAACCTTCTGTTGGTTTCTCAACTTACCAACCTTAGCTTCAGGGCCTTTGTATGTATCGTTTCATTCTTATGCAATGCTCTTTCCCCAGATGTTTGCACGGCTTATTCTTTATATACATATAGGTCTCTGTTCAAATGTCTTCTCTACAGGAAAGCCTGCCCTGATCACCCCGTCTAAAGTATCTCTCCATCACCTACCTCAAACTCCAATCGTGTCAGGTTGACTTTGTGGAAAATTTTGATTACTATATAAACTCTACATATTCATGCTCACTTGGAGAGCTTCTTGTTCCCATAGCACTGTCTTTCCTCCACCTAGAATGAGCAAGGGGGCATTGAATGTGCATCTTTATGTTAGTTGCTCTTTAACTCAAACTTCTAGGGAATGGACTAACTTTCTGGGTGGTGTGGGGTGGAAAGATTAGTGAGGAGCAGAAGAAGTCAGTAGCAGACAGGCAGGATTCACTTTAGAAATTAAAAGCAACTGAGGATAGAGGAATGTCTGTTTATAATGGTACTTTTTTTCTGATATAATTCTTGCCATAGTGCCCTTTCTTCTCTTTGTATGTTGTGGAAAGATTGTGTTTTGTAAGTAGACATATGAAACTTACTAGACATATAGTCAGGTTTTGCTATGAATAATCTTGGGAAGGTTACTTAAAATACCTGAGCCTCAGTTTTCTCATTTTAAAAATGGGAATAATAACAGGGTTGTGGTGAAGTTTAAATGAAATCTTAATGATAATAATGTATGAAGTCATATAATCACATAAAGTAGTTAGCATAGTACCTGGTACACAAAGATAATCAATAAATGAATTGAATTATTATTACTACTGTTAGTAAATGACTCTTTTGCAATTCAACTTTTGTGGATTGTCTTCAGTTTATCCTCCTGCTGCAACCTTTTCCTGTCTTCCTTGGGCCTTTTAAAGTTTAGAATCTGTTGTTTAGCATCTGGTGGTGAACATGCCCAGTTCGTGTTCTAACTGCAGTTTTCTTCTCACAGAGAACATCTTTTTCGTTGATTTTTTTTTTTTTGACTGAAATTTCTGTCTCTAGAGGGCTTGACCCAACTGCTCTCACTCATATTTCTACTACATGATTCCTACTGGTCTATGGCTCACAAAAATGGATTGCCATGGCAGGGTAGACGAAGCACAGATTTCTTCAGTGAACTACTATGAGAGATGTGATAATCTTTCTGAGATATAGTGTTCACTCACTATATATTTTAAACAATAAAGAATAAAGAAATATGTATTCAGAACCATGCCAGTAATTTTATCTTTTTTTTTTTTTTTGCCAGAATAAGCATTGCTGTGTTAATATCATGGATAGGACTGTTGCCAAACTCATATTAGTCTGGGACACCAATTCTTATAGTCATCTAAAATTAAATTGTATTGCTCCAATTATTAATGTGGGCCCTATGTTTGTTTTATACAGCCAACCTTCTGTTCTCTTTTTCTTTTGACAATTGAGGAGAAATTAAGCCAGAATAATTTCAGTAGAACACTAGAGTGAAATTAAGAATGGGTGAATTCTGATTACTCTGAGAAACAAACTTCAAGGATATTACTTAAGCTTTCATGATCAGATTTTGTGGCTTATTTTAATCTAAAAATGATCTAGCTTCTTTTTTATATATTTACATAGAAAAAAACTGTATCTTTTTGAACATAAACAAATTAGACAAAAGCTAATATCTCTTGATTGCTTACTATGTTTGAGGAGATATGCTGGGCACTTTCCATCTTTTATTTAATCCTAAAAATATTGCATAAGAGTACTGTATTAAGCACATTTTACAGATGAGGAAATTGAGGTTGAGAGAAAAAAGTACTTTTTTAAGGTCATTCTGATAAAAATGGTGGAGGTTGAATTAAAAATAACCCTGTGGGGTTGCCTGTGTTTAACATCTGTGCTCCCTGTTCCACCTCTTGAGTGACTCCTGCATTCTGGAAACTGTAGTAAGCATTTTGCCTAACTGGTTTATTGGAGTCTGATCTCAATGAGGTGTACAAACATGAAACCTTTTTATTTTTCCCTCCACTCACATCAAGCATGCTAGGATACATCCCCTTCGATATTAGCTTAGACAGATTGCTCTGTTTTCCAAGTATTTCCAAGAATTATGAAGTTCACTCTAGACCAATTTAAATTTTTACTCTCATATCTAGTCTGACTCTAATGTTGCTTTCTCTGTCTGGGTCAGGACTTGGCCTAAGAGACTTGGAATACAGGACAGAGTGTATGATGTGGGTTTTCACTCCTCTTCTCCAGGCCATTCTTTTCTGTGTCCCTTTCTCTTCGGATGTATTGGGTGAGGCATGAATGAAATGGAAAATGGAAAATTTCATTGGGGTTGTAGCAGTCCTCTCTTGGCTGTCATGCCCTCACTAGGGTGCATGTATGAGTTCCGCCCTGACACTTTTGGATGCCCCAGCTCCTGCACCTAAGGACTTCACTCTCGTGGTCTTGCTAGTGGGAGCCCTGTCCCTGGCTGGCAGCCTCTAGATTGGAAGAGCACCATGACAACCAGACAACTCAAGCTTGCCTCTCTCTTCCCTAACCCATGGGAAATTCACATATTTGCCCTGCCAAACGGTGGGCCTTTAGGTTGCTCCCAATTTTGCTCTATTTCTTTTCCTTGTCGATAACTTTCTCCAGAGTCTTCTTCCTCTTATCAGTCAGACAGGGGAGTATGATCAGGAAATCCACTGCCTCTGCAGATGTTCACTGGGGAATGAGATGGGTAATCCCCAATCTCTACCAGCTGTGGACCCCCCTCACCAACTGGACTTCTGCAGGGAACACTCCCCTTTTCTCCTTTTCTAGGAGGGGAGGGGGAAAAGTACCATAGCACTCTCTTCCTAGGCCAACTCCTCACTCTTCTGAAGATTTTATTTTGAAGTCTTTCTGTTCTTTTGCTTCTGTAAGCTGGTGGTAGAGTGACAGGGGCAGTGGCTGTTTAGTCTCCTCTTAAGTCCTGAAGAAGAGCTCTGGTCTTCTTGGCTACCCCTTTGGAATGTGGGAGGATTTGGCCTTTAATGTCCTCAGCTTTTTTGTCTTAGCTCTCATTCAGAGGCAACTCAAAAAGTCCCAGCCAATATCCAGTTACAGGCATTGTGTTATTTAGTCCTCACAAGAACTCTAGAAGGTACCTCCATTTTATGAGAGAGGAAATTTAGACTAACAGAGATTAGGTTACTTGCTCAAGATCTCACAGATAGAAAATGGTAAGACCATGACTCAAATTCTGCCAGGTGTATGTTATTTATACACCATACTGCTATCTTCTTCTTTTTTTTTTTTTTTTTTTTTGAGACGGAGTCTCACTCTGTCACCCAGGCTGGAGTGCAGTGGCGCAGTCTCGGCTCACTGCAAGCTCCGCCTCCTGGGTTCACACCATTCTTCTGCCTCAGCCTCCAGAGTAGCTGGGACTACAGGCGCCTGCCACCACTTCCGGCTAATTTTTTGTATTTTTAGTAGAGACGGGGTTTCACCGTGTTAGCCAGGATGGTCTTGATCTCCTGAACTCGTGATCTGCCCGCCTGGGCCTCCCAAAGTGCTAGGATTACAGGCGTGAGCCACCGCACCCGGCCTATACTGCTATCTTCTTGACTGTGACAAAAGTTATGGTGTGTTTACTTTCAACACCATTGAATGCCAGGACACCAAATTAACATTGTTAACTTTTCCTTTTCTAGGCAGCTTCCTTATAGAAACAGATCACTAGCCTTGATGAAGTGCTCTCAGAGTGATACATTAGCTGTACAAAGCTGATATATTTTTTGTTCTCTTCAATTTTTTTCACACATAGCTTTCTTGTTAACAGTTGCCTCCAGTTCCAGGTCTACACTGCAAATGCTGATGTGAATGGTGGGTTATGCCAGAATTATGTCTCAAAGCTTCACTTATTTTAAAATGTGACTATGATGAAAGCATAGACTGCGTGTGCTTGTGCGTGTGTATATGAGTTGCATTCGCAGATGCTTTCAAAAATTTCTCCTTATGCTAATTTTGTTTTCTTCTTAGTTACAGGGATGCAGAAAAGAATTTCCACAATATCTCTAACAGATGCTCCTATGCAGACCACTCCAACAAAGAAGAAATTGAAGATGTCTCAGGAATTCTTCAGTGTACTGCTAATATACTCGGTATATTAACTATATATATTTATATGGATGAGAGAGAATGAAAGAGAGGGAAAGTCGAGGTGGAAGTGTTTCATGTTCTACCAAAGAGAGATGTGGAGAATATGGCAAGTTGAGACCCAGACCTTGTGAAGTGATGGGTGTTAACTCTCCTGAAGATGTTTGAGTGGAAATTGCTTGCATGCCACTTACTTAGAGATGGAAAAACATCAAAACAAAAATACTTAAATTCCAGGGAAACAATTTCAGATATTCACATGTGAATAGTATTAGCTCTGTATAATCCATATTTCTTTGGCCCTTATTCTCAGCTAAAGTTGTAGGATCTTTTTTTCCTCTCAGTCATACTCTATTACTTCTGGGAGGTCCTGGTTGGGGCAGAAGGGTGGCCCACAGGTACTGTTAACACTCTACAATCCAATGTTCCTTTCTGTGGCCTTGTCAGTGAAGCAGGTCATCTCCTGAGGTGTCTGTGCCCTACTTGGGGTTAGGGGAGTGTCCATCTTAAAGATATTTGTACTTATGACAGAGGGGCTGTTTTTGGATGCTCCAACATGGCTAAAAGGTACTGTTGTAAATTGCAGCCAATTATACAGCCGTAAGCTACCATAACTGAGCTGTACTACCATACTACCTGACGTTCTTGGTGTGTGAGAGCTACATTGTATTCCATGCAATGTATTCTAAAAGAAATATTTTTTTTCCTAATGTCTTACAGATGTTTCTAGTGAGAAATTTCTCTTTAAGTTCTTTTTGGAATTCTTTTTTCTTTATGACCCAGATAGGAATCCATGGGGTGCTGGAGGGTGCTAGTGGGGAATAATAAATCTTAGTGAGCGACTCCACACAGAATGCAGAATCTCTTTTGGGGTCAGGTGATGGACAATAGGGCAAACCAGTTTGCATGTTCTTTCTTTTCCTTTATAGTATTTTCCCTGGAGGCATCTGAGTTTCTCCTACAAACAGTTTCCAGGTTACCCCAACCCAAGGGTCTATCAGATTTTCTAAACATGTCAGACTTCTAGAGGTAGACTTCTTTTACATTCAAGCTGGGAATCCAGCTGCCGGTTGGCTACATTTTCATCCTAGGTAACTTTTGTAAACACAAAATTGTATAATAAGAAAATGTATACCTTTTGTGAGGGGATGCATATAGATGTTAGTGGTTTGTCTATAACAGCATGCAGGACAGTGATGGGTAGTGAAAAGGAGGCCAAAGATTCATCACCTTAATCTTAGAACAACTGCAGGGATGTCACAATACCCAAGTAAATCTTATGACTGGAGAAAATAAGGGATGGGATTAAAAGAGACATTACCCAAGAGTTGTTTAAAGTTTTCTGATTTTATATTTTCAAGGACTCTCCTTTCAGTAACATACATTTCTCTTAATGCATTGTGATTTCAAGGGGTGGGGTGATGATGCCACACTAAAAGGGATGTATCAGAATCTCAGTGAAGGGATGTTTAATATTTTGAGAAGTTGCTTCTTATCCAGTTTCTAAACACTTTCCTGACCCTCACGTCTTTCTTCTTTATGCTCCCTATTTTTAGAATCACTGAGTTAGAGGGAATAGGAGGTGTTCAAAGATAATGATTATATTGGGGTGCTAAAGGCAGTTGGACTGTGGCTTGTAAATGAGTGTGCACAATTCCCACGGAGAGAAACCCTGGGTCAATTTGAAATGGTTTTCAGGGGACACTGTTGGCCCAGCACAGCTTAGTTGCCCTTCGAAGGTTGCCCTAAGATGTTGGATAAGTAGTGAGTGAGAAGAACAGCAGGCAGTGTGCTGCCTGATGACATTAGGGTGAGTGCAGTGTTTATAACTTAGAAGGTGATCATGTAACAGGGTTTAGATTTCCATGAATAGTAACTTTTTCTACAAAAGAGATACTAGGTCTGATTATTTTCTTCCTCTAAGTAATGATAGGTTGTTTTCAAGATTTAAAGCACAATCTTGTAAAGTTTAAATTTCTGAAGATTAACATTAACATTAACATTTAATGCCTGCCACCTGTCAACCAGATGCTGGCACAGAGGTAGCTGTTCTCCTTGAATAATGTCTTTTTAGAACTCTTGATATATTGACTCTCTGAGGACAGCGTTAGCGGTCATATTCAATAAAAGCTTTGTTTTTAAGAAGTCACTGAGCTATGATTAATCTTGGCTTGTTTAGATTTTTATCTTTTTTTAAAGTTGTGTTTAAATTCTCTTCTGTAATCATATATGAGAATGAAAGAATTGGTCAGCTTACTGGACAGAAAAGCATGACATAAATTGTTTTTTGGGAGGTTGTTGGGGGGTGGCACAGGAAAACAACATTTCAACCAAGATAAGAAAAATTTTGATGCCTGGGAACCTTTTTTTTTGGATGGCAGAAGGCAGTGTTCCAACTCCATGGTTTATATTTATCACCTTTGGGGAGTGTGATTAGAATATTGGTGGACTGAGATTGGCAAACATATATTTCTCTTACCTTCTTAACCTATTACAGGGTTGTATTAGAGTCTGGAAATGTGTTCGTTTATTCACTTATTTGTATATTATTTATACTTCATCATCAAAAAAGACTTGAAGTCATAGATCACAAGATATGATCATAGTAGCAATTTTTCTCCTTCCAAAATGAGCATTTCTACCTACTTAGTATAAACAACTCCTCTAGAAAGTTTGGTCATTTACTGGCTCTTCAGGTTGAAGTTTGCATTTAGAGGGTGGCATGGAATAAAAACGAGGACCTGAGGAGAGGGAGAAAGTGAGTTGGAGAAGACCTGTTATGCCTCTGTCACTCATTTGTTCTCTCACCTCTTCCATGGGACTCCCTGGGAGCACATGTTGTGCCCTACAAGGTGTTTCATGCCTCTGGAGTAATGGGAAAGAACTGCTTCCAGATATCAAAATGTTTGATGTCTGTTTCCCTTTCGTTGGTTTAGAAACTGGTTGTTTCTATTTTCTGTCTCATCATTTACAAATTACGGATATTGATTATGGTCTGTTTCTTGCCATCTCTTCACCATATTTTGGTGCTTTGCCAATTGCTGTGATAATGGAGGCTGGGCCCTTGAAACTCTGGCCATGCAAAGAAAGATAGTAGACAGTGCCCTCCCTGCTGGAGGACTTTAGAGTTAAATTTATTGCTTTATTTGGTACATAATGTCTTTTGCATACCAAAATGATCTAATTTTAGTTGTCCAAAAAATAGAAAATCTTTTCTAGCCCTAATCTGCAAAGCCTATTTTTAGCTCAAATTAAATAGTAGAAATGTGTTTATGCTCTATGAGGCAACATTTAGTATTTTCTTGGAAATTGTAATGGTTGAATGGTATGATGAAGCATGTATTAAAGCATGTGTACCATGTTTTCTGCTGAAATGTTGCTACTTGTTCTTATGGATTGGGTTTACATAGTGTTGTAGGCAGGGAGACAAAGTGAGTAGGAGAGTTAAGGGAGAAGGATGATAAATTGCATAGTCTCCTTTGTCATAATAAGTTAAATATAAATGAGGTTATGACTATTTCAGTTTTAACAAGTTCTAATACTATTAAGGGTGTTGTGGGTGTTTCAGTTGTTGTAGAGCTTTAAGGAGCTACCAGATGGGGGAGTTGGGGTGTAGGAAAAAGACTTCCCACAGTAGTTTAGAGAACAAATAGAAATGAGAGCTCTAGGTTAATTCATTTACTGAGGAGTTATAGCATATAAAGATTTGCAGGTTTAGGAAGCATCAGTTATTTGCTAAGTATTGCTCAAAGTATAGTTTTATACTGCCCTTGCTAAGTGCATTTCCTCTCAAAATAGTCAGGAAGTGCATAGTTCTGAAAAGATATTCATTGATGTTTTCTCTGTTTTAAAGGTCTCTCTCTGTCAGAGTGTTGCTTTATCTTCTCTAAAAATGTAACACATTTAAGTCAGAATGGGAGCAATGCTTATCATGGGATTATTTTATTGGGAGAGGGCTAGTAAGGAGGATAGAGGAAATGACCTTTGGGGCTTATTCCTCACAATATTTTCTTAGTATCAGGGATCCTGAAATACTGTGAAATCATTTATAAGATGCCACTGATTCCACAATCTTTAGCTGGTATGGAACTCTCTGTTTTTTTATAAGTAATGATTTTTTGCTTATATGTCAACTTGTATATACTTTTTTGTTTCACTGTGATTTGTAATGTGTATTTAGGAGCCTTTTAATTAGTCATAAAATTGTGAAGAATTAGCTTAAGGTTAGGTTAAGACTAACTTGGAGATTTTCTGGGAATAACTCTAAATAATATAATTGTTTAGTAGATAAGAATATGTTTAACATATTTGTTATCTTGGAGAACTAGTTAGTGTAGTAACAACTTACCATATTTATTGGTGAGTTAAGATTAATAGCAATAAATAACTTCTGCCATTATAGTTCTTGTTACTATAACTTGGTAACTGATCAATTTCCTCTTTCATTAAAAGTAAATATTTTCAGTATTTTACTAGAATGAATTGGAATTAAGGCGGTTGAAGGGGAAATAACTTAATAATGTTACTATAATGTAGTGATTTAGAGCAAGACTGGAGCCAGACTACTTGGGTTGAAAATGCATCTCAGCTACTTACTAGCTGCACGAACTGGAATGATTTACTTCATCTTTCCTTACCTCATATTTCTTATTTGCAAAATGGAGATAATATAATTGCACACTTCCTAGAGTTGCCAAGACGATTAAATGAGTTAATTTATATCAAGTACATACTTAGAACAGCATGGTATATAACAAACAAATGGAACATGAATGTTTGCTTTTATTATTATTGAGTATTCCCCAAATAATGTTTGCATCAGATGCAGAAGGTTTGCTTACTTTTTTAGGTGAGAAAACTGATACTTTGCAAGGTTAACTAACTTGTTGATATCTTTGGTCAGAGTTAACAAGCCACAGAGGCAGAATTTAAATTCATTTCAGTCTGATTCCAAACCTCATGTTCTTCTCATTACTTTGTGCTGCCTTCCAGAGTTGTTGACTGTGTCATCACTCCTCTGATGCTAATTACACACCACCTTTCCAGTTCTCTGAATTCTTAGAATCGTCATGATGTCACATTTTGCTTAGTGCTTTGCTCTTTCAAATGTACTTGGGATACTTGCTTGTATGAGACAAACTTCTTGTCAGTATTGAGGAAAGTTCAGTTGTGTTGCAATTTGGATCATTTCAGTTTAGAAACTAGGATTGTTCTTTAGATTTTAGGTGTTGAAAATGCTAACTAAGGGTGATGGTGTTTCCCATCACAACACAAACGTGGTTTCATAGCTATGCTATAGTAAACACTGTGACAGTTTTTTTGCTCATATTTCAAGCTGATCTTGCTACGTAGCTGGCCTCATGTGTTAGACATCATTAGGCCAGCACAAAACCTGCAAAAAGGCTGTGTTTCTGATGTTGTTGATTTCTTTTAATGGAAAAGTTTAAGAATATCATCATATAATCTTATTAAACAATTCCTAAACAGAGACTTTAGGTAGTGGCTCTGTGTAAATTAGAGACAACTTCTGTATTCTGCTCTCTGCTTACATACTTTCCCTGAGATAGTTAGATACAGTAGATAGTCCTGAGAAAGAATGAGACCATTGTATATGGACACTGCTTCCTATATGTAAAGGATAAACACTATAATACAAACATATCCTTAAGTTATACAAGTCAGTTTTATAAGTTACAAGGATATTGAGTATGTAGCCTTTTCGCTGGCTTCTTTTGTTTAGAAGTGTGAATTTAAGACTAATCCATGTCTTTCACAGAGAGCTCATTCCTTTCCCACAACTGCCCTGAAAAATATTCCATTTAACATGTACCACAGTTTGCTTATCCATTCATTGATTGAAGGATACCTTGATTCTTTCCATTTTTGGTTATTGGATATTGAGTGGAATGTGGCATAGTTTCCCTCTTCTCCTAGATATTTTTTCTCTTTTAGGAACATCTTCTTCTGAATCTTGTGACAGACTATTTCCCATTTGTCCTGCTAAATTTCTCCAGACATAGCTTTTCTTTTTTGCTGGAAGAACATGGCAGTCCTTTTTCTTAATTTTAAATTTGTGTTTCTGTGTCTCTAAAGCATTGTTTCGCTATCACTAGCAGCTTTCTGTCTAGCACCTCTTCTTTGTGTGAAGGGAGAACAACCCTTCAGATTCCTAAATTCTTCAGGTTGTCTTTTGTTCTCTTTTCTGAACTCTTCAGTAGGTTGGTGTTTATTTTTCGTTTCCCTTTAAGTTTTTTTTAAATGAAGTTTTAATGTAGTTTTAGGTTTATAAAAAAGCTGTGAAGATAGCACAGAAAGTTATGATATATCCCACACCCATTTTCCCCATTTGACATCATACATTAATATGGTACTTTGGTCCCAATTTATAAAACAATATTGATAGGTTATTATTAACAAAATTCCATGCTTTATTTCAATATCCTTAGTTTTTAACCTTTTCCTGTTCCAGGATTTCATTTCACATTACATTTAGTTGACTTATCTCCATAGCTTCTCTTATCTATGACAATTTCTCAGACTTATGTTGTTTTTGATGACCTTGACAGTTTTCAAGTGTACTGGTCAGATCTTTTGTTTGTTTCCTGTTTGCTTTGGTATGTGGCAATATGCCCATCATTGGCCTGACATATGCCCATATTGTGTGTGTCTGTGTGTTCATAGTGTGTTTTGAGCACTTCCTTACTTCCCAGCACTATAAGATGTTCCAGACTCATCTTTCATACTTTCTGCCCCAGTTGTCTAGAATGAGCCATTTCTCTCAGGAGCCCTGATACCTTTTATTGGAGAATGGTATTGGAAACCATGACCTGGGCATTGGTTGTACTCATTGCTATTGGGGTGTTTTGCTTCTACGCCCTCTCAGCTGACAGAGCAAGAGAATATATGTGTGTAGACTAACTCATATATATATGCCCATCTATAAACATTTTTATATGTATTCATCATATGCTAAATATGAGTTAATACTGATGTCTCCAACTTTACTCCATTACCATATGGATCATTCTAACCTTTCCCTCTTGCTTGTCTATATCCTTCTTTCTAACAAGGAGAAACCTGACTCCCTTTAGCCATCCATTTACTGAATTCTTCAATTCCAGTGTACGTTTATAGTTGTTTCAGAATTGTTAACAGAAACTCCCAGGGGAAACAATTTTATCAACTAAAATACAGTGCCTATGGGCAGTTTGGGAGTATGTAGTTATGTATAAAGCTTTATAGTGTCCACTCATATCCAGGGTTACTTAGGTAAGCACCTTTCTACCCCACCACTTCCAGTAAGATTTTTTTCATATATTTGTAATACAGCTAGATTCTTTTATTATAGTCTTCCATCCTGTGATACTTTGACCTCCTAAACACACACACACACACACACACACATTTAAATTTGTATACAGTAAGTTTAGCTCTTCTGCTGTAAAGTTCTATGGGTATTGAAAAATGCATAATGTCATATAACTGCCATTATAACATCATACCAAATACTTGCACTCTTCTAAAAAAAATCCCGTGTTTCACTTGTTCAACCGCATGTCACCTCCAAATCCCTGGCAAGTACCGATCTGTTTGCCATGCTATAGTTTTGCCTTCACCAGAGTGTCATATAAATGTAATCATATAGTATATAGCCTTTTCACTGGCTCCTTTTGTTTAGAAATGTGAATTTAAGATTAATCCATGTCTTTGGCAGAGAGCTCATTCCTTTCCCCCCACCCCCCTGAAAAATATTCCATTTAACATGTACCACAGTTTGCTTATCCATTCATTAATTGAAGGATACCTTGGTTCCTTACATGTTTGGTTATTATGAATTAACTGCTATAAAACATTCACTTGCAAGTTTTTATGTAGACTACATTTTCAAATCAGTTAGGTAAATACTTAGGAGTGCAATTGTTGGACTATGTTTAACCTTGTAAGAAACTGTCAAAGTGTCTTACAAAGTGGCTGAGCCATTTGCCTTTCCAAAAGCAATGAATGAGACTTCCTATTGCTCTTCATCCTTTCCAGAAATTGGTATTTTCCATTTTTTAGATTTTAGCCATTCTAATACATGTGCCTTCCTCCTTGAAGTTTTAATAAACAAAAGCAGCACCTGTTATCTCTTTATAATTTCTGCATATACCAATTATAATTAAGAATTTTGTTTTCTGGTTTTGTCATTCTAAATACTTTTCCTGATATTATGACTGAATTTAGAAACTGCTTAAAAATTTATTAGTGATAGCAATGATTGCCCATGATACTACTGTAATAGGTAGACTCTTTCTCTTTTGCTTAGTAACAATAAGTTCCTGGAATGAAGTTATTCAGCATTTATTCACTGGGAAATGAAATATTTTAGGAATTTCAGTGTAACTTTGAGGTGATATAACCAACAGGGTCCCATTTGTTGAAGGTGTTGAAATATAAGATGTCCACAAATGGTCTTTGTTAATATCGTTATGCTCTCCTAACCCCCAGCTTGCCTGAGTTAAGATTCCTTTCAACACTATCAACAGCCAGTGAGTCAAACTCACTTAACTAAAGCTCCTTTACTCAATACATTCTCATAACAAAATTCTCAAATTTCTTAGAAACTCTTCTATTTTTGTTTTCTCAAAGATAGTATTACTGCCATTTAAAATCTGCAAAACTCCTTAGTTGGATAAAACAAAACAGAACAAAACAAAAACACTTAGCTCTGACTTGGAGCAGAAGAAATGGAAGCACAGCTAGGTCAGGCTGCTTGCATGGGGTCACACCATTAGCCTCTGGGGAGGGCAGTGTTTGAACTATGAGGCTGTGATGGTAGAGCCTGCTACATTACTTATTGACCCCTCAACTGCTTCTGTTACCAAACAGTAATTGTTATTATTGCTTTTTCTCTGAGTTAGAAGGAAGATTATTCTTCCCTTACTATGTGAGAAACATGATTGTGGGCCTGTAATCACTTCATATGTCAAACTCATAGCTTATTTTGTTGCCATCTCATGGAGCAGATTTATAGTGACTTGTCACATTTGCTTTTTGAAATACTGTTTTTTTTTGTCTTTATTTCTTTGAATCTTTTAGCTCAAGTGAGCATACCACCTTCCTTTCTCCCCCAACCCTTTTCTTTTGTGTTAGAAGACTTTTGTTAAGTAAATGAATTATTTCCCATTCATGAGGCTGATGTTTTTGTCCATTGTGTTATCTCTCTGCTTTCATTGTTCTTTGATGCATAACTCTGACTCAACTACAAATTTTAATAGCATTCTGTTTAATTCTTCTGACAGTTAGTGAAAATTTAAGTAAGATTAGAGTTAAATTCAAACATCCTGGGTTCTATGCTAGATGAGTTGTTGTTCTTACTAGTCTTGAGTTCGGTTCTTCAGTCAATTTTAAGTACTTTTGACAGCATTTCTATTGTAATTTATTTAAATTAATCTGATGAGTAGAGTTTTATGTGTCACAATAAAGATGTTACTTAAATTAAGACATTTTATATATGGTAAATTCCCCTTATGATCCCACTGTTAGTCCCATTTTTCAAAAGCAAAAATATTAATCTCTTATTTTCTTTGAGTCTGCTCAGTTAAAGATTTCCATATGTTAAATTTTCCATCAGGGTAGCTATGGACTCTTATGTATCATGGGTGATTTTTATAGGTGTTTTGGAGTGCTCTTTTCCCATTTCTGTTACTCATAGTAGTACCTAAAGTGACATCTTTTCAAATCTAATAAGTTTGAGACCAAACTTCCAATTCCTGGTCTGTTGTGGTTTTTTCCTATATTTCCACAAAGTCTGATCTTAACCTTGAGAAATGGTAAGTTTTCTAGTATGAAGAAAGAAGTTGTAGATAGGATCAGGTTGGGTAGAGAGATTGTTGGGTGGTAGGGAATGGTATGGGATGTGAGGACTAGGCTTCATTTCCCAGGTAGAAAAGGGCAGTTAGAAGAACCAGTGTAGGTCCCCACAGAAGACATGACTCATTGATGGAATGGAGGGAGAACCTCCAGTGTTGGTAACAGGCATGAAAATAAACTGGTAGAGCATATATAGAAGTCAACTAAACAAGAAACGCATGTGATTTTCATAAGCAAGGATACTGAAGTAATTCCTGACTCCTACATAATGGTCAGGATTGAACATTGTCCAGAGCCAGATAAGTAAAAGAGGAAAAACCAACTCTGAAAATATCAATTTTAATTTTGATATTTATACATTTATGCTTTTATTCTTCCTAGGGAAATATGATTGCATTATTGATTTGAATCCTAATCCCAAAAATGCTTATGTCTATGCTAGACTCTAGATCAGTGGACCTTACATTCCACAAGTGATTGTACAGTAGGATCATCGAGAGACATTAAGAAATAAAAGAGGCCTATAGACATGATACCCAGATATTTTGATTAATCATATCTAGGGCAGAGACCAGAACTTTGTATTTTAAAAATACATTCTCTAGATAATTTTAGTATGCACCCATGACTTTTAACAATTTAACTCCAAGGCTAATCCTGCTCTTGGGCAAGGATGCTTAAGAAACTGTAGTCAATTCTTAGGATATTTGATACCAAGTCACCTCTACTGTTAGTTGGTACTTTAAAATCCTGTGTTTCTTTCTGTCTTATTTCTGAAAGTGGGTTGTTGCCTTGTACTCCACTCAATTCTTTTGACTTATTCCTACTTCTCTTCAGGACTTTAGTTCTATTTCTGAATCCCACACAGGAACTGGTGCTCTGCTTTCATTCATTGCTTTTTGTCTTCCAGATACATGCTTAATGTCTCTTGCTAGATGCTCTGTATTTATCTTTTGCTAGATGTTCTGTATTTATCCCTCCCTCCCTCCCTTCCTGCTTCCCTCCCTCCTTGCTTCCTTCCCTCCCTCCCTCCCTCCCTCCTTTCCTCCCTTCATTCCTTCCTTCCTTCCTGCCTCCCTTTTGCCTTTTCTGTATCTCTTTGCCAAATCTCCTTCATGCTGATAACTGCTGGCTTAGATTACTGGCTTAGACTGCCATCATTTGCATCACCCAATTAGAATATCATATTTTTTTCTGATTTTCTCCTGTTTATGTATAAGTGGGCATACCTAGTTCTAGATAAATCCCTCCCTTTATTCATCCCATGTCATTAATTCCACAATGACATGCAATAGGGTTTTGTTCAAACTAATGTCAGAAATAGTGGGTCATGCATTGTTTTCATAAAATGCCTGGTTACTGCTAGATTTTTTTACTTGAGAGCTTTAGATAACACTTTCCTGTCCACTATTACTA
This sequence comes from Homo sapiens, assembly GCF_000001405.40. Taxonomy (NCBI): domain Eukaryota; kingdom Metazoa; phylum Chordata; class Mammalia; order Primates; family Hominidae; genus Homo; species Homo sapiens. The sequence continues at coordinate 106,967,355 of NC_000011.10, read as the reverse complement.
TTGTTAGGATCAGAAATCCTATTAATTCCGAGAGGACAGTGTTACCCTAGGGAGAAAATAAAGTGGGCAATAGAATTTGTTGCTGCAATAGGAAAGGGAAGTTTATACTTGTCTGTGAGCTTTCATAAAGCAGAGTCATTTTAGGATCTTTGCGAAGAAGATATCAAGGGATTTCAGCCAGAGAACAAGCAGAACAGTGACAAATGATCCTGACTCTTGTGAGTTACTCCACTGAGCGATTAGTGCCCAGGAAAACGTTGACTGAAAATACCCAATTGCCATAATTTTTCTGCTTTTCATTCTCTGTCTTCTGGTTCTGTGTACTTCCCCACACCATTTTATGAGACTTCATTCACCTCTTCATTCACTTCTAGTACCTCAGACTGTTTTTCATTAACCTCTTTTTTTTGGTTTGTTTCTATAACCTTTCTATTTTCATTATTCTTATTCTCAATCTTACATTTTAATAAAAAGCAACAATTCAAATCTGCCAAACGTGTTTACTTCTCTTAATTTGTCAGTACATTTTTGCTTTAGTGCTATTTTTAAGCTTAATATTCCAGTTGCCAAATTTAGTAGTCAAGCAACTCTAACTTACTGCAAATTTATACAATTTCTTTAATTCAGAGCTCTAAATGATCACTAGGGTTTCAGCTGGACTAGTATATTGTTATATTAACTGCAGGAAAAGATTGATTAATCCACAGACGTCTGTATATAATATTGTGGAGGAAATATTTGCCCTATTAAAGGAATAGTTTTTAAGTACTTTGTTCCATCAATACAAATATTTATTGAATATTTTGTATTTTTGGGTACTGTTCTAGGTACTGGTGATCATCAGGGAGAAAACAGCAAGTGGGCAGCCAGGCAGTAAAAAACTACAGACAAGTAACAAATACGAAAACTTCAGAGTGATGCATGCTGTGAAGAAAAATAAGACAATGGGGCCGGGCGCGGTGGCTCATTCCTGTAATCCCAGCACTTTGGGAGGCCAAGGTGGGTGGATCACCTGAGGTCAGGAGTTCGAGTCCAGCCTGGCCAACATGGTGATAACCCCATCTCTACTAAAAATATAAAAACTAGCCAGGCCTGGTATGGGCACCTGTAATCCCAGCTACTCAGGAGGCTGAGGCAGGAGAATTGCTTGAACCCAGGAGGCAGAGGTTGTAGTGAGCCGACATGGTGCCACTGCACTCCAGCCTTGGCAACAGAGTGAGACTCTGTCTCAAAAAAACAAAAAAGAAAAGAGAAGAAAAATAAGCCAGTGGAATGTAAAAGAGTGTGAAGGGCTTAAATAATATGTTAACGATAATATTCTTAAATCCATTTAAGCAACTCATAGGATTTCTATATGACTGTAGTATTTGTGCTGTTTCACTGATATTTCTGGATTTAGAGCTCCAGAAATGAACTTTTTTTTTTTTTTAACCTTCACTTTAATATGGAGGAGGTTGAGGTTAATGAAAGTTCTGGTTTCTCCACTGATGTCTGAGTAGCATTTGCTACTCTGGATTTATTTAAGATGAATGAAAGGAGACAGTGAGGCTGTAGCATTGTATTTTGGGCTAGACAAAGTCCCGAGTGGTGTTCATCATCCCACCAGTGTGTTTTGAATACCTCCATGTGCCAGGCCTGTGCTGGCCATGAAGATTTGAGAGTGAGTAAGGCTGATGTCGTCTCTGCTGTCCTGGCTCTGTCAGCATAGAAGCTAATGGGAAGGCCACATGGCAGGAGGTATAAAACTTTTCTACTCAGTGGACAGAATGCAAAGCTGCTTGAGTGTGACCACTAGAAGAGAGCCATCCCAAGAGAAGTGGAAGTAAAATCCACAAATCAAATGCATACTTAAGCTTTCTCTTGCTGTTGTTTTCTTTTTCTCCATATACACACACATACACATATATGCCTATATACATAAGTACATACATACACATACATGTATACATATGTATGTATACACATGTATAAATTATATATGCTTTACTATTTGTAAGGATTTTTCATGTATACTATTTTGTACCTTGCTAAAGTCTATAATTAGGTATTATTATTTCCATTTTACAGATGAAGGAATTAGACCCAGAGTGTAAGTACTTTACTCCAAATCGCTTAGCCAACAAATGCTTGCAGCTATATTTGAATATAGTTTTTTAAACTACAGGAAAGGAGTACCGCTCTTTTTACCATGTTGCATTTTTCTCTGTTTCCAAAAATAAGTGGTAATTGTGACACATCTTCCATTAAAAGAACCACCTCTGTTTCCTAAAAAAAAAACAACACCCTGTGTTTATGTATTAGTATATACTGCTACATGGTACTGTATGTTATTTTGGCCAACTCCCTGAATTAAAAAATATATATTTTTCTTTTTTTGAGATGGAGTCTTGCTCTGTCGCCCAGGCTACAGTGCAGTGGTGCAATCTCGGCTCACTGCAAGCTCTGCCTCCCGGGTTCATGCCATTCTCCTACCTCAGCCTCCCGAGTAGCTGGGACTACAGGTGCCCGCCACCACGCCCAGCTAATTTTTTCGTATTTTTAGTAGAGATGGGGTTTCACCGCGTTAGCCAGGATGGTCTCGATCTCCTGACCTCATGATCCGCCCGCCTTGGCCTCCCAAAGTGCTGGGATTACAGGCATGAGGCACCTCACCTGGCCAAAAATATTTTATAAATACCTTTTGCCAATGATTATTCTGTGTCTGTGCTGCCAGAGTGAGCACTGACAATATTTATTCTGGGTATGAAAGTATTTTTCTGACTCCAAATGAGAGATAGAAAAACAGATCTAGAGAGCAAGGGTTTTGAGCTGATAAAAATAGGAGGAACCCAGCTTATACTTCTATTAATGCACACTTCATGATGTGCTTCCTAATTGTTTACATGTCTTTCTCTTTGACTTGAATGTAGGTACCTAGTGGTCAGGTACCTACATTTAACTCTTTGGGGCCTATTTAACTCTTTGTAACCACAGCAGGAAGGCCAGAGGCCCTGGAGGGGTAGCTATCCAAGGATTATTGTTTGAAAGACAAATAAAGACTGAGGAGTATTCTTGAAGAAAGGAAACTAAAGACACAAGAAAAACAAATGCAAAGCATGATCCTGTACTGGATCTCGGACTAGGAAATAATACAACTATAAGGTATATCATTGGGACAATGAGCAAAATTTGAATATAGATTGTGGGTTAGAAGATAGTATTGTGTCAAAGTGTACATTTTTATACAAGGAAGTATTAGGGATGAAGGGGCATAATGTCTGCTACCTACTCTCAAATGATGTGTGGGTGTGTGTGTGTGTATACGTGTGTATGTGTGTGTGTAGCAAAAGAGAAGGGGGAATGAGAGAGAATAAGAAAGCAAATGGCACAAATTGTTCACAAATGGTGAAACGAGATGAATATGAGAATTTTTATACTATTCTTGCAACTTTTCTCTAAGTTTAAACTTATATCAAAATAAACATTTCCAAAAATGATTGAATAAAGTTAAAATATATTATAAGTCCAAAGGAACTTTGTTTTTATTGGGTTGTATCCCCAATTAAAAACAAACGGACATCACCACAAAACTAACTAAAATAACAAACATAAGTGAGTTTAAGAGTTTGCAGCGTATTTTTATGCTGCTATAAATTCCTAGTATCACCTATGAATGCATCAAATTCTATATAATTAGTGTCCAGATTGGAGTCTATCTGTGGAGTTTATTTTCCTTAAGTTTTGTTTTCTGTCTCCCTTATAACGTGATTTGGTGATATGGAGATTAAGGATGAAATTGGAATAGTGTCTGAACGTAGTCCCACTCTGTTTATCTCCTATTGCAGGGCAATTGATACCAGAATAGGTGATTGGTTCCTGTATGTTCCAGAACATTTCATTTCTTTCTTCTACACAGAAAAATATTGCTCAAGAATAAAATCACATTTTCAAAGAATAAAAGTAAAAATAAAACTGCTGACTACTTCTATTGCTTAAGGTACCGATTTTCATGGTACTATATTGAGTGACATCTATACACGGACATGTAGCTTTCTTCTTGTCATCCCTTTACTATTATGATAATTTTGGACTTCCCAAATACTTTCCTTGAATTCAGAAGCCTCATCAATCATTGACATATTCTCCTCTGTAGACTCTGATTTTTTTATTGCTTCCCTGACATTTTAAATAGCCAGTATGCATCATTTTTCATGGCCTGTCATCAGTCATTAGATAATATTGCAATGTGCTATCAAAGTATTTCTATATTTAGTAGCAGTACATTCTGTATCTCCATATAGCATTGTGTAGAATTAGTTACACAGGATCTTCACTTAAAGCAGGACATCACACTAAGTTGGTGTTTAGTGTTTACTGAACTAATAGGCGTGTAAAGTCAACTGTTTAGAAGATAATATAGCTGTACATGGTCAAAATTATTACCACTGCCTATATTTTTAAATTAATAACAGGTCAGAGCATAAGCACATGATGGATATTCATTTCCCTTTTTGTTGGAATAGACAAAAGATCAGTTTCAAAAATGGTGTTCATTTCAGATTATACATATATGTGTATATATATTTTATATATATATATAAATATATATAATTCCTTAAAACTTTAATTGTTGCATAAAAATACTGAGGCTTATGTAAATTATTCTCACATTTCAAATTTATTTGAAATTAAAAATTTTAAGCAAACATATGCAGGACATAATCAGGTATTCTGTCTATGTGATTTAACTCCCCCCACCTACTCCCACAATTCCTGCACACACTCATATACAGACTTTCATTTCTAGTTTTTTTTTTTTTTTGAGATGGAGTCTTGCTCTGTTGCCCAGGCTGGAGTGCTGTGGCATGATCTCAGCTCACTGCAACCTCTGCCTCCCGGGTTTAAGCGATTCTCCTGCCTCAGCCTCCCAAGTAGGTGGGACTACAGGCACATGCTACCACAAAAATATTTGTATTTTTTTTTTTTTTAAGTGGAGATGGGGTTTCACCATGTTAGCCAGGATGGTCTCGATCTCCTGACCTCATGATCCACCTGCCTTGGCCTCCCAAAGTGCTGGGATTACAGGCGTGAGCCACCACACCCAGCCCCATATACACATTTTCATGCTGTCATGGACCTCATAGTCCTGATCCTTTGGGAACAAAATTTTCAACTAAATAATAGAATGAATCTAGTCCTGTTAATAGGAGGCAAAAATTCAAGTAACAGTGGTATTCACTGACCATTGTTCCTGCTCTCACCTTAGTATAAATGTTGGGAAAATAGGAGGGATTTGTGGGATGGAGTAAATCTTGGTATCTCCACATAGGAACTTTATTGGACTTAACTTTATTCTTATTTGTCTAAGTCTTTGTTTGGATAGTTCTGAGTAGTGAAACAGGGATGTTAGTAGTCAGCTCTACAGACAGCAGAATTGAAGTCTATAGTCCAGTTGTTTAAAATGAAGATTGCCTACATTGGGAGATTTCTACTTAGAACAAGGTTACCATAGTCACAAGGCTGAAAAATTTCTCAAATATCTATTTGACTTCTAGGGCACCAAGCCAACTGATTCACTGTTAGTGGGATAGAAAAAAAACAAACTATGTAGACCTTTGACATTCTTCTGCAAGCTAGAAAGGAAATAGCAATAATATACTGGCAAGGCTAGGAATGTGCTGAGAAGAGAAAAGTCAGCTTGCTTCTTTAATTGTGACTCTTTTTTGAAGCACACTTAAGAAGCATTTTGAAAGGAATGTGGCATCTTTCATCATGTGTGAATTCAAGATCTTATAGCTTTGTAATATCTTTTTCCTGCCAAGTACTAGATTCGGTTGACCTTTTGGATAATGCATTTTTGTTTGCTTTCAAATATTGAGAAAGATCTTTCATATAACCTTCTGTTTTCCTTAGGAATTAAATAGTGTTGAGGGAATCTTAAAAGTTTATGGGAAAAAATAAAAGATCCACATTCAGACATCTTTGTTTTATATCTCTTTTAGCTCAGACAGCCCTAAGTCTACCTATTAAGCTATTTATAAGAATAAACTAAGTCTCTGGTGCTGTTTTCTTCCTGCTTCTGCTTGTGTTTTTAACATTCCTATGTCACATATTTTTCTTGCCTTCGTTCTCTAAGAAGTGGAGTGCCTTTGTTTGTTTATGACTCTGCAGTGGGGGCTGCTCTCCTTTGGGCATTTCAGGAGGGTGAGTGGCAGGACACAAGTTGGAATGAGCAAGGTGTGCTCACAATGCATTGAAGAGACTAGTCTAATCTGAGATGTGATTCTTGTTGGTGCATTATAAAAAATGAGCACAGGGAATGGTTCTTATGCTGTGTCTGCAGGATATGCCAGTGCATCTCACTAGATAAATTTTGTTCCACTTAGCATCCTTCCTTCCTCACTGTTCCCCAAATTTAAAGGTTTGGATTTTCACTAATATCGTCTAATCTCTGGCACTCCTTTCCATGAAATTGTGGTATGTGTCCTGGTGAGATAATTAGAAAATTGGTCTGTTGTTATCTAGTTGACTTGGTGCTTGTGTTGGCTGTTACTTTGTTCTTCCTTAACTCTTCTTTTTAGTCCCTTCTGTGCTAGCTTCTGTAGAAAAGAGGATTTAACATACTCACGTGCACTACCGCTGTTACCACCATCATTTTTGCTTTGGAATGGTGATGATTTAAGAACTTAAAACCAAAGGCTTACCAGTATCCAGTCCGTATTTTCTACATTATCTACATTTCCCCATTAATGAGCCCTCTTGAATTTAAATTAAAATGTAAAGGAACCTGAATATGCATTTATTCATTCAAATATCTATTCAACAAATATTTATTGCTCTCTAGATGCTGGCATTGTGTAGGTACTGATTTACTCAGCCAAGTACAGTAGAGTGCTGCACAAATTAATAGCAGACTACTCTGTTCTCCTTTTATTTTGGGCTTCTCAGGCATCCTGTGCTGAGTCTTGGATCAAAAACACAACAATACAGAAAATAATCTGTTCTAATTCCTTAGTGTTCCTGGTAATATATCTTACACTTGGACTTATGGCTTATAGTACTATATAAATTCTTAAGAACAATAGACTGAAATCCTTCATATCTTTATCTTAGTAATTGCCCATACCTGAGATTTAAAAAAAAAATTCAAAACAAGAAAAAACATGAAATAACAGCTTAGTGCTGTTTATTGAATGCTCCTATAAAAAGACAAAATATTGGCAACAACCAACAGTCCAACTATAAGGAAAGAGTCAGTTAAAATATGATAGCTCTGCTTAGAAGAATTTTAAGCAGCCACTTAAATGAGAACTATGTGGAAAGATTATGCTACAGCATGGGAAAATGTTTGCGATGTTGCTGTAGCTCTAGTTCCCCAGGAAACAGACTCCAACATGGAGATTTGCACTCAGACAGGCTCCTGGGCAGTGTGCTCAGGATCAGTGATCCCACCAGGCAAACTTCATTAGGTTTCAAGGCCTGAGAATGATCCTTTGTGGTTCTCAGCTCTGCCTTTTGGGTCATTCTCATGAAAGGTAGTAAGTACATGTTTGCAGCTGAGGAGTTTTACCAGACTGTTTCCCTGTGAGAATGTAAAGAAAGTAGATGGGGCAGAGGGAAAAATTGAATTGCTCTTGCAGAAGCCATCACAACAGAGGTCTCAGCTGATCTCTTCAGAATTGCCCCTGACTGGGGCAAGAAGGAGGTATCTTTTTGTTATGACTCCCCACTTTCCAAATGAACTATCTTTGAAAGCAGCTTCCCTTGCGGAGGCAGGTGGATCTTGAGCCGGCAGCTCTCTTCAGCTGAAGGCAATGCCTAGAGTCAGACTCAGTTGAGAGCTGACAGCTACAAACACTCCCAGTATCTGTTAGAGATGACAGATTATACAAAAAAGAAAACTTTATACATAAAGTGTTTGGGCATATCATGAACATTATGAATCCGAGTACATAAAATATGTGTGAGTATGCACAAAAACTGGAGGGGACACTGAAAAAATGAATATGGCTCTGTTACAAAAGAAAAGAGAAGCCATGAGAGCATAATCCTTTCACCAAATAAACAATGAAACCAAACAGATGATAGTTTCCTCTAAAATAATGAAAGAATTCATGTATATATTTTCCCCTCCTCACTCAATTTTAAAAGATGACCATTAAAAAAATTCTTTCAGGTCTCAGCCTTTCCCTTGTGTTTTATTTGTGGAATATGTTAGAGTGGGATAATGACATAATGACAAACATAGCTCAGTGTTCTGTGAGATCTACTTTGAGACCGTAACGAATATGAATAGTTGCTCCGCTTGGCATGCTTTTAATCTTTCCTAGGGTTGCCTCACCCACGATGCTAAAGAAGCAGTGCTTATGAGTTCAGTAAGTACATGCACCACTGATACTCATTTTCACGGCTCTACATTTCTTCCTTTTTCAGCTTAACATTTTATATATTCATGATCAAAATGGAATTGGGCATGAAAAATGTGAACGGCACAAGGCAAATAAATACAATACTAGAAAAACAGTTTGAGGTGTATATGCTAGTGAAGAAGAATAAACCTGAACATCTATTTTCCCAGGTTAGAGCACATATACACAAAAGACTGTAATCCTGGCATAAAAGTTTCTCATGTTAGCTCCCCTTATCTGAAATAGACTTCCTATTTCTCAACTGCTTTCTTATTTCCTTCCAAAGCATAACTCGTAGTATCCTTCCAAATCATACATACTGTGTGTGTGTTTCCTAGTGTACCCTTTTTTTTTTTTATATTAAACAGTTCTTTAAAGCTGCCTTTAATGCACTTGGAATTACTTCTTTGAAAAATACAAGATGAGAAAAGACAGGAGAACATGAGAACTATTTTCAGATACTTTAAAGGACTTCTGTGAGAAGAGGAGATTTGTTCAAATCACCACCTAGTATATGAGGGTATATTAGAACTAGTGGACTAAAATTATAGGAATAGATTTTGCCCCACATGCAAGAAGGAAGGAATTTTGTAATTACTGGAGATATTCAGTTTTGGAAGAGCAAGCTTCCTGAGCTGCTCATCAGGGTGCTGTTTAAGTAGAGGAAAGATGACTGTCTATGAGATCTGCTGTGTTTTGAGAGAGATTGGACTGGTTATCAGTCAAGTTCTCATGTACTTGATGGCTTCATGAATCAATGTTATACTAAATGGTGTATTCACAAATTCTGCTTTAAACAAATATATACGTAATCATAAGATTTCATCTTCCAGAAGTATAGAAGTATTAGCATTGCTTGTGAATGCTGTAAAAATGCTGTGATGCTACTGTAATAGCTACAGCATGGAAACACAATAACATACTAATTTCTGTCACTCTTAACATCTAATGCTGTTTGTCTAATGAAATACATTTTAGACCTTTGGCTAAGTATTTATTACCTAATTCAATAGGAAAATTGAAAAAAATTTTAGATTTCCATCAATTTCATTTCTTTACCACAACACCTTTTTTTTCTGAAAAAAAAAAAAAAAAAAAAAAAAAAAAAAAAAAGTTTGTCCCTTTGCTCAGACTGGACTGCAGCATAGCTCCCAACACTTGGTTGGAGCAGTTGAGGAGGGTGAATCACAATTTAGTGATTTAAAAAAAAAAGTGACCATTTTTTTTGGAGGCGGGGCCAAGATGGCCGACTGGAAGCTGCGTGTTCAGAGGCTCCCACTGGAAAAAAAATCTAAGCATGTGAATCCTTCATCAGCAACCAAGGTATTCAGGTTCTCTCGCCAAAATTGACAAGAAGGCTGGCCTGACCACAGAGAGAAGGAAGAGCAGTGTAGTGAGAAGGCCCACCTGAGAGCCACACGGGGAAGGGGAAGCCCCTTCCCCAAGCCAAAGGAGGCGGTGGTGAGTGAGTGCGCTAGGGAAACTGCTTTTTCCACAGAACCCTGCCACCCATGGATTGGAAGATCCCACTCGTGAACCCACGCCACCAGGGCCTAGCGTCCCAGCCTTGGAACATGCAGATTCTTACAGCCTCTCAGCTGGAGTCTGCTTAAGCCTATGGAACTCAGGAAGTGGGGGTTGCTGGTGGGGAGGGGGGAAGAAGAGGCAACCAGCACCAGCTGTGGCTGCCTGCTGTCTAAGCCATTTGAGCTCCTGGGGGGAGGGGCAAGAGTCAGCACTGGGACTTGCAACTGCCTAACACACTAAGCTCCCTGGGCAGGGTGGGCACACCCATTTCTATAGCTCCAGGCTGTACTTTCCCCTGCTAGAGCTAGAGCCAGGGAGGCTGGACGACTTGCTCCCAAGACTTGTCCCCACAGCCCAACACACCCTCTGTGGCAGTCTGCGGCTAGAGTGCCTCTTCAGGCCTAATCCCAACCCATCATTCCTCAGTGGGCGGGGCTTCCCTGCAGGATCTCCAATAACTCCAGCTAGAGGCTCGGGGACAGAATTCAGATCTCCCTGGGCCTGAGTCCCTAGGGAGAGGGATGGCCACAGTCTCTGGGGACCAGCAGACTTGCTGTCTCCTCTTGGTAGTTCTGAGAAATCCAGGCAGCTCAGATGAGTGGGTTTTCCCCTAGTGAAACATACCCTCTCCACCAAAGGACAAAGTGCTTCATTAAATGGGTCCTGCTCCCTGTGCCACCCGATTGGGTGAGACCCTCCAACAGGGGTTGTCAGACACCCTATACAGGAGTCATCCTACTGGCATCAGGTTGGTGCCTGTCGAGGTCAGAGGTCCCAGAAGAAGGAGCAGGCACCCATCTTTACTGCTCTCCAGACTCCTTGAATGACATCTCCAGGAACTGGAGCGAATCACATGAATACGACCTGAAGTGAACCCCTAGCAAACTGCAGCAGTCCTACAGAAGAGGGACCAATTATTGAAAGAAAAACAAGCAGAAAGTGACAACAGCATCAACAACAACAACAACAACAAAAAGGCCTCCACAAAAAACCCTATCCAAGGATCAGCAGGCTCAAAGACTGAAAGTAGACAAATTGAGGAAGGTAAGAAAGAATCAATGAAAAAATGCTGTAAACCCAAAAGGCCAGAGTGCTTCATCTCCAAATGATTACAATGTCAAGGGCACAGAACTGGAGGGAGGATCAGATGGACGGATTGACAGAAGTAGGCTTCAGAAGATGGATAATAAAAAACTATGATGAGCTAAAGGAGCTTGTTCTAACCCAATGCAACGAAGCTAAGAAACTTGATAAAAGGAATTGCTAACTAGAATACCCAGTTTAGAGAGAAACATAAATGACCTGATGGAGCTGAAAAACACAGCATGAGAACTTCACGAAGCATACACAAGTATCAACAGCCAAATTGACCAAGCAGAAGAAAGGCTATCAGAGTTTGAAAACTACCTTACTGAAATAAGACATGCAGACAAGAATAGAGAAAAAAGAATGATCAAAGTCTTCAAGAAGTATGGGACTTGATAAAAGGACAGAATCTGCGATTGATTGGAGTACCAGAAGGAGATGGAGAGAATGGAAACAAGCTGGAAAACACACTTCAGAATATTATCCAGGAGAACTTCCCCAACCTAGCAAGACAGGCCAACATGAAAATTCAGGAAATACAGAGAACATCATTAAGATACTCTGTAAGAAGATCAACCCCAAGACACATAATTATCAGTTTCTCCAAGGTCAAAAAAAGGAAAAACTGTTAAAGGTAGCCAGAGAGAAAGGCCAGGTCACCTACAAAGGGAAGTCCATCAGACTAACAGTGGACCTCTCAGCAGAAACTCTACAAGCCAGAAAAGATTGGGGGCCAATATTTAATATCTTAAATAATTTTCAACCCAGAATTTCACATCTAGCCAAACTGAGCTTCATAAGCAAAGGAGAAATGAAATCATTTCCAGACAAGCAAATGCTGAGGGATTTCATTACCACCAGTCCTGCCCTGCAAGAGCTCCTAAAAGAAGCACTAAATATGGAAAGGAAAAACCAGTACCAGGTACTGCAAAAACACAGCAAAATATAAAGACCAATGACACCATGAAGAAACTGCATCAACTATTATGCAAAATAACCAAATAGCATCATGTTGACAGAATCAAATTCACACATAACAATACTAATGTAAATGGGCTAAATGCCCCACTTAAAAGACAGACTGGGCCGGGCATGGTGGCTAACACCTGTAATCCCAACACTTTGGGAGGCTGAGATGGGTGGATCACCTGAGGTTGGGAGTTCAAGACCAGCCTGACCAACAAGGAGAAACCCCATCTCTACTAAAAATACAAAATTAGTTGGGCATGGTGGCACATGCCTGTAATCCCAGCTACTTGAGAGGCTGAGGTAGGAGAATTGCTTGAACCTGGGAGGTTGCGGTGAGCCGAGATCATGCCATTGCACTCCAGCCTGGGCAACAAGAGCAAAACTCTGTCTCAAAAAAAAGAAAAAAAAAAGACACAGACTGGCAAATTGAATAAGGAGTCAAGACCCATCTGTGTGCTGTATTCAGGAGACCCATCTTAAATGCAAAGACACACACAGCCTCAAAATAAAGGGATGGAGGAAAATTTACCAAGCAAATGGAAAGAAAAAAACAAGAAAGCAGGGGTTGCAATCCTAGTCCCTGACAAAACAGACTTTAAACAAACAAAAATACAAAAAGACAAGGGTATTATACAATGGTAAGGGGAAGAATTCAACAAGAAGAGCTAACTATTCTAAATATATATGTACCCAATACAGAAACACCCAGATTCATAAAACTAGTTCTTAGAGACCTGCAAAGAGACTTAAACTCCCACACAATAATAGTGGGAGACTTTAACACCCCACTCTCAGTATTAGATCAATGAGAGAAAAAATTAAAAAGGATATTTAGGAGTTGAACTCAGCTCTGGATCACGTGGACCTAGTAGACATTTACGGAACTCTCTACCCTAGATCAACAGAATATACGTCCTTCTCCTGTGCCACATGGCACTTACCCTGAAATTGAACACATATTTTGAAATAAAATACTCCTCAGCAAATGCAAAAGAACTGAAATCGTAACAGTTTCTTGGACCACAGTGCAATCAAATTAGAACTCAGGATTAAGAAACTCACTCAAAACGACACAATTTCATGGAAATTGAACAACTTGTTCCTGAATGACTCCCGGGTAAATAATGAAATTAAAGCAGAAATCAAAAAGTTTTTTGAAACCAATGACAAAGAGACAACATACCAGAATCTCTGGAACATAGCTAAAACAGTGTTAAGATGGAAATCTATAGCATTAAATGCCCACATCAGAAAGCTAGAAAGATCTCAAATTGACACCCTAACATCACAATTAAAAGAGTTAGAGAGGCAAGAACAAACTAATCCAAAAGGTAGCAGAAGACAAGAGATAACTAAGATCAGAGAAGAATTGAAGGAGATAGAGACATGAAAAACCTCCAAAAATCAATGAATCCAGGAGCTGATTTTTTGAAAAAATTAACAAAATAGATAGACCAATAGCTAGACTAATAAGAGAGAGAAGAATCAAGTAGACACAATAAAAAATGATAAATGGGATATCACCACTGACCCCACAGAAATACAAACTACCATCAGAGAATACTATAAACACCTTTACGCAAATAAACTAGAAAATCTAGAAGAAATGGATAAATTCCTGGACACATACACCCTACCAAGACTAAACCAGGAAGAAGTTGAATCCCTGAATAGACCAATAACAAGCTCTAAAATTGAGGCAGTAATTAATAGCCTACCAACCAAAAAAAAAAGCAAGGACCAGATGGATTCACAGCTGAATTCTACCAGAAATATAAAGAGGAGCTAGTACCATTCTTTCTAAAACTATTCTAAACAATTGAAAAGGAGGGAGTCTTCCCTAACTCATTTTATGAAGCCAGCATCATCCTGATACCAAAATTAGGAAGAGACACACAAAAAAGAAAACTTCAGGCCAATATCCCTGATGAACATCGATGCAAAAATCTTCAATAAAATACTGGCAAACTGAATGAGCAGCACATCAAAAAACTTATCCACCATGAGCAAGTGGGCTTCATCCTTGGGATGCAAGGCTGGTTCAACATATGCAAATGCATAAACATAATCCGTCAGATAAACAGAACCAAAGACAAAAAGCACATGATTATCTCAACAGATTCAGAAAAGGCCTTTGATAAAATTGAACATCGCTTCATGTTAACTCTCAATAAACTAGGTATTGATGGAACATATCTCAAAATAAGAGCTATTTATGACAAACCCACAGCCAATATCATATGGAATGGGCAAAAGCTAGAAGCATTCCTTTAAAAACTGGTACAAGACAAGGATGCCCTCTCTCACCACTCCTATTCAACATAGTATTAGAAGTTCTGGCCAGGGCAATCAGGCAAGAGAAAGAAATAAAGGGTATTCAAACAAGAAGAGAGGAAGTCAAGTTGTCTCTGTTTGCAGATGACATGATTTTATATTTAGAAAACCCTGGCTGGGTGCGGTGACTCATACCTGTAATCCCAGCACTTTGGGAGGCTGAGATAGGCAGATCACCTGAGGTCAGGAGTTCGAGACCAGACTGGCCAACATGGTGAAACCCTGACTCTACTAAAAATACAAAAATTAGCCAGGTGTGGTAGTGCACACCTGTAGTCCCAGATATTGGGAGGCTGAGGCAGGAAAATCACTTGAACCCAGGAGGTGGAGGTTTCAGTGAGCTGAGAGTGTACCAGCCTGGGCAATAGATCAAGACTCTGTTTAAAAAGAAAAAAAAAACCCTCATCATCTCAGCCCACAAACTTCTTGAACTGATAAGCAACTTCAGCAAAGTCTCAGGATGCAAAATTAGTGTGCAAAAATCACAGTCACTCCTTTACACCAATAATAGGCAAGCAGAGAGCCAAATCATGAATGAACTCCCATTCACAATTGCTACAAAGAGAATAAAATACCTAGGAATACAACTTTCAAGGGATGTGAAGACCTCTTCAAGGAGAACTACAAACCACTGCTCAAGGAAATAAGAGAAGACATAAACAAATGGAAAAAACATTCCATCCTCGTGGATAGGAAGAATCAATATCGTGAAAATAGCCATACTGCCCAAAGTAATTTACAGATTCAATGCTATTCACATCAAACTACCATTGACATTCTTCACAGAATTAGAAAAAATTATTTTAAATTTCATATGGAATCAAAGAAGACCCTGTATAGTCAAGACAATCCTAAGCAAAAAGAACAAAGCTGGAGACCTCATGCTACCTGACTTCAAAGTATACTACGAGGCTACAGTAACCAAAATAGCATGGTACTGGTACCAAAACCGACATATAGACCAATGGAGCAGTACAGAGACCTCAGAAATAACACCACATATCTGCAACCATCTGATCTTTGACAAACCTGACAAAAAACAAGCAATGGAGAAAGGATCTCCTATTTAGTAAATGGTACTGGGAAAACTGGCTAGCCATATGCAGAAAAGTAAAACTAGACCCCTTTCTTACACCTTATACAAAAATTAACTCAAGATGGATTGAAGACTTAAATGTAAAAACCCAAACCATAAAAACTCTGGAAGAAAACCTAGGCAATACCATTCAGGACATTGGCATGGGCAAAGACTTCATGACAAAAACACCAAAAGCAATTGCGACAAAATCCAAAATTGACAAGTGGGGTCTAATTAAACTAAAGAGCTTCTGCACAGCAAAATAAACTATCATCAGAGTGAACAGGCAACCTACAGAATGGGAGAAAAGTTTTGAAATTTTCTGACAAAGGGCTAATATCCAGAATTTACCGGGAACTTAACCATATTTCCAAAAACAAAACCAAACAACCCCATCATAAAGTGGGCAAAGGATGTGAACACACACTTCTCAAAAGAAGATATTTACATAGCCAACAATCATGAAAAAAAGCTCAACATCACTGATCATCAGAGAAATGCAAATGAAAAGCACAATGAGATACCATCTCACGCCAGTCAGAATGGTGATTATTAAAAAGTCAGGGAATAGTAGATGCTGGCGAGGCTGTGGAGAAGTAGGAATGCTTTTGTACTGTTGGTGGGAATGTAAATTAGTTCAACCATTGTGGAAGACAGTGTGGCGATTCCTCAAGGATCTAGAACCAGAAATACCATTTGACCCAGCAACCCCATTACTGGGTATATACCCAAAGGAGTATAAATGATTCTACTATAAAGACACATGCACATGTATGTTTATTGCAGCACTGTTTACAATAACAAAGATATGGAACCAACCCAAATGTCCATCAATGATAGACTGGATAAAGAAAATGTGGTACATATACACCATGGAATAAAATGCAGCCATAAAAATGAGTGAGATCATGTCCTTTGCAGGGACATGGATGAAGCTGGAAGCCATCGTTCTCAGCAAACTAACACAGGAACAGAAAACCAAACACTGCATGTTCTCACTCATAAGTGGGAGTTGAACATTGAGAACACATGGTCACAGAGAGGGGAACAACACACACCATGGCCTGTTGGAGGGTGAGGGGTGAGGTCAGGGAACTTAGAGGATGGGTCAATAGGTGCAGCAAACCACCATGGCAAGCGCATACCTATGTAACAAACCTGCACGTTCTGCACATGTATCCCATTTTTTTAGAAGAAATTTAAAAAAGTGACCATTAAAGAGGCATTGGCATTGATTAACAGCTCTGAGTAAGCCCTCCGAGGATCGGTCCATGTGGAAATCATGCTTTCCTGCTGCCTCTTCTGTGGCCGCCAATTTGAACAGGGCTAGTCATCATCAGCAAAAGCCAGAATCTATGTACGTCACAGTAATCCCCTCCCCCACCTTCTTCACCAGCGGGTAAGAGACTGGTAAAAAGTAAAGGCGTGAGAAGTGATGAGAATACTTATCTGCAGGGAGATTCCAAATCTTGGGAGCCACTGCCCTATTTTCAGTGTGGCAGATTGCATTCCAGAATAAGGGGCCAGGTGTGGGCACAGAGCTGAAGCAGGTGCTCCTGCAGCTCCTCTTTGTAATTAGCTCATGTCTGCTCATTCTTTGACTCTGCACCTTACTGCTGCTGGGCTGCTGCTGGGCTGCTGCTGGCTTTGTGTCTTCTCTGGCAATATGCCAGGGTGCTGAAGAAGGAAGGCTGGGGAATGTGATGAGCCCTTTGTCACCTGCCAGGTTGCCAGCATCTGATAGCAGGCATAGCACAGTGGCCTGAGAAGGCTGCCTGATTAGACATGTGCTTCCCTGAACCTGTCCCCTTCTTAGCACTCAACACCTGTGGCTCCTTGTTGGCAAAGGAACAAGAATTTGTCAAACAATAAGCATTCACACCTATTAAATTAGTCATTTGGCATAACTTGCCCAAGCTTGTGATAAAAGGCCTGCCAGTGAATACTGAAGGGTACAAAATATAGCAATGGAAAAATCATGTATGCACACATATGAATTTCTATCACTACATATATTATGCCTGGACATATGATCAGTCACATCCAGATGTATTTGTTTTCATTAATCCATTGGTTTTATATTCATTCTTTTATAGATTCACCACAGACAAGGCACGGTACCAAAGATTAGGGTTACTATAGTGGTCTTCATTTAGTTTCTCTAAAACTCCATAGTTTGTCTTTCTGGACCTTAGCATATATGTTTCTTCAGTCTGGAATGGTTTCCTTCCTCCCCTATCTATCTACTCTTTTTTGGTGGCCTAGTTGACATTTCCTTTTTCTTCTTCAAGAGGTTAAGTCTGGTTGAGGGATTGGACACATTAGCAGCTATTGTGTGGGAAATATTAGGCTGGGGGTAATCACAAGGTGCTTTGGAAGCCTAACAAGTAGAGACATCTATCTCGGTCTCAGAGTGTCAAGGAAAGCATTCTGAAGGAATTTTGGTGTGAAGATATGCAAAATAAGTGAAGCAGAGAACTAGCTAAGTGGGGTAGGTAGGAGAACAGAATCCTAGTTAAAAAACAAAATAAAACAAAACACAGAACCAGCCATGTACAGAAGCCTGTAAATGAGAGAGAGATTGTTGAGCATGTTCAGGAAACTGAAAAGTGGTTCATAATGGCTGGTATAGAGGTGTGAAATGGGGGACTGAGAGAGGGAAGGATGGGCTAGTAAGTAAAAGCTGGACTAAGCCTTGCTGATTTTGGACTTTATTCAGAAGGCAACAGTCATTGGAGGGCTTTCCAGAGAAACAATATGATGAGATGTATAATTCTAGACTACTGATCATGGTGGCCTAAAACAAAGTAGTGGTATTTAGGATAGAGAGACTAGCAGAATGTCAGGGGAGATGCATTATGAACTTACACACAACACACACACACAATCGTAATTTTATTAAAATAAAAAAATCATATTCTAAATTATTTTGACAGTTTTAGCTTAGCTTTATATCATACAAAATCAAGCATCTTTTTACATCTTTTTTATATGTTTGCTTGTTTTGGTTAAGGCATACATACCGTCCCCTAGATCTTCTAAAATATTTATTGCTTCATCTTTTGCATTGTACGATCTTAATTGATCTGGAATTTGATTTTGTTTGAGGCATGAGATGGGATTTAATTTTATTGTTTTCCAGATGGCTAGTGCCATTTATTAAGTAAACCATTCTTTTCCCTTTGAATTGAAATACTGTTCTGTGGTATATTAAAACTTCTCATATACACAGATTTACTTCAGCAAAATGACATAATTTTATGCTTTTTTGCAATGTGTTTACTGGTTATTTTATTTTCATATCTCACAGTATTTTCTAGAACCTCCAAGATAATATTGAAAACGATGATAGCAAGCATACTTGTCAAATTTCTGATTTTAGTTAAAATGTTTTTAGTATTTTGCTATTTAGAATAAGCTGCTTCTGGTTTTTGGAAAAGATCTTTTATTATATTTGAACAGTTTCTTTATATCTTATTTTATTCAAAATGCTTATTAAGACTTGAATCTCACACTTTTCAGAATCTACTGATATGATCATATTTTGTTTACTTTTATGAATGTAATAATTTATGCTGATATATTTTCCACTGCTGAACTACCGTTTCATTTCTGATATAAATCCTACTTGGTCATGATGATTTATTCTTTTATAAATCGCTAGATTCTATCTGCTACTATTTTTGCAAATATTCATAAGAGAAATTGGTCTTAGTATACTGTATCAGCTTTTGACATAAAGTTATTTGGGATTAATAAAAAGAATTGAGTGATTTTAATTTTTTTCTATGGCCGGAAAATATTTTAAAAACTTTGCAGTCATCTAGTTTTTTTCCTAATTGCTAGCCAGAACTCAGGTTCTTCTTGAGTCAACTTTGGTCATTTATACTTTGCCAGATACTTACCCATTTCCATTCCATTTACACATTTGTTCACAGCAAGTTGCATGTTTCTTTTCTGATTTATCTAATTCGTCTTAATATGTGCCTATGTATTCTTATTCCAATTTAGTTACTTTCTTTCTTAATTTCAGCTTTTATCTATTAATTCCTACTCCATAGTTTTTTTCTTAAGCTCATTACAGTTTTCTTAATTTGGAAGCTCTTTATTTACTTATTTATTTTTGTTGCTGAAAACATTTCTGGCATTTTCCTTGAGTATAGTTTTGTTGTACCTCAGAATTGTGTATGATGCAGGCTCCTTTTTATTGATTTCTAAAAGTTATAATTCCAATTTTGACTTTCCCTGTAATCCAAGAGAATGTATTGCTTAACTCTCAAATATATATGCCACCTTTTGGTTATTTCTGTTTATTATTAAAAATGTGATCTGTAAAATCTTTAAAATATTTTATGGGGTTTTTATGATCAAGTATTTGAGCAATTTTTGTAATTTTACATACATATAATACATATGTACATATACAAATGTTTTGAGTTTGTTGCTTTTGCTATTTTATTTTTCTGACTTTGCCTTTTTGTTAGTTTTTATTATTAACATTTATTTAATTTCTCTGATTTTGCTTTTTAGTTTTGATCTTTTGATTTCTCAAAAGGACACATTAAAGTTTTTCACTAAAATTTTATTTTTATCAAGGTTTTCTTTTATCTTCATTGTTCTGTTGTATATAATTTTAATTTCTCTATGATTTTGCTGATCTATTCGTTACATAGCTTGGTACTGAGAGACATGTATTAGTGTTTCCTACTATAATTATAGTTGTATAGATTTCTTCTTTCATTCTTTTTTTTTTTTTGTGAGATGGAGTCTTGCTTTGTCACCCAGGCTGGAGTGCAATGGTGCGATCTTGGCTCACTGCAACCTCTGCCTCCCAGGTTCAAGCGATTCTCCTGCCTCAGCCTCATGAGTAGCTGGGATTACAGGAACCTGCCACTGCGCCCAGCTAATTTTTGTATTTTTTAGTAGAGATGGGTTTCACCATCTTGGCCAGGCTGGTCTCGAATTCCTGACTTCATTATCCACCCGCCTCGGCCTCCCAAAGTGCTGGGATTACAGGTGTGAGCCACTGTGCCCAGCCTCTTCTTTCATTCTTAATTTTGAAAATATATAATTTTGAAACTATATAATGCTTTATTGAAATATGATTTACATACCATGCAATTTACCTAACAAAAGTGTACAATTCGATGGTTGTTAATATATTCACAAAGTTTTGCAACCATCACTACAATCAATTTTAGAACATTTTCATCACTCCAAAAAGAAACCCCATACTCATTAGTAATTAATTCCTAATTGTTTTTGCTTTATATATTTAGCTACAATGTTGCTTGGTTTATGTCTCTTAGGTCTTCTTTGTAAATTGTGATTTTGTTTTACTTTGTCTCTTTTTATTCTGTTTATCACTTCTCCCCTTATTCTACCTTGTTGATATTAATATTGCCCCTCCATTGCTGCTTTTTTTCTTGCAGTTTCTTTGAATTCTTTGCCTGTTGACTCATTTTCAACCTTTTATTTTTTAATCACCTTTTATAAGTACAATTCTTGTGAGAGTTTTCTCATTTAATGGGATGATTTATTCATTTACATTTACTTTAATCCGTGAGCTATATGATTTTCTTGATTTATCATATTTCTTTTACATTGTTTTTGTTTCTGGTCTTTTGCTGTTTTGATCATGTTGACATATACATAATATTTGACCTTGTATTTGGAGAGTTCTACTCCAATTTCCCATTTCATTATTGATTATCTTCCTTTTTCTCTTAGTAGAATTAGACCCATGGGTTTTTTATTATTTTAAAACAAAATATCAATTATTTTCTTTCTAAGATTATATTATTCCTATCCCCCCAAATCCCCTTAAGAAGAAACTTTTAGAATAGGTTTACTTTTCTCCTCTCTACCTTCTCCCCTCTCCTCACCATCCAAGTCCTGTGGTTTGCTGAGATTGTTTAGTTTCAGAATATGAACAAAATTTACCTTGTGGTAGTTTGGTAGTTTTTCTATGTATCAGTAGCTTTTTTGTTTGTTTGTTTGTTTGTTTTTTGAGATGGGTTTCGCTCTTGTTGCCCAGGCTGGAGTGCAGTGGTGTGATCTCAGCTCACTGCAACCTCCGCCTCCCAGGTTCAAGCGATTCTCCTGCCTCAGCTTTCCCAAGTAGCTGGGATTATAGGCATGCGCCACCATGCCCAGATAATTTTGTATTTTTAGTAGAGACAGGGTTTCTCCATGTTGGTCAGGCTGGTCTCGAACTCCTGACCTCAGGTGATCTGCCCGCCTCGGCCTCCCAAAGTGCTGGGATTACAGGCGTAAGCCACCGCACCCGGCCTGTATCAGTAATTTAAAATTAATGTTCATACTACAACTGTCCAGGTAATAGGTCATTATCCATAATACATGTCTAATATGTATAAATGTGTGGACATTTGTATGTATGTACACATTTGTATATGATGTATATGTACACATACATCAGAAAGCATGTGTCTATGTGTGTGTTGTAGGGTTCATTGCTCACTAATGTGTCTACTTTTCCTTCTTCTCTTAACCAGACTCCTCTACTTCTTCATTCTGAGTGATTTCTTGATCGATTAATGTGTTTTTTTGTTTTGTTTTTTTTGTTTTTGTTTTTTTTCATTTTCTAAGGTGTTTCACTGAGTGATGGAATCTCTGAATCTTTGCCAGATACTCTTCTGGGTGATAAACTTTTAGGTTTCAGTTCTCTCAGTATCTCACCTGTATTTTTCTCTCATCATCTAGCTTTCATTGTTGCAGATGAAAAGTAAATTTTTTTTAATTACCTGTTTTCTCTTGCAACTTAAAAGATCTTCTTTATCTCTCTCTCTCTTTTTTTTTTTTCAGGAATCCAACCAGATATTCTTAGGGGTGTGTGTGTGTGTCTGTGTTTCTTATCATTCCTGGTTGCAATTTATGCTTTTTCCATCTGTAGATGTAGGATTTTCCATGGTTCAGGGGAAATTCTCTCTGTAATTCATTTAGTTATAGTCCTTCTTCCATTGGTTTCTTTTTTCTCATTCTACATTATAGTGTTTTTAGAGGTTGTTCCTCTAAATATGTTTATGGAAAATAGAAGGATCACAGAAAAAATACTACAAGGGACTATCTGCTATTTTATAAGAAAGACACGGACATGTGCTTTGTGATTTGAAAGGAAGGAGTAACACTGATAGTTTTGTAGTGTATGTTTATGATACTGCACTTGTTAGATGTGGTTACTAGGTGAAAAAATTCGTTTCAGAGT
This sequence comes from Homo sapiens, assembly GCF_000001405.40. Taxonomy (NCBI): domain Eukaryota; kingdom Metazoa; phylum Chordata; class Mammalia; order Primates; family Hominidae; genus Homo; species Homo sapiens. Next base: position 106,944,749 of record NC_000011.10, on the reverse strand, counting down.
ACTCACATGGGGGTTGGCTTCATCTTCATTATACCACATTTCTCATTGTTAAAATTTATTTCTGATGTATGTTTTAAAACATAAATTCACAGATTAAAAAATTTTATTTTAAATTCAGGGGTACATGTGCAGGTTTGTTATATAGGTAACCTTGTGTCATGGGGGTTTGGTGTTCAGATTATTTCGCCACTCAGATATTAAACCTGGTACCGTTCAGTTATTTTTTGTGATCTTCTTTCTCCTCCCAAAGATGGCTCCCCAGTGAATGCTTCCTGACATTTACACTCTTCTACAGTAATTTTCAGTACAAGGTCTCACTCTGTCACTCAGGCTGGAGTACAGTGGTGCAGTCACAGCTCACTGCAGCCTAGACTTGCTTGGGCTCAGGTGATTCTCCCACCTCAGCCTCCAGAGTAGCTGGGACTGCGGGCCTGCACCACTATGCCTGGCTCTTTTTTTGTATTTTTAGTAAAGACAGGGTTTAGGCATGTTGCCCAGGCTGGGACCACCTGCTTTTTTTTTTTTTTTTTTTTTGGAGACAGGGTCTCACTCTGTTGCCCAGGCTGGAGTGCAGTGGTATGATCACGGGTCACTGCTACCTCAACATCCTGGGCTCCAGTGATTCTCCCACCTCAGCCTCCCGAGTAGCTGGGACTACGGACTACAGGCATGTACCACCATGCCCTGCTAATTTTTGTACTTTTTTCTAGATATGGGGTTTCACCATGTTGGGCAGGCTGGGTCTTGAACTTCTGGACTCAAGCAATCAGCCTGCTTTGGCCTCCCAAAGTGCTAGGTTTACAGGCATGACCCACTGTGCCCAGCCTAACCTGTTTTTTTATTTAAGTCTCCCTTCAAACATTGTCTCTCTGAGGAGAGGCAGATACTGTTTTTCTTCTACTTCCGTGGGTACTCCTGTGTACCCCTGTTGTAGCCCAACCATAATGTAATTTACTGTTTTGTAGGGGCCCATGAGAGAAAGTCATGTGTCTTTTTGTTTTCATATCCTTAGATGTGGCACAAGTGCAACCTTAAAAGGTTAGTAATATTCACCAAACAAATACTTAGATGAATGCTTAATTTCTATGAAACAATGCTTATTCTCCAGGTGTCAGGCATTATGCCAGTGATAGATACGCAGACATAAATAGGGCAAGGTCCTTGTCCTCAAGAAATGCCATCTGAGGTGGGGTGGGATAGCAGATGAGAGACAACAGGGCCAGATCATGAAGGAACAGATCGTATTTCATTTACAGCTAAAGGATGCCAGCATTTATGCTATTCACCTTTTTAAAGAGGTGAATTAACAGTAGTTAAAAATTCTAACTTAACTTACCCATTAATAAGAGCAGCTTTGTTATAAATTTTGCCACTTGAGGAAATGTATTCTTATAGACCCAGATGTCAAGCTGTCATAGAATCTTGTGATGTGAGGAGATTAGCATTGTCTATATGTTTCAAATGATTTACTGTAAGTAGGGGGTTTGCGTCAATCGTAGGCGGAACTTTGGGAGTCAGAATTGCATCAGTTGTCTGAATTGAATTACTTTGTCTGTGCTTTCTGAATTTTGAGATTAAAGTTTAAAATCAAAGTCTTGGCTATTGACTTGTATATTTGTAAAAGTTGAAGTAATCTTTTCTTAGTTTTAATATTTTCAAATCTAATAACTTTTTTCTTTTCTGATCTTGTGCAGTTTAACAGTTCTGGGAATAAAAATCTTTATTAGTTAATTGAATATTATGGGTTTATATAGAATTGCCATTCATAATATTTTAATGTAATATTCAAAAAAATTCATTTTTTTTTAGTAATACAACCGTCACTTTAGCATCTGGTATTCCTTAGCATCATCATTTGAAAATTAACAATATTGTACCTTAAAGTACAGAGGTCCTTTATAAAGCAGCAGGCTTTCTAGTTGATAGATTGCTGCGCATAGAGTAGTTTTTAGTTTGTTGCCTATGGTGAACTTCTTATTTTCTGGATGATTCTTTGGGATCCTGGCATTAGGCACAGAACATAAGCTTACACTGTATTGTCTTTACATTTGTGTGCACCATAACTGTGAGGACCTTTTCAATGTTATGAAAAATGCAAGTTAGAAGAACTTCTCTTTTTCTCTTCAATGCACATGGACCTGAAGTCTTTTGAAAATACAGTTCTTCAAAGTTTAGAAGCAATCCATGGAATATTTTCAGTGACACACGGAATATTGTAGTTCAGCATATATGGTCAGTTTATAGGAATTTTTATTTATTCTGTATTTAGTTTTTAATAAGAATTTCATAACTGGAAGATTTCATAGCAACAAAGGACTGTCATTGAATGTGTATATAAATTTAACTTGTATCTTAGAGTTTTCTAGTTATAACATAGTGATGGTGATGTAAGGATTTGGCATAGAAAGAAGTTTTAGTGAAGGAAGTGAGAATTAATGTTCATGCAGAGTAATCAAACCAGGAGAGTATGGTTTGATAAGCCAAAAGAGATGAGAGTTTTAGGAGGAAGGGATGATTAATAGTGTCAAATTAAAGGAAAAACAGCAAACAAGGTTAAGTAAGATAAGGACAAAACAGTATGTATTGATTTAAGTATTTATGAAAGCAGTTTCAACAGAGCAGTTGGAACAGGAGACTAATGGCAGTGAATATTGTCTGTCTTTGTTTTCTCTTCTACACTAGAGAACTGGACAGATAAGTACTATTATTGTCTATTCTGGCTGACATTATTGTTAGTGAATGCAACACATGTTGAAGAGCAGTCTTGTAACCTGGCAATGTGACATGAGTGGTGATATTTTTATCTTAATAAGTGACTTTCTCAACAAGTCTTGAGCATCCAATCCATGAAACCAAAATGAATATGAAATGCTTATTAATAAAGGGACTGTTTCTCACTTAGGTTTTCTACTCATTTTCCTATCACATTGATTTTAAGAAGTTCTTTGTCAAACTGACTTCTTGGCTACCAGAAGTTTTAGACTCTATAGTAAGCTCTTAAAGAATATTAGATGTGCTTTGACTATTTTAAAAACAATATTATTCACTCTGTTCATTTGCCTCACTTCTGGCTGGGAGGAACACTCAGGGAATGATAAAGGTAGGAAAGCAGCTAAGCTGTAGACAGCCTAGATTGCTCTGCACTCTAATGGGGCGCTAGCAAAGTGACCTTCTTTTCCCAGTCCTGCCTGATTTGCAGGACTTCAAATGAGATGATGGAAATGGGGCAAGAAAATATGAATATGTAAACTACATGTATTGATTTCAACCAATGTCAAAGGAGAAGCAATAGAGTTTAGGTAGAAGCTGTCTTTAATATGCAGGCCAAAATCTTTTGTATGTGTTATAGTCCTCTTTGGCACATAAATTCCCTCATTTTTCCTCATATCATCCTCAAGGGGGGGATCTTGTGATCACATGTGATCCTGCTTCTTATTACGATAGAATACATTGTGCACACTTATTTATTTTTCATTGTAATATCCAGCACTATAAGGTGGAACTCTTTTGCCAGGGCATCAGGGAGTGATTATATATGGAGAAAACTTAACAATAACCTTTAATTCTGTCTCATCAGATTCCTCCTCCATGCTTGGCTGCCCTTACTTTTGTGGGTGAAAGAATGTAAATCATTCCAGAGTTCTGTCATTATTATTTTCTTGTTTTTTCTCCTTTTCCCTGAGGTCTAGCTGACCTGCATGTCTTTCCCTGAGATTGCTAATGTAAGCCTTTTGTTTCCACCAGATAGCTTGATGCCTATCCCCATTCATGTGCCATAGATTTCTTTTCTGGTTTATATTTTCCACTTAATACATGCATTTCGATAAGAAGTAAGATGATAATATGGATGTAATATGGACATAATATGTAGGCAACTTGGATATTCTGTGAAGAATGGGGAAATCATTAAGAAAAAGAAAAATATATTATTTATGATAACTACTGCAAGGCTATTGAAAGGTGAACAGCTAGATTAGCAACATTTAAAAAGCTGATGCTCTGGGAGTTAGGGAGAAGGAAGGGATAAACAGGATTTTTAGGGCAGTGAAAATGCTCTAAGTGATATGATAAGTGTATACATATCATTATACATTTGTTTAAGCCCACAGAATATACAATATTAAGAGTGAGCCTTAATGTAAACCATGGAATTTGGATGATAATAATGCATCATGTAGGTTCATGGATTGTAATAAATGTACCACTCTGGTGGGAGATATGATAATGGGGCAGGCTGTGCATGTGTCGGGGCAGAGAGATATGGGAAATAACTGTGCCTTCTGCTCAATTTTGCTGTGACTCTAAAACTGGTCTAAAAATATGTAGTCTATTTAAAAACAAACAAAAAGGTTCATGTTCATTAACATTTTAGAGGCATCCTGAAGATGAACTGAAATTTATATTTTCTGATTCAAGATGAGTGAATTAACCTATGTGGAAATTTGTGGATCTAAGAGAAATAACCTTTGTTACTTTATTCAGTAGTTACTCTTTTGATAAGCACTTAAAAAGCTATAAATTCAATTATTTATATTAGACTTCACTAACATTTGCTTCCCATTTACCTCTAGGTTTGAAGTTTGAGGAAATTCAAAAAAGATTTGGTGAAGAGTTCTTTAATATATGCTTTCATGAGAATGAGAGAGTCCTTCGAGCTGTAGGTGGCACTTTGCAGGACTTTTTTAACGGCTTTGATGCTTTGTTGGAACACATTAGAACTTCTTTTGGAAAACAGGCCACTCTGGAGTCACCATCTTTCCTATGCAAAGAGCTCCCTGAAGGTACTCTCATGCTCCACTACTTCCACCCTCACCATATTGTGGGGTTTGCAATGCTGGGGATGATTAAGGCTGCAGGAAAGAAGATCTATCGGCTGGATGTGGAAGTGGAACAGGTTGCAAATGAGAAGCTATGCTCTGATGTTTCAAACCCAGGCAATTGTAGCTGTCTTACTTTCCTTATCAAAGAATGTGAAAATACTAATATCATGAAGAACCTTCCACAGGGAACCTCCCAAGTTCCTGCGGACCTCAGAATTAGCATCAACACCTTCTGTAGAGCCTTCCCTTTCCACTTGATGTTTGATCCCAGCATGTCAGTCCTTCAGTTGGGGGAAGGTCTAAGGAAGCAGCTTCGATGTGACACTCACAAAGTGCTCAAGTTTGAGGACTGCTTCGAGATTGTATCTCCAAAGGTTAATGCCACCTTTGAAAGGGTCCTGCTGCGACTGTCTACCCCGTTTGTGATTAGAACCAAGCCTGAGGCTTCTGGCTCTGAAAATAAAGACAAGGTAAGTGCTATGGACTTGAGATGGTGATGGGAACTAGAAGAGTGGATAATTATTTCAGTAAATTACATGGTGGCTGTACTTGTAATTATTTAGGCAAGAGAGCTTAAAGTGCCATTTAGAAGATTACTGGTCCCTGGATGTATGTAAAAAGATTTGGCCTCATTCCCAGCCATTTTGCATAGTGTCTGCCTCCTCCATTAATTTATTTCAGCATATAAAAAGAAGACATTTATTAATACTAGCTATAGCAATTACAAAAATGATAGAACTCACTAAAAACCTGATAATATAAACACATGAATATTTCCACTGAATGTAGTCAAACTATGAGAAATATAGCATTTCAATATTGTGGGGCGTGACTGCAATATCTTTAAATACATATGCTAAAAGTTACCTTCACTTTGAATATGTTCTTTTCTAAATTTCATAATCTGGGAACATCTGGTTTACATCCTATTTTTGTCTTAATATGCAGAATAATGTATTCCCCAAAAGCTGAGAATTGACTATCTCGAGACTTCTGTTTAAATTTTAGTATTAAAATAGAGATTCATTGCTTTAGAACATGATCTCTAGTTGAGAGAATAAAGTGAAGACTAGGAAATTTTTTGTGGATTTCTTTGAATCCCCTTTGGGAAATCTGGATTATAAATTATAAATAATTGATGAAAAGACACCAGAAATAAATCTTAAAATATTTGGGTTTAAATGAACATTTTGTCCCTCAGGTAAAATATTTTAAAAAGTCAACATTAAAATAGATAATAAAATGTAAAGAAAAATAAACCATGATTTTTTATGTTTAGTAATATGCTTTCAGTGATTAAACGGAAAAACAACATTAATTTCCAGGACAGAAATTTGTATAGTTCCATTCAGTTTCCAGTAGAGTGTCTTTTCAACATTTTGTACTAGGGTAAATAAAGTTCTTTTAGGCTATTTAGCCTGTTTCCAAGCATTTGAGGGAAGCTATTAGCTATTAGAAATGACAGGTTGCTCTGGGCTAAAGGAAAGAAGAGTTGTAGAAGTAATTAAAGACTCAGTGAAAATATACATATTCTGGAATAATAATAAATAAATGAGGAAATAGCCCTCTGAAAGCAGCGCTTAACTTGTTTTTGAGGATTTTATACAGCATTAGTTTCATGATTGATGATTTTTATAATTTTGAAGTTCAATGGAAAGTTTTTTAAAAAAAATATTCGAGAAAGATGGCTGGGTGTGGTGGCTCACACCTGTAATCCCAACACTTTGGGAGGCCGAGGTGGGCAGATCGATCACCTGAGGTCAGGAGTTTGAGACCAGCCTGGCCAACATGATGAAACCCCATCTCTACCAAAAACACAAAAAAACGAGCTGGGCATGGTGGCGGGTGCCTGTAATCCCAGCTACTCAGGAGGCTGAGACAGGAGAATCGCTTGAACCCAGGAGGCAGAGGCTGCAGTGAGCTGAGATCATGCCACTGCACTCCAGCCTGGGTGACAAGAGTGAGACTCTGTCTCAAAAAAAAAATTATTTGAGAATGATAGAAAGATGCACATTTATTCAATATGACGAAATCAGGTGGTTTAGGAAATTAATAATGTTTTTATCATACAAGTTCAGTGATTTGAAAATATCTAAGGATAGACCTGGATTCCAGTTTGGCACATTTGGATATTTTAGTCTGAATGAATTAGTATTATTTGATCATATGATGTTTTAAATACAAATTGTCACATATGTATATTATATGTATGTTTAATAATTGCTACCCATTTTGAAGTCCTTTAGAATGGAAGAAACTTGTTAAATGTGTATTTTTGTTCACATTTGTAGATGCTTTAAAACGAGTTATTCTTTCTCTTTAATTTAGGGAATATCAAAACTATCAGTTCTGTTTTACAGAAGCACAATATTTGGCTAGGAGAATTTGAAGCATTTTTGGCCTTTAGAATTGAAGTTGGTGTTTTTGGAAATATTTCTGAACTAGAATATATTATTATCAATGTTGTTGCTTTATATATTTTATCGATTTGGGAAAAATTAATTCATTTTAAAATGACTGCTTCAGGTTTTTTCCCCTTATATTTCATTTGGCTTCTATTTCTATTTAATTTGTATACCAGGGTAAGAAATAGACATAATGAAATGATGACTCAAATGTCAAGGCCCCCTGCCAATTCCAATAATAAGGAACTGTGCTCATTGAGGAGATGCAATTATCATTTAAACATGTTAGTGGCAGTTTAAAAATAAAGTAATAGGCAGGATTTTTAGTTAAAATAAGGATAGAAATCTACTCATCCTTATATTTATTTCTGCTTACTCACCTGAGTTTGCCAGAATGGGACATTTGAGAGGTTACAGTTGCCCCAAATTGATACTATGGTCAGTAAAGTTGTCACATACAGTCTTACCCAGATGAATAACATTTTTAAATTAGTAAGTCATCAAATTTCACATTTACAGTTTATTAAAACATGGAAAGAAGAAAGAAAAATAATATGTAAAAATTGTGTTTTTGTTGATAAATTTGACTTTGTCTTCATTATTTTCCCCATAATAGCTATTCTTGTTAATGTATACCTCTATGATGTCTGAAGTCTCTAATTTTTTAGTTGGCTTTTATAAGAAAATGCTATTTTAAAATAATTTATATTTATTCCTTCTTCTAACATTGAGGGCTCTCATAATTTAACTGTTTTGTTTGTGCATTTAATACCAATGAACCACTACGTCTGCCATAAAAAAAAAAAATCAAGAGCAAGCATGTCACCGAGGGGCATCTGACGCAGTTATCAGTGGCAGGATTCAACAGTCTTGAGGTTAGAAAAAAACTCTTCCAGATGGCTTGACCAAGCTTTGATTCTATCACTTGGTTTCCTCTACATTTTCTCTAAGTGATCATCCATGCCTCACATATTCTTCTCTCTCCCTATTTTCTTTTTCCTCATTATAGTATTCGTATGTTTTCATCTTTCCCTAAACTCAACTTCCTGTCATCATCATCTTTCCTTATCAGATGTCAAACATTAAGTATGAATGAATTGGTTGTTTTTAAAAAACCCAACAGATTCAGTGTAGAGAATAAAGACTGAATTAATCCATGTTAATTTGTGCTGTGTATTTCTTTCATTCCATGTATATCAAATATTGTTCTGAGAATTTGGAAATGTATTGCATAGATCTTTTGAATTACAAGACATTGTGGTAAATTTGAGATGAATTTTTTTTGCAGCTTAATGAGCAGTTTGCAGTTAATATTTAGTCCATGTAAACATAACCTACTGATATAGATTACAAAGCTTCTTGGTATGGAATGAATCTTGTTTGAGTGAATAGCTTTGTTAGAAATGAGAGTAATAGCACATAGCTTCCTTCTCTGCCAGGTAAGGTCATGATGTGTGGTGAAAGTATCAACAGGCTGGGAGAGAGGTGTCTCTGACAGCCATGATCTTAGTAAATCTTTTTAATGTCTGCACCTCAGTTTTATACATTGGAAATTAATGAACCTAGACAAACTAATATTTTTACTCCTTTACAAATCATACTTAACATATATACATATACATGAGGTCAATTGATCATGATTTTTTTTTTAATTTTTTTTTTAATTTTTTTTTTTGGAGATGGAGTCTTGCTGTGTCTCACCCAGGCTGGAGTGCAGTGGTGTGATCTCAGGTTACCGCAACCTCCACCTCCCTAGTTCAAGCGATTCTCCTGTCTCAGCCTCCCGAGTAGCTGGGACTACAGGTGTGCACTACCACACCCAGCTAATTTTGTATTTTTAGTAGAGACTGGGTTTCACCATGTTTGAGGCCAGACTGGTCTCGTCTCAAACTCCTGACCTCAGGTGATCCACCCACCTTGGCCTATCAAATTGCTGGGATCACAGGCGTGAGCCACCGCACTTGGCCATGAAGCTTTCTTTCATCTCTATGTTTCAGTGAATTCAGATGCATTTTAAAAGAGAGGTGCGGAGAATCTGACTTACCTACCATGAAGGGATCATCTTGTTATCAAGAATTAGTTAAAATAATTCTCTGGTAGTTTAGGCTGCCTACCTCAGAAAGTTATTTGGGAGGATTAAATGACATAATCCATGTAAAATTCTTAGCATCTTTGACCCCAGGGATAAGCACTGCATAAATGTTCATTATTACTTCTACTGCTATTATTAGTTGTGTTCCTTTCCACCTATAACAGTCTCCGTATTTATTCCCCTATTCACTTACTGCCTTATAGATGAAAGCACCAGGTATCAGTAGGTTTGATAATTTTAGAGAAATATTGAGCTCACCTAACATCTTCCTAAAATATGCCTTGGACCCTGCTGCTTGTCTCCTTAATAAAGACTAGAAGACCACTTGTCACACATTCTATAGGAGCTCTGTTTGGATCTGCATTTTATTTACATACTATCATTGTTTTAAAATCTCTGGTCTCTGTCAGATTGATGAAGGTTTGGAATCGAGTTTTCATTACCTGTATCTACTAATGTCTTTTATGTTCATTTATCAGAGCATTGTGCAGTAACTTCCAAAATAAAATGGATGTGTTAACTTAGGCACAACCTGAAGCAGCAACGGATTTTGAGAAACAATAAATAACATGAGTTCTTTTGACATTTTTTTTTAGTAGCATCACTTGAGAGAACTTTAATAGCACCTTGGAAGGAACCCAGCATTTGAAATACATCATCCCTGCGACAGAGCAATAGCATTGTTATTCATCTTCACTTTTGTTCTCAGGGTTGGAACTGAGGAAAAGCATAACAAAAACACATTTCTTTTTTAATTCCCAGAAATATGCTCTCATTTGTCTTATTAATTAGAAGCTACAATCAAACGCTGGGAAACAATTTTCAAAGAATAAAGTAGGAAATGTCTGGTTTTCTGTGGCCAAATCAGTTTTCAGAATACTCTCTTATCTTTTCTAGACAGTTGCCCACCTTTTTCTGAGGCGATGATTGAAAAGTTTTTAAGTATTTATTAATCTTACTATACCATAATGAAACCGTTGAAAGACAAGTTTCATCTTGCTGTCAAGAATACATTATTTGACTTCAACCTTAATTTAATTTGAGAAAGTGTGAGCATTTCTTCTTTGTTCAGATAATAATATTTTATTAGAGAATTTCAAATATTGAACTGTAGTTACCTTTAGTGATGAACAACCTGACATTAGAGCTTTCTCTATACATTAGCAGAGCTGAGACATGATTTCGTTCAGAATTACCTGGAGTTCACTCTGTTCTTGTAAGTATGAATGAGACCTTTATTTTTAATTTGTGTGTTGCTTACCTTTCTCTAGAACTGCTCTCTGATCATTGCCCTTTTTTCTTTTAATGTAATTTATTATTTTTTAATAATTTGAACTTCATCTAGATTCAGTGGGTACATGTATGGGTTTGTTACGTGGGTATATTGCATGATGCTGAGGTTTGGGCTTTGACTGATCCCCTCACCCAGGTCCTAAGCATAGTGCCCAATAGTTTTTCAACCCTTGTCCCCCCTTTCCCATCCAGTAGTCTTCAATGTCTATTGTTGCCATCTTTATGTCCATGAGCACCAATGTTTAGCTCCCACTTTTAAGTGAGAACATGCGGTATTTGGTTTTCCGTTCCTGTGTTTGTTTGCTTAGAATGGTGGCCTCAAGCTGCATCTTTTTTTATGGCTGCATAGCTGCATCCAGCTATGTGTTCTTTTTAATGGTTGCACAATATTCCATGATATATATGTACTACATTGTCTTTATCCAATCCACCACTGATGGGCACCTGGGTTGATTCCCTGTCTTCGCTATTGTGAATAGTGCTGCAATAATCATATGAGTGCAGTGTCTTTTGAGTAGAATGATTTATTTTCTTTTGGATATATAACCAGTAATGCAATTGCTAGGTCAAATGGTAGCTCTTTTTAACTTCTTTGAGAAATCTCCAAACTGTTTTTCACAAACGCTGAACTAATTTATAGTCCCACCAACAACGTATAAGTGTTCCCTTTTCTCCACAGCCTTGCCAGCATCTGTTGCTTTTGACTTATTAATAATACCCATTCTGCCTGGTGTGAGATGGTATCTCATTGTGGGTTTGATTTGCATTTTTCTGATATTTAGTGATGTTGAGTATTTTTTTATATGTTTGGTGGCTGTTTTTATGTTTTATTTTGAGAAATGTCTGTTCATGTATTTTGCCTATTTTTAATGGTGTTATTTTTTGTTTGCTTAACTTCCTTATAGATTTTGGTTATTAGACCTTTGTTAGATGCATAGTTTATGAATATTTTCTCCCATTTTTTAGGTTGTTTACTCTGTTCATTTACTTTGCTTTTCAGAAGCTCTTTAGTTTAATTAGGTCCCACTTGTCAATTTTTGTTTTGTTTTGTTGCTTTTGGGACTTAGTAACAAATTCTTTCCCAAGGCCAGTGTCCAGAATGGTGTTTCCTAGGTTTTCTTCTAGGATTCTTACTGTTCGAGGTCTTACATTTAAATATTTAATCCATCTTGAGTTCATTTTTGTATATGGTAAAAGGCAGGGGTCCCATTTCATTCACCTGCATACAGCTAGCCAGCTATCCCAGCACCATTTATTGAATAGGGAGTCCTTTCCCTATTGCTTATTTTTGTCAACTTTGCTGAAGATCAGATGGCTGTGTGTAGCTTTATTTCTGGGTTTTCTATTCTGTTCCACTGGTTTATGTGTCTGTTTCTGTAATAATACCAAGCTATTTTGGTTATTGTAACCTTATAGTATAGTTTGAAGTCAGGTAATGTGATGCCTCTGGCTTTGTTCTTTTTGCTTAGGATTGCTTTGGTTATTTGGGCTCTTTTTTTGGTTCCATATGAACTTTAGAATAGTTTTTTCCAGTTCTGTGAAAAATAATGATGGTATCTTGATAGGAATAGCATTGAATCTGTAGATTACTTTGGGCAGTATGGCCATTTTAATGATACTGACTCTTCTAAACTATGAGCGACAAGGCTCATGTATGATATTTTGATGCAGATATTAGTGATGTTCATGCTGGTTCTGGGTTTTTAAAAATTAGTATAAGGTTAAAATTGCTGTATGGTATTTTTTTTAAATGAACCACACAGGAGGCTTAATGGCATTGTTCCTGTATAGTTACTTTATTGTGTATAGTAAGAGGACACTGTACATGATTACATGATGAATTATGTATTCCCAATAGTCATCTATAGGCTTAAAGTGCTTATTTTGCCATATTTAATTTTTGTTAACAAGAAATATTGTAGCCCTGAGCATAACAGGAGGTACCTCCTATTGGAGATCAGATTTTTATTTAGTTCTATTAAAGGTTTGTAGGTTCTCAGGGATAAAAATCAATCCCTTTAGTTAAAAATCATACAGAATCTTCCTTTAACTGTTCCTTTTGTTTTTAAGTTAGAATCATTTTAGCCAGTAGCTTTAAGTCTCAGTGAAAAAAAAATACATGTTTTCAATGTGTTGTCTACCTCTTCATTTTTTGATAGTTTCCTGTTTGTTCTTGTGTACTTTTTTGGTAAGTATACAGTGCAATAATTTTTAGTAAATGAATATAATAGTGCATCTACGACAACAATTTGGTTTTAGAAAACTTTATCACCCCCAAAAGTTTACCCATTTGCAGTTAATTCCTGCTCCTACCTCCAACTGCAGCCAACCACTGGCCTACTTTCATCTCTATAGATTTGCTTCTTCTACTCATTTCTTACAAATGTCATCATACAATTAGTTATCTTTCTTTTTCTTTTGGTTTGCCATCATGTTTTTGAGCTTATCTGTAGTGTAGTATGCATCAGCAGATTGTTAATTTTTCCTGATGAACAGTATTCTATTGCATAGATACCACACGGTTTGTTTATCCATTCACCAGTTGATGGACATTGATTTTCCAGATTTTGGCTATTATGAATAATGTTGCAATGAACATTCACATACAAGAGTTTGTGTGGATATGTTCCCATTTCTCTTGAACTGATTTGCAGTTGTTGCATCATATAGTAAGTACATGTTTAATTTTTAAAGAAGTTGCTGAACTGTTTTTCAAAGAGCTTATGCCATTTCCCATTTGACTGGCAGCGTAAGAAGGTTCAGCTTTTACACTCACACCTGGTATTGTCGGTCTTTTTCATCATAGCCTTCCTAATGAGTGCAAAGTGGTGTCTTAGGTTTTAAGTTATACTTCCCTGATGACTAAAGATGGTAAACATCTTTTCTTATACTTTTTAGTCATTGGTGTAATTTCTTTAGTTAAATATGTAGGCAAATATTTTGTCCATACTTAATTGTTGTTTGCTTTCCTATTAATAAATTGTATTAAAAATATACATTCTAGATATGATATTGTCTTTAAAAGGTACTTCCTATGCAGTTGTCTTTTATAATCTTCAATTTACTGTCCTTTAAAAATATTTATGGAGAAACTTCTGTTCAGAAAGTTTCATTCATAGAAATGTAAGTCTGGGCTTTATCGGTCAACACTGTTTACATATTTCAGTATCTCCTTCAGTTGCACTTGACTTTATCCTTTCTATTGATATCTTAGGTTGAAATAACAGTTTTCCTCTGGATATATTCTGTGTGGCCATATGCTGGTCTCGAACTCTTGACCTCGTGATCCGCCTGCCTTGGCTTGCCAAAGTGCTGGGATTTACAGGCATGGGTCGCTGTGTCCAGCCCCGAAGTACTTTCAAAACAGGAAAAGATATCAAAGGCATGGCAACATAACACACTAGGTTTCTTTTCTTATTATTTTGTTACAGTTTTACTTTTCAAGGATTTTGAGATTTGGTATAATTGAGTTCCAGAACTTAGACATCAACTTAGTATTTTTTCCTATAGCAACTTTTGAATCATGACTTAAGCTACAGCATCTTTCTTTTTGCAATTGGGTTTTATGGTAATTTCTAATTATTATAATTCTGATAGAAACAATTAGCTTTACATATGCTTTGATAGGGCATCATCCTTGAGCAAGCACAGAAAAAAAGCAGTATTGAGAGACAGTATTGTGTATGATTAAGAATACAGTCTCTGTAGAATGGCTTGAAGCCGGGAGGCAGAGGTTGCAATGAGCCAGGATCGCACCACTGCACTCCAGCCTGGTTGACAGAGCGAGACTCTGTCTCAAAAAAAAGAATGCAGTCTCTGTAGCAGGACTTCCCAACTTCAGACTGTTATTTACTAGCTGGGTAACCTTGAGCAAGTTAACTTTTTGAAGCTTGTTTTCATTGCCAACCTCATAGTCAGTGGGCCTCTCTTGTTTGTTCCCATTTCTTTTTAAAATAACTACCACATTCTCCTGACTTCCACAAATATGTTTACTACTTGTTTCAGTTTTATCACTGAAGACATATTTAAACATTCCCTTAGTTGTTTTTCTCATTTTTAATCCTTAGTTTTGACTAAGCCTTACTCCTTTTGTTAAATTTTAGTATCATTATTCTTAGAGAAAAATGCCAAAATATTAATATTTAAAAGGCATATCTGTCTATCCATTAGTATTTATCTGTATCTATGTATCTTAACATTTCTGGCACTGTTTTAAGTGTCTTCCATGAAAATGTTATAAGAAAGGAGTGAAAGCTGCTTTCAAATATTTAAATAGTTATCATATAAAAATTAGATAAAGTTTTTGTTTCAGAAGGCAAAACCAGTGTCAAAGAATAGATGTTATAAGAAAGTAGATTTGGTTAAGAATTAAGAGGAACTTTCCAACAACTGGAGACATTAAAAATGGAGGGAGTTGCCTAGTGAAATAAAGGTCTATATAATACTTGAGAGTTCATAAAGAAAATGAATGACAGTCACTCAGGGATATTTTACTGAAGATTCATAAAGGGAACCCAAACTTTAAAGGTAAATAATATGATCACGTTATTTTTGTAATGCTAGTTTCAGGAATAGGGAGAGTATCCATATTATAAACATTTTGTGCTATTGTGAAAAAAAACTTTGATTCTGTTTTCTTTTCATAGCAGATATGGTTTAACCTTAAAAAGTAATGAATTGGTGGAGTAGAGAGATTTAGAAAAGCTTTGACTATTTAGCAATTCTTCTTCTTTCAAAGCTTAGTACATAGTGGCTTTTAAAATTCAACTCAATAAAGTATGTTTAAAATGCTGCCTGTATTTGGATTCCAAGTTTAGTAGACAATTTCTGCTCCTCAAAATGCAATGAAAACTTGATTTCTATGATCTATGATGAATAATAAAAGCTGCCTTTAAAACATTTTATACTTGTAAGAGTGCTTTATAAGAAAGCCACTTATTTACATTTTTCAGCCTCCATGAAATTGAACCTTTAAGAAATGCTAAAATAGTAAACAAGTAATTAGGCTATGAGTTATTAACAAGTTTTATTTCAGTTTATTTAGTTGTTAGACAAAGCTAGTTTACACATTTCTATTATACTGGTGGCTAAAGATTATGATCACTTATTAGAGAGATCAGTTTCTATTGTACTTATAACATGATTCAGAACCCTTCATTCTGTTTAACAGCATTTCCTTATTCTGTGAAGAAATGAGTACAGTTTACCACATTTTATTTTTCTGAAAATAATCAAAATCCAAGTACAGTCATACACTACACATTGATGGTTTAGTCAGATTGACTGCATATATGACAGTGGTCCCATAGGATTGTAAAGCCGTATTTTATCATACCTTTTCAATGTTTAGACACAAAAATACCATTGTGTTCCAGTTCTTACAGTATTCAGGATAGTCACATACTGTATAGATTTGCAGCCTAGGAGCAATAAGCTCTACCATTTAGCCTATGTGCATTGTAGGCTATGCCTCTAGGTTTGTGTAAGTATACCCTGTTGTTCATATAATGGTGAAATTGCCCAACAGTGTGCTTCTGAGATGTATTTCTCTTGTTGTTAAGTGATTCATGACTGTATTTATGTTTGAATCATACAATAATCTTGGTTCGTTTTCCGTTTTTCCTAATGAAGACATGGTGGTTTTTTTTTTTTCCTTGGAGATACAGGGGGGTCAAAAATCTGAGCATATTGTAGGTGACAAGCAGTGGAAGTTGATTCCAAAACTCTTGCTTTTTGAAGGAGAGGTCAAGAATTATATTTCTTGTCAGCACAGACTCATCTGTGAAGTTGTTGTTGGCTGATGTTAAAAATGCTTGTAATAACATGTGTAGGTTCTTCAAAGGATTGAGATTTCAAGCTTACATGTCTCAAAATTTTGAGTGAAGCAGTGACTCTTTTTTGGCCATTGAACACCAGCTTCAGAAATCCTTCCATCCACTGTAGAAGAGGTGTGAGGGAATCTCTTTCTCTCTGTGAACATATATGGAGAACTCATACTATGATTTATGGCAGCTTGCATTTTCATATTTTTCTAATTTAGATGTTACTATGAATAAGGTAGGTGTAGATCTAACAATAGAATTGCCATAAACAGGAGTTAGAAATTCTTAACATCCTACAGTAAAAGAATTTTGTGCTACTCTGATACATTTTTTAGGTAGGTTATAAATTCTTATCTTACTATCTTAATATGACTAATTATGACAGCTATTTTTCAGTAGTTTAATTACCATTCTACCCTGTTCTGTGGTTATAAAGACTTATTCCAGGCCGGGCGTGGTGGCTCACGCCTGTAATCCCAGCACTTTGGGAGGCTGAGGCAGGTGGATCACCAGGTCAGGAGATCAAGACCATCCTGGCTAACATGGTGAAACCCCGTGTCTACTAAAAATATATTTAAAAAAAAAATTAGCCGGGCGTGGTGGTGGGCGCCTGTAGTCCCGGCTACTCAGGACGTTGAGGCAGGAGAATGGCGTGAACCCGGAAGGTGGAGCTTGCAGTGAGCCGAGATGGCACCACTGCACTCCAGCCTGGGTGACAGAGCGAGACTCTGACTCAAAAAAAAAAGACTTATTCCATACAAGAGTTTATTATTCTGTGAAATAATATATATTATTTTATGTACAATGTTTACATTCTATGTCAACTCAAAAAGAAAATTTTGTGAAGTTTGTGTTCTTATCCCCCCAGTTTATAGAAATAAATAGTACCTAATAAATTATTTATAGTTCTCTTGCTTGTTTCTCTATAATCTTGATTTTTTTTTTGAGACGGAGTCTCGCTCTGTTGCCCAGGCTGGAGTGCAGTAGCGCGATCTCTGCTCACTGCAAGCTCCGCCCCCCGGGTTCGTGCCATTCTCCTGCCTCAACCTCCCGAGTAGCTGGGACTACAGGCGCCCGCCACCACGCCTGGCCAACTTTTTGTATTTTTAGTAGAGACAGGGTTTCACCGTGTTCACCAGGATGGTCTCGATCTCCTAACTGTGTGATCCACCCACCTTGGCCTCCCAAAGTGCTGGGATTACAGGTGTGAGCCACTGCACCCGGCCTCTAATCTTGATTTTATGGGATTATGTATTTCAAAGATTTTACATTTTACCCTGTTAATTTTTTTTTTGTTTTTAAGTAGATACGATTTTTAAACTTGAATCTTCACCACTGAATTACAGAAGAGAATGCACAATTGTCCATTCCCTTCTGTTATTTAGTGGTGAAGATTCAAGTTTAAAAATAGAGAAAATAGAGAAAAAAGATTATTGTGCTGTTCCTGATGGGGATCATTGGACACTATAAAACTGTGTTTGATTTTCCTTAAATAACATGATTTTGGAAACTTTATATATGGTTTGATCACTTTAGTTTTCCCCAGACATTTCTTTCGAGTGAACCATTGTTTTACAGTGTGACCTCCGGGGCACTGCCGATACTCGGTTTATGGGGCTGCTTCTCACCACTATCATATAACAATTTAAATTAATTAATTTAAAAAATGTGTTCGGAGCCTTCTTTAAGTCTAAATATAGAGTGTATGTCTATCTGCTATGTTTCCCTTAACTACTAATTTGATAATTCTAAGGGGAAGAGATGATTCAGTGGGTCTGGTATGAACTGTTCTCTATAATCTGAGCAAGGCTCTGACCTCATCTTTCCTGAAGGTGGAAAAATGGTCTCATAAATTTCTTTTTTTTTTTTTTTTTGAGACAGAGATAGAGTCTCACTCTGTCACCCAGGCTGGAGTGCAGTGGTTTGATCCTGGCTTACTTCAGCCTATACCTCTCAGGTTCAAGCAATTCTCGTGCCTCAGCCTCCCGGGTAGCTGGGACTACAGGTGTGCACCCCTAGGCCCAGCTAAATTTTGTATTATTATTGTTATTAGTAGTAGTAGTGAATACAGGGTTTTGCCATGCTGGCCAGGCTGGTCTAGAACTCCTGGCCTCAAGTGATTCGCCCACCTTGGCCTCTCAAATTGCTATGATTATAGACGTGAACCACTGCGCCCAGCCTAGTCTGATAAATTTCTAGATGTTTTTGTTATTATGTGTATAAAAATGGACTGAAGTATTATTTCCTATCTTTACACTTGTTAATTCTTGACTCATTATACTTACACTCTATTTACTTTTACAGATCATACTATCATAGGTGAGAGGGCTTCCTGGGTTAATTTTCAATTATATTTCCTTTACCCCTTACCCTAATCAGAGATTGCTATCACCAGAACGAATGGTTTATTTCAAAATTCTACATTTATTTTATTTAAGACATTTCATTCCCCAATTTTGTCTATCTCCTTTGTCATTGTTTGCATTTAATGTTTGGATTGATTTTTCTTGGAATGGCATAGGTGAATTGACTAAGACACTATTTTTAGCATATTGTAAGTTTCAGTTGTATTTTTCAAAAGCACACTTTATGACTGGGAAGAAGCTTTTGAGTGTTGATAGCGTGGAGTCTCAAGATTGCTTATCAGACCAACCGTTAACTTATTTATAAACTATTATGTATTATAATGTAGACAATATATTTCTTTATTTTTAGTATAAAATGTCAAAAATCATTGTATTTGTCTTGCCAAAAATTAGGGTAAAAATGATCATCTAAGTATTTATTCCACTTATGTTTCTACTAGAATTAATCAAAACACTTAAAAATCTATTTTTATTTAACTTGAATTGGAGGCCCAGAATCTATGACATCATTTACCCTTTCATAACTGAGGATAATTTAAAACAGATTTCATACCTCTTGGTATAAAACTCACAGGCAGTAAGAGACAGAAGAATGTGCTCTAAAATTCTACCAGTGCAAATATAAAACAATGTTTTATTACAGCAGTTATTCTGAATAATTGATACAGTTTATCAAAGTTTAAAAGTAATATGATTTTTCTTTAAAGTTAGTGGCTTTCAGTTTCTGGTTGAAATCTCTCTCTCTCTTTCTCCTCTCTCTCTGTCTTTCTTTCTCTCTGTCTCTCTCTCTCTCTTTTGAAAACTTTTTCAGGATTTTAATGGACTTTGATAAGTATGGAATGCAAATTAACCTGATAAGCATAATAGTTTCTTCCTACCCTTTCAAAGATTATGATTATTAAGGTGATGATGATGATACATGGTTTTGTTTTGTTTTGTTTTTTTGAGACAGGATCTTGCTCTGTCACCCAGGCTGGAGTGCAGTGGAGTAATCTTGGCTCACTGCAGCCTCGACCTCCCCAGCCTCAGGTGATTTCTCCCACCTCAGGCTCCTCAGTAGCTGCAACTACAGGTACGCACCACCATGCCCAGCTAATTTTTGTATTTTTTGTAGAGATGGGGTTTCACCATGTTGGCCAGGCTGGTCTTGAACCTCTGGGCTCAAGCGATCCACCCTCCTCGACCTCCCAAAGTGCTGGGATTACAGACATGAGCCACCAAGCTGGGCGATGATGTGTATTTGTTGAGTGCTTAGTAGCAGGCCCTCTTGTAAACATTTTATATGTATTATCTTATTTGACTCCCGTTGCAAATATGTGAGGTAGAGACATACTAAGGCCTACTTCTTGGATGAGGAAACTGAAATACAAAGAGATTAAGAAAACTTTTCTAAGGTTATATAGCTAGTACATGCCAAGGACAATATTGGACCCAAATGGTCAGGCTCTAGATAGAGCCTGTGCCACAATGCGTGGCCTGAAATAAACTTCACTAGTGTATTCTTCTGAAAGAATATCACACAACATTTATTGCAAAAAAGTATTATGATAGGCTCTGTATAAAGTTCTTATTTTTATGGAGTCTAGGATCAATTTTGGGAATGAGATATAAATATATGTAGAGATCATGATTAATGCAGAAGGTATAAAGAAGTTGTCCATTGAACTATAATCAGTGTGAGCTTGTAATGTTCTTCCTTTGAGATAAGCTGAATTAAAAAATGTTACATTTAAGTAATTATTTTGCTTGTCCTATGGACACAAGTGTAGATTATAGTAATTGCCAGTAGATTATACTACTGACAATTTGTAATTTTTAAAAATGTTATGACAAAACATATGTGTACTGCTTCTGGAAAATTGAAATAAGTTTCCTTCCTACCACCTATTCTAAAATCAAATAAGAAAATTCCTAATATCATCTTGATTGCTTTATGTAACATTCGTCAAAGATTTAAGAATATATATTTTATTCTTATAATTTTGGTTTATCTCAATAGATGGATGGCAAGACTTATCTTTGTCATTTTAGTTTTATTTTACAAATGGTCTTGGGAAAACCTGTCAGTTTTTACCCCACGAAAATTTCCTCTGATATATGGTAGTTCTTTCAGGTTCCAGATTAGTTTAATACTTTAAAACTTCTCAACCTTTGTCTCATAAGGCTTTTATTTTATTTTATAACCTGTTCTGTCTCCTCATCCAGAATAAATTTATAGTGTAGTCTATTATTCTACTCCCTATTTTCTTCAATATAGTTTTCATATATTGTTACCATCCCCCTTTTATATGTCAATATTTGCTAAAGTAAAAATTAAAAAAAATCTTTCTCCTAATGTACCTTTTTGTCATATGTTTTAAAAAAAATTGCTGCAATATTGCATTAAACTTGTACATAATGTCATATTGACAATGGCATGTTTACGGGGATGTGTGATTGTGGGCCTTGCAAAGGAGTCCTTGGAGTTCACCTAGGCCAGTCACATGTAGGACACATTTATGTGTTGTTTTCATCTTTCATGTTTTTCAGTCAGACATGTAGAGTTTTGTTCATTATTTTATCCCTGACATTTAGCCATTGTCTTTGCATACAGCAAGTGTTTAGGAAATGTTTGCTAAGCGAGCGATCTAAGGATTTTGTAATTTATTCTGTTTTGTTGTTAAGGCCAAACTAGGAGAATACATGTGATAGCATTTTAAAGGGCACTGCTTATGTAAGGTATTATATTCGATACAATTATTCATCCATTAATTAGTGATTACATTTAAATGTTCACTGTTAACATAAAATAATCTGATTACTTAAACAATATTTCTCCAATATACTTGTCATTATAATCTGCCTGGCATAAATTGCAAAGAAAACCCTAATGAAATCATTTCCTAGTGGGTCCCCAGTTTTGGCTATTAGTCCAATTTCAGTCATTGCCCATAACATAGCAATTCAATGTTATTATATTTCCTTTTCATTTTCTAGTATGTTTCTACAACAGGTAGTCCGAATTTTGACCTCGAGTCCCTAGTCACCTTCCTTTATCTTCTTTCGTTGCCACTGTCGCCTGTGTATATTCAGTCAGGGTTCAGTTCAAGACCATTTTTGAACGTTTATTCCATTGCAAGCACATTGGGAGTATACATGTGAAATGACAGATTTCCAGTCCTAAAGGAATCTCTTATCATTAACTACTCATATATATTTAAATTAACCACTCATATATTTATTAAATTGTGAGTACATATATATATATATATATATATATATATATATATATATATATATATATATATATGTAGTTAACAAAGCACTGAATTACCATTATTTGAGAGTAATTATAATAAGGACAATTTGAATAAAAGAAACCCATGAAGTATAGATTTTTTAAAAACATATATATATATATATGTTCGTGTGTGTGTGTACTCACAATTTAATAAGAGAGGCATATAAACAAATATATGTATTTATATACAAATATATAGTTGAATATATACATATATATTTGTTTCTGTGTCTGTCTTTTATTAAATTGTGAGTTTCTTAAGGACATGAATTATATCCTATCCATCTGTGTTTCTTTAGCACCCAGTACAGTGCCTGGCATAAGGTAGACATTCAATTGTTGAATTAAGAAACAAAGACTTTATCCTATGTTTGGAGGGCACATATAAAAATATTTCATTTATAATCCTCAATTCAAAGTCTTCTTTCACCTTAACATTTTAAAGTAAAAGGGCAGGTATTTGTCATCCACACTTTATAGTTGAAGAAACAGAGAGACAAATGTTGTCTGATTTCCCATATGCTGTGGTGCTAGCACCCTCGTCTGCTGATATCTCACTTAGAATCAATTTCATGAGGAAAGCAACCTAGGCAAAAAGCTAATTGTACAAGTGTTAAAAGTTCATCACTTTTTCAAATTGTATAGAATAAATGCTTTTTGGGGGTTGAGCTGATGTGCACTTTATGTTAACATTTTACTTAGACAAAGAAATGAGTGACTGTCTTAGTAAATTCAGTAATTTTATTAATTCCCAAGAGCCTACTTTGTACTAGTCACTGTGTTGTGCCAGATGTTAGAGATATGAAGATGAATACAACACATGTTGTTAATGGGCTTTCACTCAAGTGGAAGGCAAAAGCAAACACATTGTGGTAACCCCTAAAATGGAAGGGGTTTGTTTGTTTTTTTGCTTGTTTGCTTGCTTTACCAAGTGTTTACAATGAGCAAGGCCTTGGAATAAGCATTTTATAGACACAGTTTTATTTACTCTTTCCAACAGCCCTAGGGGGTAAAATTACTATCGCCATTTTACAGACAAGAAAATTGAAGTTTGACTATTGTGTTGTGGGGCCATCGATGAGTGGACAATTGGTTCTTTGTGAAGGAATTGGAGAAGGAAACTGGGACTAGGAGAATGGTATGGTCATAATGGGTCAAGGAAGAGTTCTAAAAGATTTATTTAAAGCACATTTTTAGTAAAAGAGTAGCAGTTTTTTTTTAAACTAGAATTGTTTTAGTCCTTTAATCATTTTTGAAGCCTTTTTTGGACCACATTTTGTCTTAAGATCACATGTCTGGCATGGATCCCTGGGAATATGCAGAAAGGACATCTTAGAATGCTCTAGTTGGTTAGAAGTGTGGAAACAGCTGAGGGATTTTTCTAGTCAGGTCCAGTAAGAGAAGTGATGCTGCAAGTTCTGGTCTTGGAGCATTTCAGGATATGGGAATTGAATTCAGTGACTATGGAAATAATAATGAGAAATCCATAAACAAGTTTTAAAAATAGGTGACTTCCATGCCCTGTTTTTGGCTTTTCCCAGGGTATCATATAATTATATTACATTGCACATGGATTGAGTAAGGCAGAGTATGTAACAGTTGACCTTATACACCCTAATATTTTCACTGGCTTTAGTTCATGTTGCAAATATTGAGTTGATTATAAAATATAAAAAGAAAAATCAAAATGAGGTTCATCATAGGATTCTGAATGAGACAATTTCAGAGAAAGCAGAGACTCCATTGCTTTTTATTACTAGAATGTCATTGCTTTCCAGTAGCTACTGCATTACCATTATTTGAGAGTAATTATTATAAGGACAGTTAGAATAAAAGAAACCCGTGAAGTATAGATTTTTAAAAAGGAAATATGATTTTGTTACTGCGATCGACTTTATTCAGTACTGTGAAAGAAACCAACAACTTAATTTTCTGCTGTTTACTTGAGCTTCTAACAAAATGGTAATAAGAAGCAGCTTACAGGGGTTGCTTTAGTGTCTATTTAAGTGTCATTTGTAATTATAAGATCTGAATGATAAACAAATGGAAATGTTTAAACAAATGGAAATGTTTAATCCATTAAACATGGTTCAGTTTCTTTTAATAGATTAAAATTTCCCTCAAATCATAATCATGTTTACACTTTCAATGCTTAATAAATTTACACTCCACCCATGTTAATGTATTATAAATTTTGAGTTGGTGGAATGTGATTTAATACTTAATGACAAAAGCCATTAGAAGTTTTTCTTTTTATCTTTTACTAAGTAATATTTTATACAGACAAAAGAGTATAATCGATATGTAATATAAATGTAAGTTATGAAGCATAAATAACGTAATAACCTGTGAATCCACTGCCTAATGTAACAGTTAAAATATTCCCAATTTTATACTGGGGAACTCCCTGCATCCACTTTCTTCACTTTCTTCCCAGTTCTGCACTGCTCCATCCACTGAAATAACCATTCTCGGTTTGGTGTTATTGCCCTGGTGTGTGCGTGTGTGTGTGGTTTTTTTTAATGGCGTTCCCCTAATGTATATATCTGTAAATACATTTGTTTACTTTTACTTGTTTCTAAGCTTTATAACAAATGTAATTATATGTCAGAGATTTTTGAGGTTAGGTATTAGCTAGTTTATCTATTGCCCAATGAGTCAACCTGTAATTTTTTGAACTGTGGTTTAGCGCATCTCAATTTTTAAAGTGCTTTAACATGTTTTCTTGGACATCTTCACAGTTGTCCTTGTGAGTAAAGCAGTGGAGGTAACATCTAACTCACTTACTTTTGGTAGATAAACTCCATGAAGAGTAAGCTCAGATTTTAAGAAATGAAATGTGGCTTCTCTGTAGTGTGAACTCATGTTATTCTCTTCTCTTCACACTGTTCTAGCCACTCTATTTTCCTTTTATTTCCTCAGATATGTAAACCTTTTTTCTACTTCAGGGATTTTGCATATACTGTTCTTGATTCCTAAAATACTCTTCTACCTCTTTTTAGCATCACTAACTTAATTTTTGTCCTTCAGATCTCAACTGATATTTGATTTCCTTCCTTGACCACTTCACCTGGGGAGTCCACATGCCTTTATTGTCTATTGTTAGTTTTCCACATTGCACTATGCCAATTTTTTTCCAGCTTGATTGAGGTATAATTGATGAATAAAATTATATAAATTTAAGGTGTATGATGTGATGATTTGATATATGGATATATTATGAAATGATTATCACAATTAAATTAGTTAACACATCTATCACCTCACCAAGATACCTTTTTTTGTTATTATGGTAACATCTAAAATCTACTCTTTTAGCAAATGTCAGTGTACAATACAGTATTGTTAACTATAGTCATCATGCTGTATATTAGATTCTTAGAACTTATTCATCTTAAAACTGAAAAAGTTTGTAGCCTTTGACCAACGTATGCCAATTTGTGATTATATATTCTTATGTTTCTTCATGTTTTTGAACATGAGCATTGGACAAAAAACATGAGCAAACATAACAATATATAATCACGCTTGTTTTTTGTCCGGTGATTTGACTGAAAGATCCATGCAGGCAGAGACAATGCCTCCTTTATCCACCAATATGTACCTAGTGTCTTCTAAAATGTTTTGCATATAGGAATTCAATAAATAGATAATAAATGAATGTAATTATAGTCTGGTATTAAAGATGAAATACACAGACAATAATTATTTGGCTATATACCTGGGCAGTATCGAATTTAGGTTAAATATCAGATTTTTAAAGATGTTGCCCACTTTGAAGTTGTATATCCCAGAAGATGATAAATCAAGATTTTATTGGCTTTCTAATATTGATTATTTGAAATGCTAGGTACATTGTACACTTGAGTGGGTAACTACCTTGTAATTCATTGACTGGAAAGAAAGATAAAAAGCTGTTAACCTTTTTTACTTGTCATGAGATGAAGTGTGCACAATAAATCTTTTCTGTCTTTAGTTGTTTGCCTGGGTAAGTGATCTAATAGATTCACAGGTCTTGTCACCAATAAATTTTGAAAATTTCCTTTCTTTTTTTGTGAATTTGAAATTAATGTGACATGTGTAATGTCTCTGTGTGTGTAATGTCTATGTGTGATGTGTGTGCACGTGTGGAAGAGAGAATTTGTGTGTGTTTATGTATGTCTGATGTCCATGGCGAGGAAGAATATGCAAACAAATTTGAGTTCTGTTGTCTCCTTACAAGTAAATATGTAGAATTATGCATTGTTTAAGAGTAGGATTTTTTAAAAAATGGTGTGTTGGGTAAAATATTTGCTTTCAAAGAGCAGAATTAAAGGGAAGGCAAATTGGACAGTTGCCAAGTGCTGCATTCAATGTGGGGCTCTGCAGTGTCACTGCAAATGTAATAAATAGAGAAAATTGCATTTACCACAATTTTTTTTCAAGGAGAGAACACAGGTGGTTGCAAGTAAATCTGTGGTGTGCTCCATCATAACAGATAGTCCTTACAGTGCCCCCCAAGGAGAACTAGTGAACTGCAGGCATGTTTTGCAGAGCTGGGCATGCAAACAGGGGCGTTATACCCTTCGTTCTCCTTCTCTGTTCTACCCAGAGCAGTAGTTCCTACTAAATGCTTAAAGAATGTTTAAATTATTTTATGAGAATTTAAATTTGAAGAGGAATCACATTATTGTCTGCCCATGGTACCCACTTCTCCTTGTTGGGCTTTGCTAATTTCTTTTTTTTTTTTTTATACTTTAAGTTTTAGGGTACCTGTGCACAACGTGTAGGTTAGTTACATATGTATACATGTGCCTTGTTGGTGCGCTACACCCATTAACTCATCATTTAACATTAGGTATATCTCCCAGTGCCATCCCTCCCCCCTCCCCCCACCCCACAACAGGCCCCGGTGTGTGATGCTCCCCTTCCTGTGTCCATGTGTTCTCATTGTTCAATTCCCACCTATGAGTGAGAACATGCGGTGTTTGGTTTTTTGTCCTTGTGATAGTTTACTGAGAATGATGGTTTCCAGCTTCATCCACGTCCCTACAAAGGACATGAACTCATCCTTTTTTATGGCTGCATAGTATTCCATGGTGTATATGTGCCACATTTTCTTAATCCAGTCTATCATTGTTGGGCATTTGGGTTGGTTCCAAGTCTTTGCTATTGTGAATAGTGTCACAATAAACATACATGTGCATATGTCTTTATAGCAGCATGATTTATAATCCTTTGGGTATATACCCAGTAATGGGATGGCTTTGCTAATTTCTAAGAGCATTGCCTGATCTATCTGGCTGCTGTTTACCTCCAACCCCTTGTCTTGTCACTCTGTACCATAAGCAGTCTCATCCAGCTGCCCCAATCTTGCATCTTTTCCTAATATGCTAAGCTCCTTCTGGTTGCCACAGGGCCTTTGAATATGCTGCTTGTTTCGTCTGAAATGCTCTTTCCCTAACTTTTTAAATGGCTTCATAGTGCTCAGATTTTAGCTTAAATATCAACTCCTCAGAGGGGCATTTCTCTTGCTCTATGTGAAATAGAAGTAGCCCAGTCTCAGTGCTCTGTTTATTTTCTTTATAACACTACTATCTGTAATGATTTGTTTCTTTATTGTCTTGTGTCCTCACTAAGATGTTAGTGACATGAAGGCATGGGCCTAATTGCTTATTTTGTTTTTCATCTTGTATTCCCAGTTAGCTCCTAGAACAACATTTTAATTACATAATAGATTCTCATTAAATGTTTTAAAAATTAATTTAGGAATGATTGGTATTCAATTCTGCAATTTCTAGTTTGTACATTCTAATTTTTTATATCATGATAATGTTTTATTTCTGCAAGTGTTTATAAATTTTATGTAAGTTGTCTTTCATATGAAAGAGCAGACTCAGCCCAGGTTTTCCTGTGATGATGTCAGTAATCAAGATATATCTGGACTGAACCAACGAGTCAGTTTACTTAGCAGTAGATAAAAACATGACAGAACCCTGCTACGCTAATTGGCTACTTATTCTTCTTTGATGTAAATTTTGGTATACTACCTTTATCTAAAAAAATACATATATATCTATGTTCATGTGTACTTCAAAACTGCATTTCACTCTAGTTAAAATATGGCTCACCTGGTTTAAGCACAATCTTTAAGCAGGAACATGAAGGATATCTTGAAATCTCTTCCATATTTATAACTGCTGATATTTGAGAGTCTGTACTACGATCCAGGCCCAGGGCTACCTGCTTTGATTTCTTACTTATATTTAATACTCTCAACAACCAAATGAGATAGGTATGATTTTATCAATGTGGATTAGAGAGAGTCAGTAATTTATAACATTTGTTTTACATATATAGACTGATAGACTGATAATCTGCAACCCATGAAAATTTTGGATTTTTGCTAAATAAATCTTTGATTTTTCCCTGAACAACTAATAGACAGGATTGATATAACAGCTGTTGTCATTTATGATTCTCAAAGTAGTCTTACTATTTAACCAAAAAGTACTTTATGCTTATGACTAAATTGTCAACTAAATCTTTTGTCTTTTTATGTTTAATCAAAGGAATACTTTGTAGGACTAGTGTTTAGAAAGCTGTCTTTATAATCAGAGTCACAAATTAGTGTGCTGATGTTAGTGCATTTTGATCATGTCCTTTATGTATCTTATCCCCTTACTTTCCCTTGTTCCCCTTCATGGATTTTTTTTTTCTTTTCTTTACAGTGAGAGTGGCAGTAACCATGACAGATAAAAATGTTGTGTATATAGAAGCTCCTCTATTTCAGGTTAGGTCCCAGAAGGCTGTTTTTCAGTTGTTCTTAAATCCAAAGTGGCTTAAGGGGTTTCAGCTTGTAATGCTCAAATGCCTTTCCAACAAGCAGTTATGAGATTTAAAATGCACAAATAGTGTGAAATCTTAAAATCAGACATAGTTCTTTTTCACTTGGTTTACGTGGCTCATTTATATTAAAATTGGGTTGAACGAAGAAGCACCCTTTTTCTATGATCTCTGTAAGTAACTTAGAAATGCTTCAGTGACTACTGAATTTACAGCGAGATAATCACCATGTTTCCTTCATGTTCTTGAATAAACTTTTTACCTTGCCCAGGATTAAAATTAGGCAATGTTCTAGCCACATTTTACAAAATGTTTTTTTATCTCCTGCTGATAGACTGTCAGTTGCACAATGTGGCACTTTTACATGTGTTGTCGTTTTTTAGTGGTTGCCCTAGATTTTTCAACCCATATTTCCAACTAATCTAAATTCACTTTCAAATGACACTGTATTGCCTCGTCGGTAGTACAGATACCTTGTAACAGAGTATGCCCAATCCCTCCCTCCCTGTCCCCTATAAGGTTGCTGCCATTCTTGTCACTTATCCATATGCTTTGATCCACAGGCTATATTCAGGCAATACATTGTTACTATTATTACTTTTAATAAAGTTGTCTATCAAGTCAGTTAAGAACAAGGAAAATACAATATTTTATTTTACCTTCATTCTTTCTCCAACTCTCTTTCTTTCTTCAAAAAGATCCAAGTTTCTGATCTGTATAATTTTTCTTCTTCCTGAAGAACTTTTTTAAACATTTCCTGCAGGGCAGGTCTGCTAGCAGTGAGTTTCCTGCTTTTGTTTGTCTGAAAAAGTCTTTATTTCTTCTTTACTTTTGCAGGATTGCTGTACATACAATTCTAGGTTGGCGTTTTTTTAAATTTCAACATAAAATGTTTCAGCCCACTCTGTTCTTGCTTGCATTGTCTGATCCAAGAAAAGTTGTTGATTTTCTGTTTGTTCATCTTTTTTTCTTGTTGGAAGATGGAGTGACAACTTACAAGGTCTTCACATGTTAGAGCTGAAACTAGAAGTCCCTTTGTGACTTACTCTTTGTCTTTCAAAATACTTTATACTGTTGCAAAATTCCAAATACCCATGAAACATTTTTACTCTTCTCATATTTTCAATTTTTAAAATATTATCTTTATTTATTTTCTCTTGTAATTATTTCTCTTCTCAGATTTTCAATTTTTAATATATTTATTTAATTTTCCTTGTAATTATTTCCTTGTGATTATTATTTTTATTTTTATTTAATTTTCTTTGTAATTATTTCTCTTTTTAATGTTGTATTTGTTGTATTTGTACTTACTGGACGTAGCATGGCTAGTGACATTCTTAAAATACCTCAAAATCAAACATAGAAACACCAAGCCAAGTGAAGCCTGTTTACAACATGTTAAGGTAACTAAACATCTGCCTACTTGGCTGTTATCACCATTTGTTGATGGCATCAGAGTAATTCAGTAGCTGAATTTTGTTTGTCTGCATAAAAAACTTATAAAGTAGGGTCACTTTCACATTAATTATGTACATTAGGAGTGGCACTATAAATGGATATTTGGTGGGAGTAAATGAAGGATAGTGTGACCCATTAAGTTCAAGGGCATGTCACTCAGTGAAAATCTGTATAGATACTGATATCTTCATGTATGTTAAGACCCCCTAGTATATGCTCCCATAGTATTCAGTGTAATATACTTACTACACAGTTGCTTGTTTTACTTGCCTGTCTCCCCTACAAATAGATTTTGCTTTCTGTCTCACTGGCCCTCTCTCTCTTTTCTCCTTCCCTCCCTGCCTCCCTCCCTCTCTCTCTCTCTTTCTTTTTCTTTCTTTCTTTCTTTTTTTTTTTTTTTTTGCTTTTTCATTACCTGATTGAAATCAATGACCCAACAAACATTAGCACTCTTTCAGTCTTTAGCCAGGTTATGCTTGATGGTTGCCGATTAACATTTAGTACTTTTTCTATGTTGTGGCTAAGGAACACTTTGGCCTTCAAGCATAAGGTATTTTCCCCTATAGGAAATCTCTTTGGCATTTAATTAAGAATAATTTAGTGGGATAGTCTTGAGTATTTTAACTTTAATGTTGAGATGAAGCAAGTCATGCTTATAAATTTACATAGCACATTAGGTCTACATCTGTCTAGCCTCATTTAGGTACTGGATTTGTATTTTGAAGAGCTGTACTTTGATGTCTATGTGTGCTATAGTTTGAATATGGTTTGTTTGACCCTTCCAAATCCTATGTTGAAATTTAATCCCCAGTGTGGCAGTGCTGGGAGATGGGGCTTAGTGGGAGGTGTTTGGGTCCTGGCGTTGGATCCTTCATGACTGACCAGCTTGGTGCTTTCCTCATGGTGATGAGTGAGTTCTCACTGTATTAGTTCCCATAATAACTGGTTGTTAAAGAGAGGCAGGCATCTTCCCCCTCTCTGTCACTTCTATTCTCATCATGTGATCACTGCACATGGCAGTTCTCCTTTCCACTAATGGCAGAAGTAGCCTGAGGCTCTCACCAGATGCTGATGCTGGTGCCATGCTTTGTGTACAGCTTGCACAATCATGAGCCAAATAAATCTCTTTTCTTTATAAATTGTCTAGCTTCAGGCATTCCTTTATAGCAGTGCAAGCGAACTAAGACAATGTGTTTGTGTGTTTCATAGATTAGTACAAATTGTGTTAAAATATTTGATTGCTTTTATATATATATATATATATCTTTTGAAAAAAATTCCACAACATAAGCAAAACATCAACTTACATTTGTAACTGTGTATAGAATGCTGGTACTGTGTCTAAAACCAACATGTTTTCCTAGGTTTGGAAAATATCACCACAGTGTGTTTGCTGAAGGCAAATAGTTTGTGTTTGTTTGATACAAAATATTTAATTTTTATGAGAGAATCAGTGGTAGAAATCAGTATAGGTTTTTTGGAAGCAGGCAGATCAAACTCCTACTTGGCTAACAATAGTTTTCACTGATGAGCTGATTGTTCTTATGCTGTGTAGACAGAACTTTAGTCAAATAGAGAAACAGAAGGTTTCATTAAAGGGCACAGTTAACAATTTTCTTTTTATACAGCACTGTTCTTTTTTCTTTATAGGTTGATATTTTATTTTCATTATTATAGCATCCAAGTGCTGTTAGGGCATAGAGAAATCATTTCATCTATTTCATTGACAGGATTGTGCCAAGCTTATTCTCAAGCCTTCATAATGATTGAATATAGAGAACTGCACAGTTAAACCTCACCCCACTGCAGTTTTCTCAAATTTAAAAGGAAAATTTAGTCGTGAGTGTCTGTAGATGGAAGATACTACAGAATAGAGATTTATACTAACCCCTGAACCTCGTAGCACTTTATTTGGTTCTGGGGAGAACATATTTTTTTAAACAAGAGAATGCTTATATAGGACAGAGGAAAAGGTTTGGGTTCAGATGGAATTTTGGCCTTTTCTCCATAGATTTGTTTGAAAAATGCTGGAAAGATCCATGAAATAGTAAATGGCTCAACAAGTATTTTGAAATATTTTTTAAGTGGCAGGCAGAATTCTAAGTTGTAATGTGTATTGTATTTGAGACAATTTAATCTTATATTTTTGAGGATGGATTTGCATTGAGAACTGGTTAAAAAAAAAGATGGGAGTTGATATGAAATTTAGGTATGAATTAGTAAGAACCAGTGAGTTAATATGAGCTATAGAATATAGAGAAAGAGTTCAGGTGATTTTCAATATAAAACTTATATTGATTTTTATTTTCTTTTAGCAGCTAGTTTGTTGGAGGAATGTGGCAATGGAGTACAGATTTCCTGCAGTTTTGGATTTCTACTCAGACTAATTATTAGCAATAAACATATTAGTTCTTCCAAATATTCTATATGGATTCAAAAATTAGAGCAAACAATTGGATGCAAGTGATTAATTGGAATACCAGAAATATTAGAGTATTTGGTTGTTTTGCCATCAAAAATATAATCTAAATATGTACCATAACTTTGAATTTTATTTTAGAAACTTCTAAATTCTCAAGATAAATACAAATTTGATATATTTATGTATAGTTTTCAATAGTTTGCTTTAAAAAGGACTTTAAAAAGCATGTATTTCCAAAGCATTGTTCATGTTTGTGCACACACAAAAATAAGGTTCTTCCTTCTTGATAGTAGAACAAAAATATTAGGTGCTGTGCATACAACTTAGTATCATTTTGTGAAACTCTCAGGCCTTATATCTCTTGGGATTTTAAAATTGTAATTTACATGCAAAATCAACCTTTGGGCATTTAAAGGATAATTGTCGAATTTAAGGATTACCTAAATCCTGTGCTTTAACTTCTGCTGCTTCTGTTTATTGTTTATTTCTTTGCTAATTGTTATCTTCTCAGAGGAAGAAGCGGGGAAGAAGGAGAGCCTTCAATACAAATTAGTTAATTTTATTACTGATCGTATTTTGCTAAAGAGTGTAAACAAAATGATTAAAGTGGGTTTAACATGAGGTGTGGCTTTCACATAGTTTTTGTTTTCCGTGTTCCTGGATCATCAAGAATTTTCTCTTACTTTGGGCTCAGTTTTCTAGTAGTCTTCAGTAGAAGTGGCTATTGTGGGAACTTTAAACATTTTTAATGCATTTTTATATATAGTGAGGTTAGCTCTAGGTAAAAACATTAAATTGTACAGCTTGTATTCAGTATGTTACCCATTTTTCCTAAGAGTTTGTTTTTCTTCTTCAGGTTCCTCTTCTCCCCTTTATTCCTTCCCTTCCTTCCTCCCTCTCTTTCTTCCTTTAATACATACTTACTGAACTTCAACTATGTGCTAGAATGTATGTCTTCATCTTAACAGTGGAGCCCTGGAGGAAATGTTAGTTTTCATGGACAACTAAGGGCACAATCAGATAACTGCCCATACATTCAGCGGACTGGTTTTGGTGCAAGTGTTAAGTCTCCTTCTCTCAGAGTCATTATGTTAGCTAGGGTAGGTTACATTCCTGTAACAAATATAATCAACATGTACTAGCACAAGCAAAGTTGAAGTCTTTCTCAGGAAATAGTTCCCAGCCAATGTTTCAAATTGGGATGATGGGGGTCTGTAAGGGACCAAGGCTGATGTATGACTTCGTGGGTCTAAGTCATTTCGGCCAATG
Organism: Homo sapiens; assembly: GCF_000001405.40. NCBI lineage: Eukaryota > Metazoa > Chordata > Mammalia > Primates > Hominidae > Homo > Homo sapiens. Next base: position 106,910,697 of record NC_000011.10, on the reverse strand, counting down.
TAAGAAGATACAAAGAGTGGAGACCTGAGAACAGTATGCATAATTTCCATTCACATTTTATAGTCACATATCCAGACTAACTGCAAGGGAAACTGAGAAAAGGAATATAGGCCTGTGCCTAGAAAGAAGCGGGGAATGAATTCTGATACATGTACATTGTCGTGGAGCCATAGTCATGGATGAGCCAGAACTAACTAGTAGTTTTCACAAAGATATTCTGGTTTTAATTTAAAAACCTTAAAAATAAGTTCTATGCCTTTTTTCCTGTTTACAAAAAAATGTTCCTAGAGCTGCGTAGTATACTTATTATATATATAAACAATTTAGAAGAATGCTAAATCTGCCCCTAATCACATAGCCAAGGGGATGTTATAATATTGTTGTATTTTTGGCCCTTTACATGCATTTTGAAATATAATAGGGATCATACTACATATAGTTTTGGATTTTTTATTTAAAACTAATATTTTGAGCTTTTTCCATGCCACAGATGTACGTGAAAACATTATTTACTATGGCCCTACAGATTTTTGTCATAAGGATATACTGTAACTTAATTATAAATTTATTGATGGAATTCATATTTTCATTCTTTAGTGTAAGTATGTTTTTAGCGAATAACTTTTATACATAAATGCATACCTGCATTTCTGATTATTAGCTTAGTTGACTTGGTGACTCAAAGGATGTGAATATATCTACGTTTCTTAATATACACTGTTCATTTGATTTTCAAAGAATTTATGCCAATTTACCTTCCAAAGACCAGGAATGAATGTGCCCACAAAGTTGTGGGCAATTACCAGATGACCCAGAAATTTCATTCTTAGGTATTAGCCCAGAGAAATAAGAACTTATGATCATACAAAAACCTATACTGGAATTTGCATGACAGCTTTATTCATATTGGCTAAAAACCAAAAGCAACCCAGATTTCCTTAACTGGGTAAATGGTTAAACAGCCTGTGTTACATCCAGATGGAATACTACTCAGCCATAAAGAGGATGGAGCTATTGATGCATGCAAAACTTGGATTCATCTGTAGAGAATTGTGCTGAGTGAATAACGACAGCCCTGAAAGATTAGATACTGTATGACTCAATTTATATAACATTTTTTAAATTAAAAAAAGAACAGGTTAGTGGTTGCCATGGGTTAAGGTTAAGGGGAGGAGCAAGCAGGGAGGTGTGTGATTATAAAGGGGCAACACCAGGACTCTTTGGTAAGGGAACTTTTCTGTCTCTTGATTATGGTGGTGGATATGCAAACCTACACATATGAAAAAGTTGCAGAGAATGAAAAGCGTACACACACACACACACACACACACACACACACACAGATGAGTACCACCAGGAAAATCAGATAGATGATAGATTTTATCAATGTCAATATTGTTTCCAATGTTGTAGTACAGTTTTTAAAGGTGTAACCATTGGAGAAATGAGTAAAGGGCATCCAAGATCTCTGTTATTTCTTGCAACTAACTGCATGTGAATTTATAATTATCTCAAAATAAAAAGTTTGATTAAAATGTAGTGCACAAAATTTATTATATAGCTTATTATCTTTTATATAATAAGGTTCTGTTGTTTGATGATGTAAACTTTTCTGTAATTGTAATTAGGAAATTATCCCTTTCATTCATTCCGCACTATTCCTGGTTGGTATTTAAATGTTCTGAGACCTTTTCTTGTTTCCATGCCCAAATTTTCTTCTTTTACTTTTTAGTAATTATTGTGTACAACAGCAATTCCAAAAATATTTCTTCACCTTCTTCTAGCCTTTTTGTGGAACATATGATCCCAAATATTTCATTGACCTATTTTGTAGGGTAGCTCAGACCCCAGCCTATTTTTTACATTTTTATTTTTGTTTTCTTTAAATGTAATTGCCAAAGGATTTCTGGACCAGCCCTGGTTGATTTAGTGCCTAAAGAACTGGTCGTACCTATTTATATCCTCTTGGTCAATAAGTTATGCTGTTAAAGTGTTCTTTTATTTTATTACAAAAAGAATCTGATTTTATTCACTTTTTTATTTAAGAGTTGCTCTAAATAGGATAATTGAGTAATGATATTCCTCACATCTTCAGTTTAAAACCCTTTATCATCCTCTCTCTCTGCAAAGTCCTTTTTTTCTTTATTCATATGTTATTTATCACTTGTTTTTTTGTCACCGGCTCTCACTCCAATACTCCCACTCAATTTTCTGCTTTATGTATAGGTATATCCTTGTAAAATTTGTAACATTTTGCATGCATTTCACATTTACATAAATATTATTGTGCCTATATATCTTTTTAAGTAATTTAGTTATATAAAGATCTCTATTCTACATAAATTTCATATGTTTGTTGAGTTCTTCAGAATATTCAACTAGAATTTTGATTAAGACTACGTTATATTTATAGATTAATTTGAGAAAAATTGAGTTTTTCACTATGTTTAGTGCATGCCTAGTAAAGAAAGGTCTAATGATAAGCAGTAAAATTGATAATATCTACGTTTCCTTTCTCTTTTAAGATTTTAATGAGGGACCCCAATGCCATTTGCCTAATATCTCTTTGATGGTGCTTTTAGTATCCAGACTTTAATTATTTTTACTACATTTGGTGTACATGAACTAATATTTAGATGTGTGTTATACTACTAACACTGAAGTTTCTGTTATAATCCTAATAAAGTTCTTTCATTATTGTATTTGGATTGTGTAATTTTCATTTGCAGAAATCTGCCAGAAAGATTTGAAACTCTATTTATATCTTCTTGAGATTGTGTGGATAAACTTACATGCATAAAGATAAGAATTGCTGTGTCTCCATGCACACATATGTTTATTGCGGCACTATTCACAATAGCAAAGACTTGGAACCAACCCAAATGTCCAACAATGATAGACTGGATTAAGAAAATGTGGCACATATACACCATGGAATACTATGCAGCCATAAAAAATGATGAGTTCATGTCCTTTGTAGGGACATGGATGAAACTGGAAATCATCATTCTCAGTAAACTATCACAAGGACAAAAAACCAAACACCGCATGTTCTCACTCATAGGTGGGAATTGAGCAATGAGAACACATGGACACAGGAAGGGGAACATCACACTCTGGGGACTGTTGTGGGGTGGCGGGAGGCGGGAGGGATAGCATTAGGAGATATACCTAATGCTAAACGACGAGTTAATGGGTGCAGCACACCAGCATGGCACATGTATACATATGTAACTAACCTGCACATTGTGCACATGTACCCTAAAACTTAAAGTATAATAATAATAAAATTAAAAAAAAGAATTGCTGTGTCTCAGCCATAGCTAGAAGAATCCCAGACAAATGAATTGTCACCCTAAAAAAAGACATCAGAGAAAAATATCTCCTAATACAATGAATGTATTTGGGAGTAAGCAAAAAAAGGATTCAGGCACAACTATGGCAAGCCATAGGTGCACCTGAAGAGGGGAGTGGAAGGGGAAGCTTTTATTTGGCAAAAAGAAGTTAATATAAGCTGCTTGGAAACAACAGTTCTTTGGTTCAGGAGGCTCAGAAATGGAGTTGGTGTCAGTTCATCAGTGGAGCTGCTGTTACTAGGCAAGTGGTCTTTTTATTTTAAATTTAAGTTCTGGGGTACATGTGCAGAATGTGCAGTTTTGTTACTTAGATATACACGTGCCATGGTGGTTTGCTGCACCCATCAACCTGTCATCTATATTAAGTATTTCTCCTAATGCTATCCCTCCCCTAGTCCCCAACCCTCTGACAGGCCCCAATGTGTGAATTTCCCCTCCCTGTGTCCATGTGTTCTCATTGTTCAACTCCCACCTATGAGTGAGGACATGTGGTGTTTGGTTTTCTGTTCTTGTGTTAGTTTGCTGAGAATGCTGGTTTCCAGCTTCATCCATGTCCCTGCAAAGGACATGAACTCATCCTTTTTATGGCTGCATAGTATTCCATGGTGTATCTGTGCCACATTTTCTTAATCCAGTCTATCATTGATGGGCATTTGGGTCGGTTCCAAGTCTTTGCTATTGTGAATAGTGCCGCAATAAACATATGTGTGCATGTGTCTTTATAGTAGAATGATTTATAATCCTTTGAGTGTATACCCAGTAACCGGATTTCTGGGTCAAATGGTATTTCTGGTTCTAGATCCTTGAGGAATGGGTGAACACCCACAATGGTTGAACTAATTTACACTCCCACCAACAGTGTAAAAGTGTTCCTATTTCTCCACAGCCTCACCAGCATTTGTTGTTGCCTGACTTTTTAATGATCACCATTCTAACTGGTGTGAGATGGTATCTCATTGTGGTTTTGATTTGCATTGCTCTAATGACCAGTGATGATGAGATTTTTTTCATATGTTTGTTGGCTGCATAACTGTCTTCTTTTGAGAAGTGTCTGTTCATATCGTTCGCCCAGTTTTTGACGGGGTTGCTTTTTTCTTGTAAATTTGTTGAAGTTCTTTGAAGATTGTGGATATTAGCCCTTTGTCAGATGGATAGATTGCAAAAATTTTCTCCCATTCTGTAGGTTTCCTGTTTACTCTGATGACAGTTTCTTTTGCTGCACAGAATCTCTTTAGTTTAATTAGATCCCATTTGTCACTTCTAGCTTTTGTTGCCATTGCTTTTGGTGTCTTAGTCAGGAAGTCCTTGCCCATGCCTATGTCCTGAATGGTATTGCCTAGGCTTTCTTCTAGGGTTTTTGTAGTTTTAGGTCTTACGTTTAAGTGTTTAATCCATCTTGAGTTAATTTTTGTATAAGGTGTAAGCAAGTGTTCTTTTAAAAGCATCTTATACGTGTTGCTGCAGTTCTAAAGAATAACTAGTGATAAACCTTGTCACAGAAATCTGTACATACATGCAAAACATAGGTCATGAAAAGCATGAGCTGCATTAAGGACATGAAGGAATTTCTCATGGGGTTATTTTAGGAAGTTTTTGAGATAGTTCTTATCTCAGACATGTGAGCATGAGCTGCCCTCCTTTGTGCTTTCCTGGCTCTAATTTGTTTAGACCGGCCATGAGTGATTCCATCCTGGTATCTGCAACTTCACAGGGTCTTGGCTTATTTGGGCTTCTTTTCTGTCAGTGATAAGTGCTTGATCCCAATTCTCTAAGTGATATGGACTGAGTTGTGTTGCCCCCAAAAGTTATGTGTTGAAGGCGTACCCTTCATGTAACTGTATTGGAGATAAGGACTTTAAAGAAGTGATTAAGGTTAAATGAGGTCATAATGTTGGAGCCCTGGTCTGATAGAACTGGTGCCCTCACTAGAACCTGACAATGCTACCATCTGATCTTGTAACTTTCAACTTCCAGATATGTGAGAAAATAAGTTTCTGTTGTTTAAGCCACCCAATCTATGATATTATTGCAGCTTTATCTGACTAAGACACTGTCTGACATTAGAGTGATTGTCATATTAATTAATGCTCTGGGAGATAGAATTATGAGTCAGCTTTCTATTAGAAATGATTTTATAACAGTCTATTTTTGTTCTAGGGTGTTTAGGCATTAAATAAAGTAAATGATCCATTGGTTGTATCTTTCCATGTTTGCCGACTCTTAATGAACTACATGAAATGGCAACTACCTTTTCTAGCCACCTCAGTGCCTTACATTCATGGTTAGGCATTATGCATCATTTCCTGTCTTTTCTGACACTCAGGATATGAAATTATTTTGCCATGTAATTCAATTAGGTCACTGAAACACTTTGTGAGTTAGACTTCTGTAATGCAAAATCGTGTTGCTTATATATCTTCATTTTTTTTCAGAGCAGGAGTCATTTCAAGAGTCAGAACTACCTAGAAAGTAAGATAATTACACTTAATTATTTTTTACCAATTGGCATCATACTTTTTTTCCTCAAGGAGTCATGTCATAGCAATCTGATGTTTCTCCTCTCTGTTTTTTTTTGAGCTCTCACTCTCAGATTGAATATATTAAAGTTGTAGTAGATTTTGGACCTAAATAAAATATGTATTTTCTCATAAGTGTGGGAAGAATTTTTGTCTTTTATTTAGCTTCATTTAACATCTACCTCAGTGCCTGAAACATTTTAGGAGACTAGATGGATAGATATTTGTTGTACATTAAAAAAAGCTTTAAAAAGCCCATCGTATCAAAATTAATTCATGTAAAAATTTGAAACACTCTGAAATTGATTGTTAAGTGCTCCTCAAAGAGTAATTTTGGCAAACATCTCCAAAGAAGTTCATGAAAACTTCTGAGTTACTGAGACATAGATGTTTACTAACACAGTAATCAGTGGTTACACATTCTAAACATTTAATCAATGTAATGGAATATTGAGATAACATTATAGGAATTACACAATTCCATTGTCATTGTATGTAAGGAAAACAGTGAAAACTTCTTATGATAAACACTTTCAGTATGTTACTTATCTCCATTTTGGATGAGATACAGGCCAAGTCCTATATATATTTTGCTGCTTTGTGGATAATTAGCCGCAGCTTTGTTCAGAAAAGGTGGAGGTAAGTGAGGAATAGGTATCAGACATCTATATATTGTTTTATAAATTTTTTTGTAAAACATTATTATCAGTAGCTCTGGCTTTGTGGCTGCTGTCAAATAAATTTGGTTACTTATAAATAACTTTAGGTTAGACTATGATAGCTATGAGAAATTTGATGGCTTTCTGTTTAGTGAAGCAGAGTATAATTCTGGTTATTCCAATGTCCTTTATTTAGCCACAGGTTGTGATTTAATGAAAGGTTTAGGAGCTGGATTGGAAAAATACTTCTTACCTTCTAAGAAAATGTTCCACATCAGCTATGTTATCTTTATATTATTAGCTGGGAATTATGAGCTGCTATGTTGCTACTATTCTTACAAGAAGGCTTGCAAGCAGTTGTAGACAATTTTATTTTTTGTGACCATTCTGTGGCTTGATGGTAAATTACAAGAGAGGTAATAACACTTCACAGAAATGTCTTTATCACTTTCTATCATCTTCCCTGCCCTTGGCAGTCTCCTTTGCTATTTAGATGACAATATATACTCAGAGTTTGTATTTTAAAAAGCATGACTCTCTGTTCGGATAGTATCTAGCAATTTGAAACCAGATAGCAAAATCATTTTAAAAAACCCCAGCTTTCGTTTGAATGGTTAGCTACAGATTCAACCAGGGCCTGAGGACTATGATGCCTTAAAGTGGACCCTGACCAAAGACTTCAAGGTAAATTCTATGGGTTTATTAGTTGTCTTGGTTTTATGTTTTGGTGGAATATAATCCACAAGACATGTAAAGCTGAAATGTAATATAAAGAAATTCCATATCATTGTTTCTCTAGAGATAGTTCAGTAAAGGTCAAAGTAAATTGAATCAAGATAGTGAGGCAATACAGTTGAACTGAGAAAATTGGATGTGGCCAGACAGCATTAAAGAAGAGTAGAATGAAATTGACTGGCTGTGAAGGCTTCAGAAATTGGTGATGAGTTTTTTTTTTATCATTTCAGAAGATGTAATAATTATTAGATAATATTTATTTAGCATTCTGCTGTTGGGACTTTGGTGGCATCTTTAAAAAAAGATTTTACATATTTATTTTATCCTTAGAAGTTTACATTCTAAAGAATAAAATCAGTGTTTGAGCACAGTAAGTCATTGGACATATTTGAAGTTCAGTTAGAGTTCTTATATTTGAAAAGTTTTGCAAGACATAGATTCATAATCAAGAGGCATGTACTGTCGTCCCTTGGTATCTGTGGGAGATTGGTTCCAGGGCCTCCCATGGGTGCCAAAATCCACGGATGCTCAAGTTCTTGCTGTAAAATAGTGTAGTATTTGCATATAACCTATGCACATCCTCCTGTATACTTTAAGTCATTTCTAGATTATTTATAATATCTAATATAATCTAAATGCTACGGAAATAGTTGTATTGTTAGGGAACAATGACAAGGAAATAGTCTGTACATGTTCAGTACAGAAACAGGTTTTTAAAAAATATTTTCAGACTATGGTTGGTTGAAGCTCTGGATGTGGAACCCATGGATGTTGATGGCCGATTATAAATACTTTCACTATTATGATAGAAAACCAGCAGCATGTGTTGATATAGAAGCTGCAGGAGATCCAGAAGATCTAGCTAAGATAATTAATGAAGACAGCTACACTCAACAAAATATTTTCATTGTGGATGAAACATCCTTCTATTGGAAGAAGATGCCATCTAGGTAGGACTTTCATAGCTAGAGAGGAGAAGTCAAAACTTCAAAAGATGGTTTCTCTTGTTAGGAGCTAATGCAGCTGGTGACTTTAAGTTGAAACCAATTTTCGTTTACCATTTTGAAAATCCTTGGGTTCTTAAAAAGAATGCTAAATCTATTCTACCTCTACTATAAATAGAACAACAAAGCCTTGATGACAGCACATCTGCTTACAGCATGGTTTACTGAATATTTTAAGCCAAGCTTTAAGACTTACCGCTCAGTAAAAGAGATTCCTTTCAAAATAATAGTGCTCTTTGACAAAGTAAATGGTCACCCGAGAGCTCTGATGGAGGTGTACAAGGAGATAAATGTTGTTTGCATGCCTGCTAACATAACATCATTTATATAGCCCATGGATCAAGGAGTTATTTCAACTTTCAAGTCTTATGATTTAAGAAATACACTTTGGAAGGCTACAGCTGCCATAGATAGTGATTCCTCTGGTGGGTATGGGCAAAGTAAATTGAAAACCTTCTGGAATAAAGCCGCAATAAATATACATGTTATTGCGGCACTATTCACAATAGCAAAGACTTGGGACCAACCAAAATGTCCGTCAGTGATAGACTGGATTAAGAAAATGTGGCACATATACACCATGGAATACTGTGCGGCCATAAAAAAGGATGAGTTCATGTCCGTTGTAGGGACATGGATGAAGCTGGAAACCATCATTCACAGCAAACTATCCCAAGAACAAAAAATCAAACACTGCGTGTTCTCACTCATACGTGGGAATTGAACAATGAGAACACTTGGACACAGGAAGGGGAACATCACACACCGAGGCCTGTTGTGGGGTGGGGGGAGGGAAAGATTTAGGAGATATACCTAATGTAAATGACGAGTTAATGGGTGCAGCACACCAACATGGCATATGTATACATATGTAACAAACCTGCATGTTGTGCACATGTACACTAGAACTTAAAGTATAATTTCAAAAATAAATAAGAAAACCTTCTGGAAAAGTTTCATCATTGTAGATGCCATTAAGAACATTGACGATTCATGGGAGGTGGTCAAAATGTCAATATTAACAGAAATTTGGAAGGCATTGATTTCAGTTCTCAGAGATAACTTTGAGGGCTTCAGGATTTTAGTGGAGGAAGTTACTGCAGATGCTGGTGAAAATAGCAGGAAGACTAGAGTTAGAAGTGGGGCCTGAAGATGTGACTACATAGATGCACTCTCACAGTAGAACTTGAACATATGAGGAGTTGATTCTTATGGATGAACAAAGAAAGTGGTTTCTTGAGATGGAATCCACCCCTGGTAAAGATGTGTGAACGTTGTTGAAATGACAACAAAGGATTTAGGATATTACATAATAGGGCAGCAGCAGGGTTTGAGAGGATTGACTCCAATTGTGAAAGAAGTTCCTCTGTGGGTAAAATGCTATCAAATATCATTGCATGTTAGAGAGAAATCTTTCATAAAGTAAGGGTCAATCAATATGGCAAACTTTATTGTTTCAAGAAATTGTCAGAACTACCTCAACCTTCAGCAACAACCCTCTGATCAGTTAGCAGCCAACAACAGAGGCAAAACCTACACCAGCAGAAGGATTACAAGTTGCTGAAGGCTCAGATAATCATTAGCATTTTTAGCAATAAAGCATTTTAAAGTCAAAGTATGTTTGTCGCTTTTTTAGACATAATGGTATTGCACACTTAATAGACTACAGTATAGTGTAAACATAATTTGTATATGCACTAGGAAACCAAAAAAATTCATGTGACTCCCTTTATTTTAGTATTCAGGAACCTAACTTACAATATCTCTGAGCTATGCCTGTACAGAAAAACTGGATATATAGAAGATAGTTTCAGAAATTATTCAGAAAAGGAAGCTTATCATTAGAAACACACGAGTCTTATTCAGATTTACTGCAGATATTACATGCCTATTCAAGTATAAATATGTTTACTTCGTTAAATTGGCCCACGCAATTATGTCTTTTAGATTAATAATTATGTTTGTTTTGTGGCTGGGAGAGGTGGCTCATGCCTGGAATCCCAGTACATTGGAAGGCCAAGTTTGAGACCAGCGTGGGCAAAGTGGCAAAACCCCGTCTCTACAAAAAATACAAAAATTAGCTGGGTGTGGGGGCTTGCAGCTGTAGTCTCAGCTACCCAGGAGGCTGAGGTAGGAGGCTCTCTGGAGCCCAGGAGGTGGAGGTTGCGGGGAGCAGATATAGTGCCGCTGTACTCCAGCCTGGGTGATAGAGAAGACCCTGTCTCAAAATAATAATAACAATAATAAAATTATGTTTGTTTTGTGAAAACATTTTTGCAGTTATCAGGCATCTTACATTGATTGGCTACATATATTATAGATTGTTTTTTTTTTTTTTTTTTGAGACGGAGTCTCGCTCTGTCGCCTAGGCTGGAGTGCAGTGGCCTGATCTTAGCTCACTGCAAGCTCTGCCTCCCGGGTTCACGCCATTCTCCTGCCTCAGCCTCCCGATTAGCTGGGACTGCAGGCGCCTGCTACCATGCCTGGCTAATTTTTTTGTATTTTTAAGTGGAGGCAGGATTTCACCATGTTAGCCAGGATGGTCTCGATCTCCTGACTTCGTGATCTGCCCTCCTCGGCCTCCCAAAGTGCTGGGATTACAGGCGTGAGCCACCGTGCCCGGCCATAGATTCTTAATGTAGGGCATATGTGTGTGTTTCAGAGGCTCTATGAAAGCCCTGCATTATTAATATGCAAAATTTGGCATAGGATTCTTTTTCTGGGATGAAGGTTCATCAGATTATCAAAAGAATTTCTTGGAAATACTTAGTCTCAATTATTTTGTAATTAAAGAACAACTATAAATATTTTAATTCTGTGGGGAGGAAAATATGATTTTTAATGTAAGTTAGACTAAACAACAGGTTGCTTGAATTTTCTCTCTGTAGTTGTTGTTCTGATATTATGTAGACAAAGGCTAAGTCCTTTAATTATGTCTAAATTAATTTACAATACATGAAATTCACCCACACTTGTTTTATTTATCTCTCCATGGAAACAGCATGCTTTGAGCTGCTACTAAATATTTCATATGCAGGCTATTTATACTTTTATATTTAAGGATATATTCTTTAGACTCTATTATTTCATTTAAACTGTTTCTGGAAATGCAGTAAAGTTTAATATTCTTTTTAAAATGCATTTTAAATGAGTCAGCTTTTCATTGTATGGATTGATTTCCTTGCCATCATTCACTATCGTGTTTTTTGTTTGGTTGTTTCCTAATGTTATTTCTTAATATCTTCCTCTTGCAAAAATTTCTCACTTTGGGGGCCTCATTACAAAGTATTTTCTATGTACATGTTCCACCAGATTTTAAAAATTTTAATTTTTAAAGGTATAATTTACATACAGTCAAGAACCCAAATCTTAAATATGTGGCTTAATAACATTTTAATAGTTTTCATGTTTTCGAGTAGTTTTAGGTTCACAGCAAAATTGAGTGGAAGGTACAGAGATGTCCCATATACCTTCTGTCTCTTCAACAGGCATAGCCTTCTATTATCAACATTCTCTACCAGAGTGATACATTTGTTACAATTCATTAACCTACACTGATACATCATTATAGTCCAAAATTCATAGTTTAAATTAGAGTTCACTTTTAGTGTTGTGTAATCTATGGGTTTGGATAAATGTATAATGACATGTCCACCATTATAGTATCATATGGAATATTTTCACTGCCATAATAATCCTCTGTGCTCTGTCTATTCCTCCTTCCCTACCCCTTAACCCCAGATAGCAGCTATTGACCTTTTTACTGTCTCCATATTTTTGTTTTTTCCAGAATGTTATATAGTTGGACTCACACAGTATGTAACCTTTTCAAATTGAGTTCTTTCATTTAATTATGCACATTTAATTTTTCTGCTTATCTTTTCATGGCTTGATAGCTTGATAGCCCATTTCTTTTTAGCACTGAATAAAATTTCATTGCCTGCATGTTCAGAGTGTATTTACTCACCTATAGAAGGACATCTTGGTTGCTTTGAGTTTTGGCAATTATGAATAAACCTGCTATAAACATCCATTGTGCAGGTTTTTGTGTGCATACATGTTTTCAACCTATTTGGGTAAATACCAAGAAGCACAATTGCTGTATCATATGGTAAGAGTATGTTTAGCTTTGTAAGAAACTGCCAAACTGTCTTCCAAAATGGCTGTACTGCTTTTCATTTCCAATAGCAATGAATGAAAGTTCCCACTGCTGCCTACCCTTGTCAGCATTTGATGTTGTCAGTGTTCTGGATTTTGGCCATTCTCATAGGTGTGTAGTGGTATCTCATTGTTTTAATCTGCATTTTTCCCTGATGCCATATGATGTGGAACATATATTCCTATAGTTATTTGACATCTGTGTATCTTCTTTGGTGAGGTATTTTTTAAGATATTTGTTCTGTTTTTTAATTGGGTTGTTTCCCTAATATTGAGTTTTAAGGGTTATTTGTCTATTTTGGATAATAACCAGATATGTATTTTGCAAATATTTTCTCCCAGTCTGTGGCTTGTCTTTTCATTCTCTTTATATTGTTTTCTGTGGAGCATAGATTTTTAATTTTAATGAAGTCAAGTTCATCAATTTTTTTAAATACATCATGCCTTTGTCATCTTATCTGAAAAGTCATTGCCAAACTCAAGTTGTTCTATATTATCTTGTATGTTATCTTCCAGGAATTTTATAGTTTTGCATTTAACATTTGGTCTGTGATCCATTTTGCATTTTTTGTGAAAGATATGAGGTCTGTATCTAGATTCAATTTTTTTTTTTGTAATTCGATGTCCAGTTGTTCTAGCACCATTTGTTGAAAAAAGGTATCTTTTTTTCATTGCATTGCTTTTGCTCCTTTGTCAAAGATCAGTTTTACTATATATATATATTTGTAGTTCTATTTCTGGGGTCTTTATTCTGTTCTATTGATCAATTTGTCTATTCTTTTGCAAATACCACTCTATTTTGATTTCTGTGGTTCTATAATAAGTCTTGAGGTTGGGTAATGTCAGTCCTCCAACTTTATTTTTCTCCTTCAATATCGTGTTGTATATTTCAAGTATTTTGCCTACTTCATGTAAACGTAAGAATCAGTTTGTTGATATTCCCAAAATAGTTTGCTGGGATTTTAACAGAGATTTCATTGAATCTATAGAGCAAGTGGGGAAGAACTAATATTGTGATAATATTGTATCTTTCTATTTATGAACATAGACTCTCTCTCCACTTATGTAGTTTTTCTTTAATTTCTTTCATCAGAGTTTTGTTATTTTCTTCATAATGATCTTGTACATATTTTTTAGGTCTATAAGTATTTTATTTTGGGGTATGCTAATGTAAATGTATTGTATTTTTAATTTTAAATTTTACTTGTTCAGTGCTGTTATACAGAAAAGTAATGGGATTTTGTATATTAACCCTATACACTGAAATTTTGCTATAATCATTTTATTAGTCTCAGGAATTTTTTTGTTGGTTCTTTTGAATTTTCTACATAGATATTCATGTGATCTCTGAACAGAGACAGTTTTATTTCATCCTTTCCAATCACTACACCTTTTTGTCCTAGTTCATTTGTTCTGTGATAACACAGTCTTGATAATTTATGAAGAACAGAAATTTATTTCTCACACTTTGGAGGCTGGGAAATTCAAGATCAAGACAGTGGCAGGATTGGTGTCTGGCGAGGGATGCTCTCTGCTTTCAGTATGGTGCTTCCAATATTCCTCTTTGAGAGGAGAAGAATGCTGCATCCTCATGTGGCAGAAGGGATGGAATAGCAAGAGAGCACTTTTTTCACCCTTGAGCCCTTTTATAAGGATGCTAATCCCATTCATGAGAGTGGATTGTGAGATAATCACTTCCAAAGGCCACACTTCTTAATACTGTTGCATTGGAGATTATGTTTCAACATGTATTTTGGAGAGGACCACATTATTCAAACCATAGTAATTTTATTTCCCTTTATTATTTTATTAGCTAGGACTTCAGTACAATATTTAAAAGGAGTAGTGAGATGGTACATTCTTGCCTTGCTCCTCATCTTAGTGGGAAAGCTGGTTTTTTACCATTAAGAATAATGTTAGCTGTAGAGATTTTGTAGATATTCTTTATTAAGTTGATGAAGTTCCCCTTCATTACTAGTTTACTGAGAGATTTAATTGACGTTGGATTTTGTCAGATGCTTTTTATGCATCTGTTGATATGATCATGTGATGTTTTTCTTCTTTAGCCTATTGATGTGATGGATTACATTAATTTATTTTTAAATATTAAACTAGACTTGCATGCTTGAGAAAAATACTACTTGGTTGTGGTGTATACTTACATTTATACATTCTTGGATTTGATTTGTGAATATATACGTATATGTGTGTATATATATCTGTATATATGTATACTATATATATATATTTTTTTTTTTTTTGAGACAGAGTCTTGCTCTGTCGCCCAGGCTGGAGTGGCACGATCTTGGCTCACTGAAACCTTCGCCTTCCAGGTTCAAGCGATTCTCCTGCCTCCTGAGTAGCTGGGATTATAGGCCCAAGCCACCATACCCGGCTTGATTTGTGAATCTATTTTGTTAATAATTTTTGCATTTATGTTATAAGATATATCAGTCTGTCGTTTTCTTTTCTTGTAATGTCTTTGTCTGGTTTTGTTATTAGGGTGATACTGGCCTCAGAATGAGTTAGGAAGTTGTATTAGTCCATTCTCATGCTGCTAAGAAAGACATACCTGGGACTGGGTAACTTATAAAGAAAAAGAGGTTTAATGAACTCACAGTTCCACATGGCTGGGGAGGCCTCACAATCATGGCAGAAGGTGAAGCAGGAACAAAGGTATGTCTTACATGGCAGCTGGCAAGAGAGCATGTGCGGAGGAACTGCCCTTTATAAAGCCATCAGATCTTGTAAGACTTACTATCATGAGAACGGCATGGAAAAAACCTGCCCCCATGATTCATTTACCTCCCATCAGGTCCCTTCCTTGACACATGGGGATTATGGGAGCTATAATTCAAGATAAGATTTGGTGGGGACACAGCCAAACCATATCACAAGTATTCTCATCACTTCTATATTATGGGAAAGATTTAGAAAAATGGCATGGTATAATTTATTTCTTAAATGTTTGGTAGAATTCACTAGTGAACTCATCTGGCCTGGGTCATTTCTGTTTTGGAAAGTTATTGATTATTGATTAAATTTATTTAATAGATATAGAGCTTTACAGATTATCTTTTGTGTGAGATTCAGCAGATTGTGTCTTTAAGGAATTGATCCATTTTATCTAGGTTATCAAATTTGTGGGCATAGAGTATTTCTTTGTTATTCTTGTAATGTCCAGAGAATGCATAGTGATGTCTCCTTGTTTATTTTGGTCTTATTAATTTGTATCCCTTCTCTTTTTTTCTTAGTTAGCCTGGCTAGAGGCTTATTAGTTTTATTAACCTTTTCAAAGAACCACGTTTTGTTTTCATTGACTTTTCTCTGTTTATTTCCTGTTTTCAATTTCATAGGTTTCTATTCTGACTTTATTTCTTTTCTCAGGCCGACTTTGGATTTAATTTTTTCTTCTTTTTGTAGCTTTCTAAAGTGAAAGCTTAGGTAATTGATCTTAGATCTTTTCTCCTTATATATGCATTCAGTGGTGTTACTCTCTTTGCACTCTTTCACTGAATCACAAATTTTCCTAAGTTGTGTACTTATTTTTATTTAGTCAAAAATATTTTTATATTTTTATTCAGATTTCTTTTTTGACATAGGTTATTCAAGTGTTTGGGGATTTTTTAGCTACCTTTCTGTTACTGACTCATAATTTAACCCCATTTCAAGACATTGTAAGACTTCTAGTCTTTTGAATTTGTTAAAGTGTGTTTTATGGCCCAGATTGTGGTTTAGCTTGGTGAACATTCCATGTGAACTTGAGAATAATGTGTATTCTGCTTTTGTTGGATTAAGTAGCCTTTAGATATGCATTATATCCAGTTGATTGATGTTGTTGAATTCAACTGTATTCTTACTGATGTTCTGCGTGTTAGATCTGCCCAATTCTGGTACAGTGGTGTTGAAGTCTCCAGCTGTAATAGTGGATTCCTCTATTTCTCCCTAAACTTTTATCAGTTTTTGTCTCATGTGTTTTGACACTCTGTTGTTCGGCACATACACATTAAGGATTGTTATGTCTTTCTGGAAAATTGACCCCTTTATCATTATGTAATGACCCTCTTCATCCCTGATAACTTTACTTACTCTGTTTCTTGACCTGTTGGGTATTTCTCTTCCTCCATGCGGAAGGCTAGAGTTGATTGGAGTTGGGTATTTCCTTTCACCTGGGTCAGTTAGGCTCTGATAAAATCCTAGTAGGATAGGCAGTGATTACATATATTCTCCTGAGGGCAGACATTTTTGAGAAGTACAAAATGATCTGGTGTATTTCTAAATGGGTCTTTTCCCCCTTCCCTTGTGGGAATCATAAGGGAATTTTCCTCTAGTATTCACTGTGAGAAGCTAGTAGAGCTCCATGAAGTAATAATCACAAAAGTGTGCAGTCTCCGGGATGACTGGGTGCCCCTGGAGTTTTTAGTCTCTCAGACTTGTCGACACCGAGCCTCCAGTAATTTGTAAACTGCTGTTCAGGTTTCTCTACTGTGGCACTGGTTCCCAAGGACGTTTTTGCTTGTGGGCTGCTGCTCCAGTAAGTCATTATTCTCTGTATCTGCCTGTCTTTCTCTCCAGTTTTAGGGGCAGTGGTTTGCCCAGTGACATCATTTCTCTTATAGATTTAAGAAGAGTTGCTAATTTTTCAGTTTATTCTGCTTTTTACTTATTGTTAGGATGAAGTGGTGACTTCCAAGTTTCTTACATGTGGGACCAGAAACTGGAGGCCACCACCATATATTTTAAAATTATATAGTTATGTTGTACCCTATAATTTTATATTTCAGTATAGGTGGTATATATATATTTGGCCTATGTGTGACAGAAATAAGAAACAAACAGAATTTATTGGATTATTTATTTCCCCAATCCTTTAAGTTTTTTTTTAAAGACTAAATTATTTTCTCTTTCCTTCCATGAAATTTTGTACATTTTGATTTCAGCAAGATGCCTTTAACCAACATGTTTTTGATTCAGTGGTTACAAATAGATATGTGCTACTTGCCTTTAAAGTCAAGTTAAAGTCCTTTCTGGCTTAGCCAAAAATTATGTCATATATATGACGCTAGTTCCCTGGGACTGAGGAGATGTTTAGGATGATCTTGTAAGATATTTTTCTCGTTTTGATTTGCACACTTGAAATATCAAAAAGAACAGATACCTTTAAAGCTCCCCTTAAATATTGTTCCTGACATTTTTTGGGAAGAAGATTTTCCTATGTGAACATCTTTCCTTGCAGGAAACTTTTTTTTGTTGTTGTTATTGCTAATGTTGCCTTATAAAGAAATACATCCGCCCCACTTTTCTAGTCTCTAAACACATTTAATGGACTGGTGAACTAAATACAATTATTTAATAATCACTTCTAGGAATAATTACTTTTCAGTGTTGGAAAGGACTTTAAGAATTCTCTTGTATGTAAATAATGGCTTTAACCAAGTTTGCTGAATACAAGTTTCTTGCAAACCCCAAACATTTTCTACACATTGGATAATTTTCATGCCAAGACCCCCATCACACAATATATTTTTACAATGACTTTTAAAGCATTCTTTACTACAAGGAGGAAATAAAGAAATTTTTGAACATCATTTACTAAAATCAGGAAAAACGATACACAACTATTTTTTGGAACATTCTTTGTTGAAGGAGGAAGGGCAATAAATAAACTTGGAAACTCCTGTGGGTGCGACGCTAGGGCTAGCTAACTTGATATAAGTTGTAAGAACAAAGGTAGGAAGATTGACACATTTCAGGACTGGGACACTGGCAAGTTTTTGGGAAAGTAAACATATCAATTAAAAAAGAAAAGTAACAGTTCTGCTATAATTTCTGGTCTTAGTTGAAAGTCCAGAAAGCAAGAAATTATTACAAAAGTTCAATTATAATCTGGCTAGGATGATGACCGCAAATATATTACAGGCCCAGAATATGAGAGAAAGATCTGAAAATGAGAGATAGCATTGGTCAAAGGGAAATGGCCCTAAATTTATAGTTATTATTTACTGTGTCACCATAGACAGCTGTATATGCTATGAACAAACCATTTGGAAAATGGAATAAGCAACAATAAATAAATAATTTTTTAATAAATAATTTTAAAATGCCATTTACAATAGCATCAACTACTGTCTGGGAAATACTTAGGATGCCAATACCTAAAATAATAGATGTTCAAGTCCTCTATACCCCAAATTGCAAAATTTTGCAGAGAAATTAAAGGAGACTTAAGTATATATTGAAATATACTATGTTCATGGATTTAAAAACTGTCATTGAGATGCTATTTCTCTACCCACTGATACATAACTCCAGTGCATCCCAATAAAAATTCAGCTGCATTTTTGTAGTCGCTGCTGTCTTTAGAATTTAAATGAGAATACAAAATGCTTAGGTTAGCTAAGACATTTCTTCAAGAAGAGAACAATGTTAGAGAACAAGCAAGACCCAAGATTTACTATAAACTGGCAGTAAATAACACAGTATGGTATTGGCATAATAACTGATAGATTAGTGGAACAGAATAGAAAGTTCGGAAATAGGTTCAAATATATATTGATTTTTGACAAAGGCACCAAAGCAATTCAATAAAGAATAGAAGACCTTTACATTAAATAGTGTTGCAGTAACTGAGTATTTATATGGAAAAACAAACTTGAACCTATCTCATATAAATAAACAAAAATTAATTCAAGATGGATCATAGACATAAATACAGCTTCTAGAGCAAATCACAAAATATCTTCAGGATCTTGAAAAAAGCAAGACATTTTTAACAGAATATAGTAGGCACAAACAATAACAGAAAACAATTAGAAATTAAATTTCATCAAAATTAAATATTTTCTTCATCAAAAGGCAGAAAGTGAAAAGGCAATCCACAGACAGGGAGCAAATATTTGCAATAAATATTCCTGACAATAGACTTGTATCTAGAGTACATAAAGAATTACTATAAATCAATAAAAAGACAATTCAGTTTAAATAAAAGCAAAGGCTTGATCAGCTATTTTTTAATAAATGGACAAAAAAGTATAGAAAAAGATGCTTACATTATCATTATCAAAAAATGTAAATTAAAACCACAGTGACATACCACTACCAATGGCTCACATTGGAAAGACTGACAATACTAAATATCAGCAAGGATAAGGAGCAAATTGAACTCTCTTACTTTGCTGGTGGAAATGTAACTGGTATAACCATTTTGCACAACTATTTGGCAATCACTAGTAATGTTAATCATACTTCTACCCTATGACCTAACAATTTCATTAATGGGAATATACTGAAGGGAAATAGGTAAAATGCTCATAAAAAGATTTGCACACAAATATTTCTAACAGCTTTATGAATAACTTCCCAAACCAGGAAACCACCCAATTGCTCTTTAATAGGGTATAACATTATAATGTTCTCTATTTATATTTTGTCATCATTGCAATGTGGTGGAACTTCAGTAGTTTCTCTAGGCTTAAACTTAAAGAGTCATCTTGAATAGAAGTCTAATGTTTTTTAAATGATATTTTCTGCAGTGTTTATGCAGTACAGTGAGCTGTGAAGATTGCAGTTATATCCGAGGTGGTTGTGTGTAATCAACTAGATGAAATTTTGTGTAAAAATTGATTGGATAGCATAATCTCCTAGTGGTTCTATTCTGTGGCCAGCAGGAAAAATTTTGGTAAGTGTGGCAGGTTAAGGTCATGAACCGTCACATACAGGAAGAAGTCAGAATCGTGAATTTCCCAAATAGTGAGTACAGAAGGCATGTAGCAATGGCCATTTACTGAGCCTTCTTGACTAGAACTTAAGTTTCAGGTGGAAGAAGTAAAGTCAGTCAAAGAGCCAGAACCAGCATCCTGAAGAGTATCAGCAGAACATCAAGGAAGGGTTGTGCTACTGTTTTCCTCTTGATATTATTATAGGTAGTGAGATTGTGAAGCATAAGAAAGGAGAAGTTACTTAAATTAGCTAGAACAGGTTGCTGGTTATGCAATTACAAGTGCACTTAAGACTAGAGAAACGTTTACTGAAGAGTTGGGTTTTGATGAAGTACCCTTATAGCATATAGATAATAAATTCACAGATTTTGAACTTAAAGCAAGGAAAAACATACAGTAGCAGATTTAACGGGCAATGAAGATAAGATAACAATTTATTACTACTTAACTGGAATACTTAAAATCAGAAGAAAGGGCAGCATGGGCCAGGTGAAGTGACAAATTAGGTGAGGATCTTCAAATACACTATACAGAGATGCATCATTTTAGTAATGTGAAGGTCTGAGAGGTTAAGAGATTTATTAATTATATAAGGTGGACTCTTAGTACAGAAGTTTTTGCAAACTTGCAATTTTGGTAATTGCTTTTCTATTATAAATAAAAATCAGCATTAAAGAACCCTCTGAAATACATTAAGTTGCGTAATGCCAAAAATTAATATGCTTTATCACACTGAAGGACCTTGGTTGTAATATAGGCTTCAGTTTCTTTAGACACCTTTTTGGCAGGTATGTAAAGCCATATGCACAATATGTAGTTGACTGATACTGTGAAATGACTGGAATTTTATTGGACAGTGGGAGGTGAAGCAGCCAAGACATATAATAGTTTTGCAGACATCTCAAGAGATTTCAAAATGAAGAAAAAACCCAAAAGTTTTAGCACTTGTGTAAAATAAAATCATTTTTTATCTTTGCTCTGAAATTTCTTCAGGTTTCAAAGGTCCTGTAATAAATGTGTTAGCACTGGATTTTTCCTTGCTGTGGAAGTGAGCTGTGAGACAATTGAAATAGATTTTGGAATGCTTGAGACGTGAGGGGTTGGATTTAAGCAGATCTGAGATAGGAAGTCAGGATTCTCTATGGTCTCTTCAGAAGTTTATGAGACTCTGTTATGTGGTCATTTATTTTCTGTCATTTGACTTTTGTCTGATTTGTCTTGAAGCTTCTATCTCCACAACTTTTCTGGGCACTTTTTTAAACACACAGGAACTTACCTTGGAGAACATTTTTTAAAAATATACCAAAAATACTGTGTCTAAACTTCTGAGAATGTATAATGTGATTGTCTTCTGAAAAGTAGGAGTTAAAGTACGTTTTTATCCTTGGGAATATTGTTAAATGACTAATAGAAAGTGGAAACCTGGAGGCATGGCAACGAAAAGTCATTTAAAGGAACCAGTTTTTATTTATGAAATGCTTACTATGTTAAGAGATACAGTGCATTGTAATTTTTTTAATCTAATGGACAATTTTTAAGGTTTTTTTTTTCTAAATAGAGAATACCGGATTAACCTATAACCTTCTAAGTTGTACCTTTGAAGAGGCTTTTCTTGCTATGTCTTGAATAGCCATTTTGTATTATCTATAGCTCTCCCTGGTCTTCCTGTCCTCAAGAAGTGTTAAAATAATTTGTTGTTCTAAGGTAGAGAATGGGCCAAAGTAGGAGGATACATCAAGATGTCTAATTGGAAAGGAAATCAGATTGCTTTTCCAGTGATCAAAGGAAGTATAGCAGTGGAGCAATGAACTTTTAAAAATGATTCTTATGGGACAAGGAAACCATTGTTGTAATTTTGTTATTCAGCAACCAGAAATGATGAATTAGATGTTTACTAAATCATTGCACTTATTGTGGTACAAACGCCTGTTGGCTATAAAGGATAGCTCTTAAAAGAAACCAGAAAGCAAGGGAAACAAAAACAATCGTGTCACTTTCCCAGCAGCATGTGATGATGAATTTCTCATTCAAACCCTGTGAAATAAATAGCTTGCTCATTCAAAATCATTTTTTTTTCTTTCTTTTTTGAGATGGCATCTTGCTTTGTCGCCCAGGCTGGAGTGCAGTGGAGTGATCTCGGCTCACTGCAAGCTCCGCCTCCTGGGTTCACGCCATTCTCTTGCCTCAGCCTCCTGAGTAGCTGGGACTACAGGCACCCGCCACCACGCCCGGCTAATTTTTTTTTTTTTGTATTTTTAGTAGAGAGGGGGTTTCACGGTGTTAGCCAGGATGGTCTCGATCTCCTGACCTCATGATCCACCCGCCTTGGCCTGCCAAAGTGCTGGGATTACAGGCGTGAGCCACCGTGCCCGGCCTCAAAATCATTTTTGGTTCTCAGCATCCTTAAAATACTTTTTTAGACAAGTTACCCAGAGAATCATCTGTGCCCTGTGTAGGCACAGGTGATTGTTCATTCCCCCAACCCCCACTCTTCAGAGAGAGACTTTGTCAGGCAAGTTTTGAAGTGATTTATCCAGGATCACTGTGGTAATAACCTTCAAAGACTGGTAAAGAACTAGGTAGGACTCTAGCCCTACTGGCCAAAGATGAAGTTGACATTATAAATTGCAACCGTTGACAATCTCTGATGTAATAATGGGAATATAAGGCTGGAATTAATTCTGATTCAAGAGACCTAATTCCCTGGCTTTTAATCAGTGTATACCACTGAATATCTCTACCTACCTTAGTTTTTATGCCGGTCATTTAACCTAAGCATCTTCATCTCTGTCAAAGGCTCCTATTTCTTCTCCCAGTAGCAGCTGCCGTTGTAAACAAATAATTAAGTTGAACCAGTTGTAATGATTGTTGGGTAGCCATGATACAACATAAGGGTGGCAGGAATAAGGGACTCAATAGTGTGACTCAGAGTCATTGAAGTGATTGGCATGAGGTCTCAGCAGGGCTTTGGTGGCTGGCAAAAAGCATGGAGTTGGACTGGATGCCTAAGTGCAGTTTTGGTGGAGAACGAACAGTGCAAGAAGTTACTTTATGGATAAAAAAGATGACTTTCAGATTTTGAGATTTAATATATCTTTGTCCCTGGATAACATTATCTAAATTTAGAGGCCATGTAAGTGGAGAAAGGAAGATAAATGAAGTCAAGAAACTCTGACAACAGGGTGAATAGGGCAGATTGCCCCAAACTAATTAACTCATCAGTCAGTTACTGAACACCATATACATGGTGTAAAGGATCAAATAAATTGAAAAACATACTATTTATGTGCTGCAGGATTGGGTGGTGGCAGGTTTTGAAAAACTGATGACTAATATACTCGATGATTATAATAGAAATAGTGCCTGCTGCTTGGTAGGTACTTAGATTTTTATCAAAAGAATAAATTTATGCATGAAATCGTAAGAAGGGGCAACAAGCAGATGCATGTGGAAGAGTGTCATGGAAAGACACTCAGAGGAGATAAGATTTGAGTTGAACTTGAAAGGATAGTTAGCCATCAGCAAGGTAGATATAGGGGCTGGAGTGAGGAATTTGAAGCAAAAGAGATATGCCTCTCTGTACAAAGGCAGAGATGCAGGGTGAGGCTGGAGTACAGGATGCATGCAGAGGAGGAATAAAAGTGCGCCCTTAGCAACCCAGAATTATTATTTGGACTTTGTCCTGAAGGAAATAGAAAGCCATTGGAGGACTCTAAGATGGACTGTGATAAGATCAAATTTAGAAATATGATTTCTGGTGACTATCTTTTTGACAGTTTAGAGATTTTGAAGAGGGTAATACTGTGGGCCTTTTGGAGTATTCCACGTTGAAAGTGTCTGTCCTACTAGACAGTTGAATAGTCATGGTCTTTTATTTTGTTTTTGTTTTATTTCAAATTAAACATGAACAAATTTATATTTCATATAGTATAAATATTTGTATATATTTATGTTTATAAACAGTTGTACAGATCATTGTAGATAACATAAGCACACACTTTGTATATGTGTATACAAATACATATACAAATATCATATACATATGTGGTATCCAGATAGGATGAGGTTTGTGCATGAGTCACTGAAGACCCAAAATAACAGAAGTTTGTATTTCTTTCATGAGAAAGAAATATGTAGGCAGTCTAGAGTTGTTATTTGTGTTTCAGATATCTAGACACCTTTTATCATTTTGTTCTGCTTCTTATAGCCTGTAACTTTTCCCCATTGCCCAGGATGTCTGCTTGAGTTTCAGCATTATGTATGCATTCCAATTAACAGGAAGGAGGAAAGGATGGAAGACTTTAAGGACACTTTTACTATAAAGACACATTCAACATGACATTTTAAATTATATTCCATTGGTCAGAATTTAGCCCTAGAGCCTTGCTTAGCTATAAGAGGGGCTATAAAATATTATCCTTTCTGGATGGCAGTGTACCCACTTAATAGTGGTGGCTCTCTTGTGATCAAGAAGGGGAAGAAGGAATACAGCATGAGAATGAACTGTGTATGCCAGATACACGTAGTTATCCTCCTTTTCCCCAGTAATTCAATGCAGAAAATCTCTCTCTCTTTTTCTCTTTCTTTGTCTCTCTCTGTATGTGTAGGGGGATATATGTGTGTGAGCATATTTTTAGAAGTTCTTCCAATAGGGGGAATGTACAATCAACGCACATTTTGTGGGCAATAATAACATTTTATAAGCACAAGTGTTTTTTGAAATGCTTGTGTTTATGTAATTGGCTTAATGTATACTACATGTGATGATTGTAATAAGTTGCATTTGTATAGAGCTTTAAAAACATTTACAAAAGTACATTCACACTTGTTATCTCATATAATCTATATAACACTTTTAAGGTAAATAGGATGGTGTACTATCCCTATTTTATATGTGGGGAAATGGAATTATGTGGTTCGATATTGAAACTAGGACTGGTATTCACTGACCCCTACTTTAGGGTTAGTAATGGAAGGCAATAATAGTATGGATTTTCGAGAACAGAGGATAATTAGAAAATAATTTGTATTTTAATTTGAATGAATGTATGCTAGTGGACATGAATTCTTGTCATTTGTTTGATAAATTAGCATTCGAGAATTTTTTCCCACCCACCTGAGCAGTGGTATCTTGGCCATGGTCAGAGCGTCCCATGCTGTTTTCTCCTCCTAATAGGACAGATCAATTGTGTGGTGCTGCTCAGTTAATGTAAGATTGATGGATAAATTTACTCATCAATCATGTATTTCCCTGCAATTGTAACATGCAAAAGTTGTCTACAAGTTAATTGTTTTCTGACACATTCATTGTACAAAATAATCAGAGAATCCCACTATCTTTTTCTGCAATATTGCTTTGTAAAAACAGAGCCCTGGTAAATGTTATCACCATAAAGGCAAAATGAAGCACTTTCAACACCTGACTGAAATCATGGTGTTTTGAGCTGGTGACGTACATTGCTCAAAAGGACATAGTTTATAATTTCTACTCCAGGGGGCATTCAGATTAGTACAAAGTACTTTTAGCCTCTTATCGTTGGGAGTAAATTTTCTGAAGGTACATTTATCTTAAGAATAGCAAAGAAAAAAGAGAGCTATTGAGTGGCTGACTAGGCCGGGAATTGAGCTACCTCTTTTGAAAAGACTGAATTTTTACTTAGAAACCCAAGCAATATTGTTCAAATTTTAAACTCTCATTTGGGCCAGAATGAAACTTTGACCACTAATGAAGGGTTAAAACAAGGTACTCTGATATGAAGTGTCTTTTTTTGTTTTTAAATGGGTTAAAAATTATAAAAACTAGAAGTATAGCTTCTTGCTAACATTCATTACCTCCAGGGACATTTTTCAGTCCATCAAACTTCTCCATTCAGTAATACCATTATTGAAGACTCTCTACTTCTTGAAATACCTTCTTTCTTTGGTTTCTGTAACTTTACTCTTTCCTTTTCTCTTTCTAACCCCTTTTCCTGTGTTTTCTTAGTTTACTTTGCAGGCTTGTGTTCATCCACCCAGCCTTCCACGTGGCTTGTTCCCAGCCCTTCCTTTCCTCTGTACACCTCTCAAACTTCCTAGCATTCTTCCCATGCTCTCTCTCACTCTCAGAGACATTGTACGTGCTATTTTCGCTGTCTGAAGTATCCTTCCCTTGAATATTTACCGGTTAACTTCTATTCTTCTAATGTCTAATGTAACATACAAACGTTGTCTACAAGTTAATTGGTTTTTGACATATTCACTGTGCAAGATAATCAGAGAATTCCACTGTCTTTGTTCTGCAATATTACTTTGTAAAAACAGAGCCCTGGTAAATGTTATCACCATAAAGGCAAAATGAAGCACTTTCTTTCTTTCTTCCTTTCTTTTTTTTGTTATACTCCAAGTTCTAGGGTACATGTGCAGAACGTGCAGGTCTGTTACATACGTATACATGTGCCATGTTGGTGTGCTGCACCTGTTAACTCGTCATTTATATTAGGTGTATCTCCTAATGGTATCCCTCCCCCTTCCCCATGACAGGCCCTGGTGTGTGATGTTCCCACCCTGTGTCCAAGTGTTCTCATTGTTCAGTTCCCACCTATGAGTGAGAACATGTGGTGTTTCGTTTTCTGTCCTTGCGATAGTTTGCTGAGAATGATGGTTTCCAACTTCATCCATGTCCCTACAAAGGACATGAACTCATCCTTTTTTATGGCTGCGTAGTATTCCATGGTGTATGTGTGCCACACTTTCAACACCTGACTCAAATCATGATGTTTTGGGCTGGTGACGTACATTGCTCAAGAGGACATAATTTATATTTTCTACCCCAGTGGGCATTCAAATTAATACAAAGTACTTTTAGCCTCTTATCTTTGAGAGTAAATTTTCTGAAGGTATATTTGTGTTAAGAATAGCATATACAAGCCTAAATTTTATTATTAGAT
Source organism: Homo sapiens (assembly GCF_000001405.40). Taxonomy (NCBI): domain Eukaryota; kingdom Metazoa; phylum Chordata; class Mammalia; order Primates; family Hominidae; genus Homo; species Homo sapiens. The sequence continues at coordinate 106,883,625 of NC_000011.10, read as the reverse complement.
TTAAATTAGACCTAAATGTAATTATCATTTGTTCAGAGAAGCCTTACCTGAATTCTGATTTATAAAAATTGCCTGGTATATCTCTCATAGCATCCTCTAGCTCTTCTTCCTACACATTACATAGTAAGCTCCATGGGGACGGAAACCATTTTGCTTTTCTAACAACTTAATCCCCAGTGTCCAGTACAATGTTCATCACACACTAAGTGCATGATATTTTTGAATGAATGAATGAATGAATGAATACATTATCATAGATACAAATAACACATTATGAAAATACTGTTGTGTAAGGTATACACACATAGATAAAGGCATCCAGGAGTTTCCTTATTTATTGGCTGAACTGAGCATCAAAGCATAGATGAAAAATGAGAGATCAATGTCAAATCATCAGGTTTTCAGGTTGGGATGTAGGCTTTGTTCTTAGTGTTGTGGGACTTAAAAGATGCAATTGCGGGCAGAGGAAAGAATGAATTTAAGTGGTTCAGTAGTGTTATTTTAATTCCCTTCAATAATAATTCACTTTCTCTAGATACCTTCAATGTGTAATATCAAAGGCAAATATAATTTTTATTTCTCTAAACACAGGCTCGTATGTAGAAGATGACATAGAGATATTGGAACACCTGCTACTTAACTAAATGACCCTCAAAATTCAATTTTCATGTGTTTTTCTGATGAGAATCTGAATGATGGGATGAGGAATTGGGGAACTTCTAACATGGGTTGGTTTTATAGTTTCAGAATGAGAACTGATAAAATCTTAATATCACGTCTCTAATTATTATGTAAGTTGACTATATTCTTATATTTCACTACCAAATATACTACTCCTTTCCCACTGGGGACAAATTTTCTTCTTTTGGGGACACATTTTGATGGCAATAAGTGCATATTTTTGACATGTGTAACTTTCTGTGAAATAATGCTGGGGAAATTACAGATAACTGTTAAATGAGGGTCAACAGTCATGCCAAGCCCTATATCCAGATAGCTTCTCTTATGGATTAGATTTATAAAGTCCTGGGAGAGTGCTTTGTGTCTGTATTCACTAGACATTTTAAATCTTCTAATACATGTTTTATCTTACTATAGCCATTAGAAAACGGTTCATGATTGTTCAAACTTTTTTTCCTCTTTCTTCTCTCTTTCACCCTCCACCCCAGTTTTGAGCTACTTGTTATAAATCTTGACTCCATTAAATTCTTACAAGAACATTTTGGAAGCTGCTGCTATTGGGGAAAAGGTGCACAGTTAGCAATCACCTGAATAATTAGATTCATGTAAAATTCCATTTTGCATAATGTAAGTCCTAGCCTACTCCTACTGTGTCTTTCCTTTAGAATCTCCACATCTCTACAAATTATGTAATAACCTTTAGTAAATGCTTTGGCCACTTAGATAATGGTGATGCATCTATAAACCTCCCATCTCCAGATGTTATGTACTGAAATGTAGTGTAAAAAAACTGAGTCAATATTTATTTTTCTTCAGCAAAATATATAAAATGTGAAGAAATGAGAAAAGAGAAGGAAGGAAGGAAGGAAGGAGAAGAAAAGAAAAGAAAGAGAATGAGAGCGCTTTTTGAAAATTTCCAGTGGAGAAAAAATTACTCATCATGCTAGAAGCCTTGTAATTGATAGCCCATTGATAGTCTGGGAATATTCTGAAGGATTTTTGATTGATACTTTTTAAAAATATTACGATAATATTTGTATCATTGCCTAGTCATTTATGTATGAATTCTATAATAATATCCCTTTATTAGTACGCAACATTTCAGAAATCCTATAAAACTAAGTGTGTGTTCATGCAGAGAACATTTAAATCAGTAAAATCCATACATCAAATTAATCTGGACAAGTCTTTCTAATTGGTTGCAATTGGCATTTACTGTAGAGCTTTCTTTACATTCTCATTTTATTTACTGTTGAAAGTACTGTGGATTACCTCTGGGGAGAAGAGGAAGAATGTAGCATAGGTGACATTTTGGTAACATTTTACTGCTTTAGGTGGACAGTCGGTAAATTGGTATTCATTTTCTTATTCTTTTTCACTTGTAATAAATTTAAAATAAGAATACACCATAAGGCAGACTTTCATATGTAATAAATTTTTAATGAGGATACTACACCATAAGGCAGACTTAATAGTGACTAGTTTTGTGAATTTGCAAGCAAGTTGTATACTCATTCTGGATCTTGAAGAACTTTTGGTAAAAAATAAAAAACAAAAATAGTAAATATAATAATTCATGAAGTCAGAGCTTTACTGAGTTATGGCCATCTTTTGAGGCTACTTTAGTTCTATGACCAATTTAGATTATTTGTAATTCATTCATCCTTTGAACATTTGGAGTGTGGCTAATGTTTATATGCAATTAACCCTATATGTAACATTGCTTCATATTTATATAAAGTTATTATAGGACGGACTTCCAACATTTAAAAGGGATGTGCCAATTGGAAGTGAAAGTATTAGTTGTTCACTGTCTGAACACAATCCAAACCACTGGACAATTAGGTTAATTCAGAGAAAATAGAATCATAGGATGCTAGAGCTGGAAGGAACCTCAGAGATAATTTAATTTACCCCTTTCAATTATAAATAGGAAATTATTACAGTCCACAGAAGCTTTAGTCCTGCAGTTAGTTAATGGAAGAGCTAGCACTAAAACTCAAATTTCAGAGCTTCCTCTCTGCTTCCTTTCTACTGTATTGGTATTTCCCAAATTGTCATTTCCAAAATTGTTCATGTGAGTGAAACCAAAACAAACAATCACAACAAACAACAATAATAAAACCAGGATTTTGTGGCACAGTAACTTTTTGAAATATTGCATCTTGTATATCCCTTGTGGATTCACAATGCACTTTAATATGGTAAAGGCTCTGAGAAACCCTACAGTAAAGAAATCTATGTAACCATTTAATCCACTCTTCCCCAAATTTTTTGACAACTGAACCTCTTCTATGCTAAACAACCAGTACGTTTTAAGAAAGAAAGTTTGGATAATACTATGAAATTAGATTGTTTATTGTTAGCATGCAACTTGATTATATATGCCATGCCAAACCCCTGTTGATTTCAATAGGGATAGCACTGTGTTGGATAAAGAAGAGGATAAAGGAGAAACTTGGATCCAGTGAATGAGACGTGGGGTTTATTCAGGGGACTTACATACAGTGTGGTCCAGCGGCAGTGGGCTGGACAGGAGAACCACTACAGTTTGTAAAAAAACATGCAGTCTTCACTTAGCACCCTCCCCTTGGCAACCTTCACGTGGCAACCATCATTTAACCCCAAACAAAAGGCCTTAATCTCCCTGTATGGGCTTGCATTCCACAGGATGGGTCAGGGGTTTAGAGGTTCCTTATAGATAAGGAATGAATCTTCAAGTTGGCTGTTCCTGGATTTCTTAGCTCAGAACTCTGAACACACATTCTTCTTAGGCCATGGTGTCATTCTGAGGGCATGCTTAAGTTATTGTTGTCAGGTGCATCTGCCATACAGGGTCATTCTCAGGGTATGCTTAAGTTATTGCTGTCAAGCGCACTGGCCATACAGGAGCATTCTCAGGGTATGCTGAAGTTAATGCTGTCAGGTGCATTGACCATACAGGGTCATTCTAAGGGTATGGTTAAGTCGTCATTGCTGTCAGGTGCATCTGCCATACAATATAACGATCAATTTTTAAAATTAGATTAACTGATGACAGCATATAGCTCTACCTTAATGGACGTAGACAGTTGCTCAATAGAGAGGTCAGTATCCCATAAGTGCTTTCAAATCTTTTCATTTCATGGCTCAGTGAAGGGACTCTGGAGAGAGAACAAGGTTCTAGCTAATGAAAACTGATTGGAGGGCATACTGATGAAAATGGTACTTAGTAATTAATAATGGAAATACAGGTATTAGGCAATGGCAATGGAAACAGAGGAAAGAGAGAAGAGAGTCAGAGCCATTTCAGAGGGATGGGTTGTTTTAGGCCCATCTCTTTCTCACTGGAACAAACCTCAAACCAAGTAAAAATACCAGAAAGTGATACAAGAAAGACGATTAGTGTGAGGTAAGTACAAAGGAAGGAAAAACATCAAACATGGACATATTAAAGATAAATGGGGCAATATGCCATGTCCTGGAGGTTATTTTTGAATCACCCAACAAACTTAACTCTTCCATATCTAAACTCCTAAAGCTTTTCTTTCTTGACTCTAATTTTACTTACCCTGTTCTGGATTTTCCTTTAGTTTTTTGAGTACATGTTTTATCACTCCCAAGATATTATTCTAGAGGACAAGGACAGTAGCTTGTTTTACTAAGTTCCACAGGTACTGGGCAATTACTTTGTATGAATCACGCCATCGATGAATGTTTGCTGAATAAACACACATAGGACAAAAGCATGCATAAGTGTGTAACTACAGTAGAGTATGTGAAGCATTAGCTCTGATGATCCCTTCTCTCAAAAGGTTTAGAGTGTACTTCAGACAATTAACGCACTAAAAAAGACTGTTCTGGTGTGAAACCCTTGATATAGGACATATCCATTACAAGGAATAGGTCATAGAAGCCTTTGTAGAGAAAATAGTGTTGAACATTAACAGTATTTATTGAAAGCAATGTTGGTAGTTATATTAGTCCTGTTGTAACGAAATTATCACAAACTTAATGTCTTAAAACATCACAAATTATCTTATTGTTCTGTAGGTCAGAAGTCTGAAATGAGTTTTACAAAGCCAGAATTAAGGAATTGGCAGAGCTGCATTACTTCTGGAAGCTCCAGGGAAAAATCCATTTGCTTCCCCTTTCCAACTTCTTCTTTTTTTTTTTTTTTTTTAACTTTTAAGTTGAAAGGTACACGTGCAGGTTTGCTATATAGGTAAACTCATATCATGGGGGATTTGTTGTACAGATTATTTTCTTGACCATGTATTAGGCCTAGTACCCATTAGTTATTTTTCCAGATCCTCTCCCTCTTCCCACCTTCTACCCTCCAGTAGGCCCCAGTGTTTGGTGTTCCCATCTATGTTTCCATGTGTTTTGATCTTTTGGCTCCCACTTAAAAGTGAGAACATGCAGTATTTGATTTTCTGTTCCTGCATTAGTTTGTTAAGTATAATGACCTCCAGGTCCATCTGTGTTCCTGCAAAGGACAAGATCTCATTCTTTTTTATGGTTATATGGTATTCTATGGTATATATGTACCATATTTTCTTTATCCAGTCTACCATTGATGGGCATTTAGGTTGGTTCTATTTGCTACTATGAATAGTGAGGAAATGAACATAGATGTTCCTTGTGTCCTTATGACAGAACAATTTGTATTCCTTTGGGTATACATACAATGATGAGATGGCTAGGTCGAATGGTTATTTATGTTTTTAGGTCTTTGAGGAATCGCCACATTGTTTTCCACAATGGTTGAACTGATTTACACTCCCACTCACAGTGTATAAGTGCTTTTATTCTTCATAACCGTGCCAGCACCTGTTATTTTTTGACTTTTTAATAATAGCCATTCTTATTTGTGTGAGATGATATTTCATTGTGGTTTTGATTTGCATTTCTTTAATGATCAGTAATTTTGAGTTTTTTTTCATATATTGTTAGCTGCTTGTATACCTTTTTTGAAAAGTGTCTGTTTATGTCCTTTGTCCACTTTTTAATGGGTTTGTTTGGGTTTTTCTTTCTTGTAAGTTTGTTTAAGTTTGTTATAGATGCTGCATGTTAGACCTTTGTCAGATTCGTACTTTGCAAAAATTTTCTCTCATTCTGTAGTTTGTCTGTTTACTCTGTTGATAGTTTCTTTTGATGTGAAGAAGCTCTTCAGTGTAATTATATCCCATTTGTCAATTTTTGCTTTTGTTGAAATTGCTTTTGACATCTTCAACATGAAACCTTTGTCCATTCCTGTGTCCAGAATGGTATTACCTCAATTATCTTCCAGGGTTTTTATGGTTTTGGGTTTTACATTTAAGCCTTTAATCTATCTTGAGTTAATTTTTGTATGTGGTGTAAGGAAGGGTCCAGTTTCAGTCTTCTGTGTATGGGTAGCCAGTTATCCCAGTACCAGCTGTTGAACTACTTGTCTTTGTCACCTTGGTTGAAGGTCAGATAGTCATAGGTGTATGGCCTTATTTCTGGGCTCTCTATTTTGTTCCGTTGGTCTACGTGTCTGTTTTTGTACCAGCACCATGCTGTTTTGGTTACTGTAGCCCTATAGTATAGTTTGAAGTCAGGTAGCATTATGCCTGCTGCCTTGGTATTTTTGCTTAGTCCTGGCCAGAGAAATCAGGCAAGAGAGAGAAATAAAGGGCATCCAAATAGGAAGAGGGGAAGTGAAACTATCCCTGTTTGCAGATGACTTGATCCTATACCTAGAAAACCCTGTAGTCGCAGCCCCAAAGCTCCTTATGATGATAAGCAGGTTCACAAAGTCTCAGGATACAAAATCAACATTCAAAAATCACTAGCATTTCTGTACAACAGTAGTCAAGCTGAAAGCCAAATCAGGAACCCTTTTTCAACTTCTAAAGGCTGCTTGTGTCCTTTGCTTACGGCCCTTTACTGCATCTTCAAAGTGCATCACTATAACCTTTGCTTCGTTCTTATAAGGACCCTGTGATTTTTACTGGGCCCAGCAGAATAATGTAGAATAATTGCTCCATCTCAAGATCTTTGACTTAATTACATCTGCAAAGTCTCTTTTGTCATGTCAGATAACAGATTCACAGATTCTGGGAATTAAAGACTGGGATATCTTTTGGGGACCATTATTCTTTCTACCACAGTGGAAAACCAGCATCAGCAAAGTTACGGAAGTTGAAATAAGCATGGAGTGTATAGCCGAATAATAAAAAGATCAAAATGAAATGTAAAGTATGTATTAAGAAGTGTGGCAAACAGGATTGCTAAGCAGGCTGGTATAAGTTACAAAGCCCTTTAAAACTCAGGACAGGAGATTTAGATTTAATGCAGTTAATACTAGCGAACATTCCAAGTTTTTAAAGAAGTGGCTACTGTTATGAAAATGGTATTTATAGGAGGTTGGTCATGTATGATTTGTAGGAGAGCCTGGTGGAGAGAAAGTTTGATGGCAGGGAGAATCGTAAATGTACAGTCAGATGTGGTACCTTGCATAGTTATTTACGTATGTTGGATACAATGCATTTCTATAAATTGTTTGACTCAAAAATTATATTTTTGAATTAAAGTAGCAATTATTAATTTTTTTACAATTCACTTATTTTATATTGTATCTGTTTTTGGACCATAGTGATGGTTGTCAATTCATACCTTGTCAGTCAGTGGTTTTTCTTTGCTTCCTCATTGTCTTTCCCTCTGTCTTAACACCTATTTGCTAATGGCTATTCTGAAGGGATTCTTCTTTTTCTCATTCAGAGAAATCTTATGTGTTCTTGTGAAAGTAACTTTATGTTAGGAATGGTAAATTACTTTTTTTAGATATTGTTATACATTTTCTTCTTTAATTATTAAATTTGTGATATTAGTGAATTCTTCCAAGGGGGAAGATACTGACATCAGACTGAATATTTACTTTAAGTACATCTTAACTGGAGCTTTTATTGCTTTCACCTGGAAAGGGTCAACACTTAGTTGAATAAAAAGGATTCACCTTTTTACTTGTAATGGAATATCAACTGCAATGTGGTTTTTGATGGTCCAAAGACCATGGTGTCCTCATTATATTTAACGTCAGAGTAAAGTGCCACATTTCCTCTGGCACCAGAATGGAAAGGACTGCATGCATAATAGATAAAAAAAGCATAGATATAAAAAAAGATATAAAATATACTATTTTTCTGCTGGTGATAGGCACCTTCTCCATCCTTTCCCTATTGCAATACATGAATTTTGCCCTTCTCCAACTCTAATTGATGGTCATTTAGTATCAGAGTAATGAATTCTATAGTTGGCCTGTAACCTGTGGCTGGAACTTTTGCTAGGTCTTGGGAGATGAGACACCCACTCTCTACTGAGGTGGATAAGCTGGTAAATCTTAAGTTTGGGACTGCTGAGAGTCACCATTAGAGAGAGTTTTCTTAACAATGAAGTCAGTGCAGAGGAAAGCAAAGCCCATAAAAAAGAGTCTCAGTGTTGGTGAGATGATTTGAGCCCTGGATCCAACCATGATTTAAACTCAAATATTTCTGTTTCTTTTGGTTTATAAGCCAGTATATTTTCTTCATTATTTAAGCTGATTTTAGTTGTTCATCTATCAGTTTCTGTCAAGACTCCACTCTTGCACAGTACACATACAACCAGAACTCTTACTTGGGCTCCAAAGTCTCTTCAAGGTCCCTCTGTGGCATGTTTGTCATGGTGTTGAGTTTTCCCCTTCAGCTGCCTGACTTTGTATCTTGGCAGAAGGAGTGAGCTAGATTTCCTTGCTACCTCCTGGTAATTTGCTGAGTCATACAACTCTCTTCAAATATGATACTGTTATAGTAGCATTAATACAGGGATTCTAAAGGAAAAATATTTAATTGCCATAATGGGGACAAAAACCTGGTTGATAAATCTTTTCATATTTTTCCTATTTATGGAATTAGAGGAATGAACACAAGACTGTCTTCAATTTATCTATTACTATAATGGATTATTTCTTTATTTCACTAGCAATAAATGTTGGGGGATTCCTGGGGTATTTATAAGGAGTAAGAGATAGTTTTGCTAAAAGAATCTTTAAAGATTTTATTGAATGTGAGATATCCAGTAAATGATAGGAATCAGTCTTGATTCTCATCCATAATTTCTGCTTAGGGAGAAACTTTAACCAAGTTTTTTTTTAAAAGATTAAATATTACAATATTTTTTTCCAGTTTTTTTTTCTTTTAGTGGCTCTCCTTTCTTATCACCCCATATAACCTAAGAGGCAGAGAGAGTAGTTCTGTTGCTAACTCTTGCAGAAGTTGTGCCCATTTCTTTTTTCTGGTTTGCTGAGATTTTTATGCCAATAATAAGGTCGGCATTCTTCTTTGGAAAAGAAAGTTGTCTAAATTCTACGTATAAGTGGCACTATAGAAATATTTGGAAAATAACAATGGCATACTAAAATTACTTGGAAACAACAAATGAACAGAGCAGTCACTATGCAGTGTCTGCAATTCAGAACAACTCTGCTTTGAGACTGTGACATAAGATAGGCAGAAGGAGGGAAGATTCAAAAATTTTCTTCTTGGATAAATAATTAGATCACCTTTTAATTATTATCAGACTACTGTATGATTGCTGATTTTGTTCCTCAATACTTATATGTGCTATTTCTTTATTAATCAATTCCTGGACTACTCGGTTTCTGTATTCGATCCTATTCTACAAAGGCCACAGCCTATTGGATTTTAAAGAGCCCTTAAGTAAGGTTATCTAACATAACATCCAGCTGTGTGGGAGAGTGCACTATATAATATGTATTCAGCAAATATTTTTTGATTACATATTAATTAGAAGACATTGTGCTAGACATCAAAGATAAATAAGATCAAAATACCCTCCTGCTGAAACTCTCAATGTAATGAGATAGAAGAATGGAGTGAACAGGCTACTAAAATATTCTATAATAAAGGATAACATTGATTTATATATCAGAGGTTCCAGAAAGCTCTAACATTTGAATTAGTCTTTGAACATGAAGCTTAGAAAACAAAGAGCACGCTAGGCAGAGGAGACAATATGCAAAAACATGGAGACATGGAGAGTTCATAGACAATTTGGATAATTATTAACAGATTGACATGAGATGAAACTAGTCTATTGGTGAAGAACGTATTAAGAAAAGCTTTTGTAGCAATTGCAACAAAAGCCAAAATTGACAAATGGGATCTAATTAAACTAAAGAGCTTCTGCACAACAAAAGAAACTATCATCAGAGTGAACGGGCAACCTACGGAATGGGAGAAAATTTTTGCAATCTACCCATCTGACAAAGGTCTAATATCCAGAATTTACAAGGAATTAAACAAATTTACAAGAAAAAAATGGACAACCCCATGAAAAAGTGGGCAAAGGATATGAACATACACTTCTCAAAAAAAGACATGTACGTGGCCAAGAAACATATGAAAAAAGTTCAACATCACTGATCGTCCGAGAAATGCAAATCAAAACCACACTGAGATACCATCTCATACCAGTCAAAATGGTGATTGTTAAAAACTGAAGAAACATTTGATGCTGGTGAGGCTGTGGAGAAATAGGAATGCTTTTACACTGTCATTGAGAATGTAAATTGGTTCATTCATTGTGGAAGACAGTATGGTGATTCCTCAAGGATCTAGAACCAGAAGTACCATTTGACCCAGCAATCCCACTACTGGGTATATACCCAAAGGAATATAAATCATTCTACTATAAAGACACATGCACATGTATGTTTATTGCAGCACTATTTATAATAGCAAAATCATGGAACCATCCCAAATGCCCATCAATGATAGACCGGATAAAGAAAATGTGGTACATATATACCACGGAATACTATGCAGCCATAAAAAGGAATGAGATCATGTCCTTTGCAGGGACATGGATGAAGCTGCAAGCTATCATTCTCAGCAAACTAACACAGGATCAGAAAACCAAACACTGCATTTCTCAAACATAAGTGGGAGTTGAACTGTGAGACCACATTGACACAGGGAGGGGAACAAAACACACCAGGGCCTCTTCGGGGGTGGGAGGCGAGGGGAGGGAACTTCAGAGGACGGGTCAATGGGTGCAGCAAGCCACCATGGCACATGTATACCTATGTAACAAATCTGCACGTTCTGCACATGTGTAGCTGAATTTAAAGTAAAATTTTAAAAAAGAAAAAAAAGAACAGCTTTTGTGTTGGTATGTGTGTGTGTGCACATGCACCATTCTGAAGAATTGGGACTTAAATTGGTCATCCAGACAGCATGCTTATATCCAGAGTTCACAAAGCAGCAATTACACTTTTGAGTACTGCTAATTGCCGGCTTTTTGCCTATATATTTTGCTGAGATCTTTTTCTGATTTGTATTCACTGGTCCTATTCTCAACTCCTTAAATTAAAATTAGTATAAATCTCTTTTATATGACTATCCCTCAGATATTTAAAAGTGTCTGTTCCTTATCTTCTAGTCTTCAGAATTAAAGTTCCAGTCATTCAAACTATTTATCATGCTCTTCATAGAACATTCCAGCCTCAGAATGTAGATAGTCTAATAATAAGCAACTTGACTGGTATGTAGCAATGTTGTGACCTTTCTCTGGATTCTGCAAGTAGGAATATGAGTGTCACTTATGATAATATTAGTATTTTTATTGCTATAATTGTCAGCTACATTATATTTGTATATATTGACTTTAAAACCCATAGATTAGTTTTCCAAGACTCACTCCTGTGTTGATTCTGCCCAATCCTGTAATCGTGCAGATGATTCCTATGTTACAAGGTTTTACATTTATTCTTGTTCAATTTAATTATAGTTAATTTTGGTCTAGCATAATTGCCTGTAGAGATACTTAAATCTTCATTCTCTTTCTCTGTGTTATCAACCGCTTATGTTTTTTAATCCTGTGTAACTTAGATAAATATACTTTCATTCTAACTTTTGATAAAAATGTAGAATTTCAAAGGATACATGACAACATCTACAGCAGAGCACTATAGAACACACGTCAAGGCTGGTAATATGCAGAATTTGCAATATAAAATACTTCAGGGATTTGACTAATTAGTTTAATTCACCTAAACCAGCTAATATTTTCCTGTCTATACTCCTAATTCATAATGAGTCTGTTAAATATCTTCTAAATCAAAGTACATTACATCTTTGACATTACCCAGATCAAATAGTATAATAACCTTAAAGCAAATAGAAATCGTGTTAATGTGACATACCTTTTCTTTTAATGCACATTTGTTGAGTCCCAGAAATATGTCCATTTCATTTTCCATGTGAATGTGACTTTATTTGGAAATAAGCTTTTGGCAGTTATAATCAAATGACCTTAAGGTGAGGTCATTATTTTAATACAATATAACTGGTATCCTTGTAAGAAGAGAAGAAACACAAAGACAGATACACAGGGAGAATTCCTTGTGACCATGGTGGCAGAGATGGGAGTCACATGTCTGAAAGCATAGGGACAGCAAGGATTGCTGACAATACTGGAAGTTAAGAGAGCTGTATGGAACAGATTCTTCCTAAAGCCTTTAGAAAGAGCATCACCCTGTCAACACCTTGATTTTTGGACATCTAGCATCCAAAACTGTGAGAGAATAAATGTTTGTTATTTTAAGACTGCCAGTTTGTAGAAAATTAAAAACCTTGACATAACGCTAATGTCGACATTTCATTTTTACCCCTTTTTTGAAATTAGATCAAAATATACTCATCTTAATTCTTCTGGCAGTAATTTGGTTTTCTGTGTTTCTCTGAAGATTACTGAAGGTTGATTAATCATCACATTATTAGGATATTTTAATGTTCCTCTAAGTTTATACAAATTCCAGGTAGTCAGATGCTCACTTACTCCACTGTGTACTCATTTAAAATTGTTTATTAGTTGCTAATTATGCACTTGGAACTAAGCTAGACACTGGAAATATGGACATGGTCCTTGGACTTGAGAAGCTTATCATAATAAGCCAATGAAAATATCACTGTAATTTAGAGCAACAAGTGTAATGAAATAGGATACCTGTAGTCCTAGGAGAAAGCAAGAATAGGGGGAAGAAACCTGGGAAGTTTTCCATAGCACTGAATTTAAGGTTGAGTGCAATATGATGTATGGCTTTAGGCGAAACCACATACATCAATTAATTAAAACAAAAGAATGAAAGAACCTTGCATAGCATGGAGATGGGAGAGAAGAAGAAGCTTTCTGGAAATCTAGGTAAGTAGATTTGTTTGCAGTACAGTCAGTGGCAGGGAAGAGAGAAGGCTGGAAAAGTTATCCAGAGCTGTTTATTGAGAGATCTTGGATTTCTTTCTGAAGGTCATACGCAGCCATTATAATAATTCCCACCCCTACAAACTTTAGATGTGTAGCAAGCTCTTTCAAAGGAAGGGAAACAAACAAGTAACAACAACAACAAAAACATACAAAATAACTTCTTGTTGATCCCCTGTATTTACTTAAATTATTTTTATATTAATGTTAATTGGTTATGTTCAAACCTAACAGGAATTTGGAATTCTTGTACATATAATTCACATACAACTATAAAATAAAATATATTTATAAACTAAATACCAAAGAACTCCCACAAAACTAATCAAATTCAATTTAACAGTGTTAAATTATATGAATGTAAATGTTTGCTGAAACTAAGTTGCACCTGCTATGGTGTAGTTTTTTTATAGATATATTTTTTTTATTATACTTTAAGTTCTAGGGTACATGTGCACAATGTATGGGTTTGTTACGTATGTATACATGTGCCATGTTGGTGTGCAACACCCATTAACTCGTCATTTACATTAGTTATATCTCCTAATGCTATCCCTCCCCCCTCCCCCCCCCTCACAAGAGGCCCTGGTGTGTGATGTTCCCCTTCCTGTGTCCAAGAGTTCTCATTTTTCATTTCCCACCTATGAGTGAGAACATGCGGTGTTTGGTATTTGTCCTTGCGATAGTTTCCTGAGAATGATGGTTTCCAGCTTCATCCACGTCCCTACAAAGGACATGAACTCATCCTTTTTTATGGCTGCATAGTATTCCATGGTGTATATGTACCACATTTTCTTAATCCACTCTATCATTGTTGGACATTTGGGTTGGTTCCAAGTCTTTGCTGTTGTGAGTAGTGCTGCAATAAACATACATGTGCATGTGTCTTTATAGCAGCATGATTTATATTCCTTTGGGTATATACCCAGTAATGGGATGGCTGGGTCAAATGGTATTTCTAGCTCTAGATCCCTGAGGAATCGCCACACTGTCTTCCACAATGGTTGAACTAGTTTACAGTCCCACCAACAGTGTAAAATGTTCCTATTTCTCCACATCCTCTCCAGCACCTGTTGCTCCTGACTTTTTAATGATTGCCATTCTAACTGGCATAAGATGTTATCTCACTGTGGTTATGATTTGCATTTCTCTGATGGCCAGTGATGATGAGCATTTTTTCATGTGTCTGTTGGCTGCATAAATGTCTTCTTTTGAGAAGCGTCTGTTCATATCCTTTGCCCCTTGTTGATGGGGTTGTTTGTTTTTTTCTTGTAAATTTGTTTGAG